>NC_000005.10:114655261-114958291 GCF_000001405.40 Homo sapiens | reverse complement strand
GTCCCCGTAAATCCACCTCCCAGCTTCATGAGAAAATCTTAGCATCTCCTGGAGTACTGGGTGGGGGAGAGGGCACTGGTCTCTGCCACTGGAAGAACCTACTTTGATTTTAATTCTCCATGTCTTTACAAAAGCCTTCTCACCTTGAAATTGGAAAAACCCACATTTTTAACTGCTTATTCCCATGACTGTAGACTTCAGAAACAAATAGCTTCCTTCTTTCCAGGGGATATGATATGTCTGGAGGATAAAATCACTGCTTGCCTACTGGGTAGAAGTAGAGAAAAGAGACTTCACGTTTTTCTATCATGAGGCTATAGGAATGTTTTTCTATTAGATTATTTTCATCTGTTTTTTAGAGTTTAGTGGACCCTCAGATTTAGTCCTGGGCTCTGAATGCATTACCTGTGGCACTGAAGCTTCCAGAGTAGCTGCTCCCTTTGCTTTTAAGGGTTCATGTGATTAGATTGAGACAGAGTGATGAGAGGCACTGCTCCCTTAAACAGGGTGGGTTGAAACGGCTTCGATATCTAGCCTCCATCCCCGAGAAGCAGCACTGTATGTAGAACTGCAGAAACAGGAAAGACTACCCCAAAACAGGACTCTGGGAGTTCTCCACCAATATGCAAATCAGTTAACACCAAACAGTTGCTTTCACAGTCACACCGTCATGGTGCCCAGAGTAATCATTTCCGTTCCCACCATTGGGTGGGTGTGAGAACTGGGCTCGTTTTAAAACATATGACTAATGAGCATGTATCCGGATGGTACATCTGGTATTGATAGAACTGATCTGAAAAGATGGCAATGCAACTGAGACCTGGGAACACAGCTGATGGGCAACTCACTGAGCCTGGGTAGCTTTCTGCTTGTGGGGGTTGGTGGTGGGAAGGAAAGGTTTTCAGTGTCTCCTGTTTCATTCAGAGTATTTTCTTTTTTGAGAACATTTAGTTGAAAGATTTCCAGGCAAGTTAGTTAACAGATTCATCTTGGAAAACTGAAGCCTTCAGTTCTCTGAAAATTACAAATAAGTTAACACTCAAATTGTTTTGGGTAGAAGCAGCCTATGGTTATTCCACCTGATGCCCACTTGCACTTAGTCTTGATTTCACTTAGGAATTATCCACATGAGCATAAGGAACCTTGACTCCCAGAAAATAATGAATAAAGTACATACATGAAAAGGAATACAAACTCAATCATTCATTTTAAAAATTAAGAATAGGAAATGTAGGACCCTATCTGATCAATGTAACATACAACAAAAATGTTTAATTCTCTGCTATATGTGATTTAAATAAGAGAGGATAGAGAGAAAGTATTATAATAAAAGAGAATAAAAGAGAACCAAAGCAAATGAGAGGGGGAAAGCAAGAAAAAAGCAATAAATTACAGTTACCACCAAATAATATCATGGATTATTCTTTTATTTACATTTTTCTTCCTTTGCTGTTTGCCTCTTTTTTTTTTTTCCCTTTGGCTGATTTCCATTTTTACTAGTTAGCTTGGAGACCTAAATCTGAACCAAATCAATTTTTTTTGTAGTATGAATTAAAAGGAATGTTACTTTTCCCTTCCTACATTGTTTGATTTTAAATTTCTGTGATTTTTAAGAGTGTATCCTGATTTATAGAATTACTCAGAACCTTTCTAGAAATGGGCTATATCCTACATCATATCTCTCTGTTATGATTTTCAATTGCTACCATAACAACTTACATAGTAGGTCGATTAAACAATACAAATTTATTATCTTATAGTTCTGAAGGTCAGAAATTCAATTCCATTCTCAGGCTAAAATCCTATTATCTGGGATAACATCAAGGTGTTGCCAGTTCCAAGTCCATGTTTTTTTCTGAAGGCTTTAGGAGAAAATCTGTTTCCTATTCCAATTTCTAGAGGCCACCCACATTCCTTGGGTTGTGGCCCCTTCTTCCACCTTCAAAGCCAGCAACATCACTGTATTAGTCTGTCCTCACACTGCTAATAAAGATATACCTGACACTGGGTAATTTATAAAGGAAAGAGGTTTAATTGACTCACAGTTCAGCATGGCTGGGGAGGCCTCAGGAAGCAAACATGTCTTTATTCATGTGGTGGCAGCAAGTAGAAGTCTAGAGAAAAGTTGGGGGGAAGCCCCTTATAAAACCATCAGATCTCCTGAGAACTCACTCACTATCATGAGAATGGCATGGAGGTAACAGCCCCCATGATTCAATTACCTCCCATCAGGACCCTCCCAAACACATGGAGATTATGGTAACTAGAGTTCAGGATGAGATTTGGGTGGGGAAATAGCCAAACCATATCATACTGCCCCTGGCCCCTTCCAAATCTCATGTCCTCACATTTCAAAACACAATCATGCCCTTTCAACAGTCCCCCAAAGTCTTAAGTCATTCCAGCATTAACTCAAAAGTCCACAGTCCAAAGTCTCATCTGAGACCAGGCAAGACCCTTCTGCCTATGAGTCTGTAAGATCAAAAGCAAGTTAGTTACTTCATAGATACAATGGGAGTACAGGCATTGGGTAAATATACCCATTTGAAATGGGAGAAATTGGCCAAAACAAAGGGGCTACAGGCCCCATACAAGTCTAAAATTCAATATAGAAGTCATTAAACCTTAAAGCTCTAAAATGATCTCCTGTGACTCCACGTCTGACATCCATGTCATGCTGATGCAAGAGGTGGGCCCCCATGGCCTTGGACAGCTCTGCTTCTGTGGCTTTGCAGGGTAGAGTCCCCTTCTGGCTGCTTTCATGGGCTGGCATTGAGTGTCTCTGGCTTTTCTAGGTGCACAGTGCAAGCTGTCTGTGGATCTATCCTTCTGGGCTCTGGAGGATGGTAACCCTCTTCTCACAGCTCCACTAGGCAGTGCCCCAGTGGGGACTCTGTGGGGGCTCTGACCCCTACATTCCTTTTCCACGTTGCCTTAGCAGAGGTTCTCCATGAGGGTTCTACCCCTGCAGCAAACTTCTGCGTGGACATCCAGGCATTTGCATACACCCTTTCAAATCAAGGTGGAGGTTCCCAAACCTCATTTCTTGACTTCTGTTTACCCACCAGCTCAATGCTACATGAAAGCTGCCAAGGTTTGGGGCTTGCACCCTTTGAAGCCATGACCTAAATTGTACCTTGGCCCCTTTTAGTCATGGATGGAGTAGCTGGGATGCAGGGCACAAAGTCCCTAGGCTGCATACAGCAGGGGGACCCTAGGCCTGGCCTATGAAACTGTTTTTCCCCCTAAGCCTCTGGGCCTGTGATACGACAGGCTGTCACAAAGAATCTCTAAGATGCCCTGGAGACATTTTCCCCCTTGTCTTGGTGATTTATATATGGCTCCTCATTACTTATGCAAATTTCTGCAGCCTGCTTGAATTTGTCTCCAGAAAATGGGGTTTTCTCTTCTATCATATTGTTAGGCTGCAAATTTTCCAAACTTTTATGCTCTGCTTACTCTTGAATGCTTTGCCACTTAGAAATTTCTTCTGCCAGATACCCTAAATCATCTCTCTCAAGTTCAAAGTTCCACAGATCTCTAGGGCATAGGCAAAATGCCACCAGTCACTTTGTTAAAGCATAACAAGGGTCGCCTTTGCTCCAGTTCCCAACAATTTCCTCATCTCCATCTGAGACCACCTCTGCCTTGACTTTATTGTCCATATCGCTATCAACATTTAGGTCAAAGCCATTCAACAAGTCTCTGGGAAGTTCCAAACTTTCCCACATTTTTCTGTTTTCTTCTGAGCCCTCTAAATCTCTAGGAAGTTTCCAACTTTCCCACATTATTCTGTCTTCTTTTGAGCCCTCCAAACTATTCTAACCTCTGCCTGTTACCCAGTTCCAAAGTTGCTTCCACATTTTCAGGTATCTTTACAGCAGTACCCCTACCTGGTACCAATTTTCTATTAATCTGTTCTCATGCTGCTAATAAAGACATACCTGAAACTGGGTAATTTATAAAGAAAGGAGTTTGAACTGACTCACAGTTCAGCATGGCTGGGGAGGCCTCAGGAAGCAAAAATGTCCTTCTTCAGATGGTGGCTGCAAGTAGAAGTGCAGAGCAAAGGCAGGGTTGGAAGGGCCTTATAAAATCATCAGATCTCCTGAGAACTCACTCACTATCATGAGAACAGCATGGAGGTATCCACCCCATGATTCAGTTACCTCCCACCAGGTCCCTCCCATGATATGTAGGGATTATGAGAACTACAATTCATGATGAGATTTGGGTGGAGATGCAGCCAAACCATACAAATCTTATCCCTCTGACCCTTTTTTCATAGGCTTATCTCTCTCTTACCAGAGCAAGGAGAGGTCCTCTGCTTTTCAGGGCTCATGTGATTAGATTGGGTTTACTTGAATAATCCGGGTGAGTCTCTCCATCTCAAAGCCAGCTGGTTAGCAACATTAATTGCTTTTGTAACTTTAGTTCCATTGCCATGCAACATAATACATTCATAGGTTCCAGGAATTAGGATGTGGACTTTTCAGCAGAGCTGTTATTATGGGTAGGCCATTATTATGCCTACCACAACTTCCCTTTTCTTAAAATAATTAGATAATTTCCCCTTTTGGTCTCAGAACATCTGCTGTGCCTACAAGGATATGTCTATGAGGTACATTGAATGAGGACATTCCAGCCTTAAAAGCGATTGACTATTATTTTATGGAGAACTCATTTCTCCCAGCCAAAATTCCCTACATGTTTTTAAAAATTATTCTTAAATTTTTGGTCTACTTGAGACATAGTAAATATGATGCATATCTTATTTTGTTAAGTGTTTTTTAGTGTTTGTTATCTAATTATTTTTGGAGTTAGCCTCTCTCAGTGTTTAGACAGAGGCAGGAAGAGGGAATATCAATTATGAGGAGATAGATTTAATCTAAATTTCTGACTTTGAGCTCCTGATTATACAGTGTGTGTCACTCTGTTGAGAGAAAAAATTTTTTTAAAGAACTCACTGTTATCATTTGAATATAACCTAATCTTTCCACATAAAACTGTTAATATTAGTGATTTTGTTGACATTATCTCTGGTTCAGAATTTACTTGGGATTTTTAATGTTTTTGGCCCCAGTCATACTAAACATAAAAGTGGAAATTACCTTGCCATTTGTCTCTTTTTCTATTTTCTTCTCCTACATCACATTCATCCCTACCCTGGTATTGTGGTTTGGCTCTGTGCCCCCGACAAATGTCATCTTGAATTTTGACTCCCATAATTCCCTCATGTTGTGGTACAGTCGCAGTGGGAGATAACTGAGTCATGGGGGCAGTTTCCACCATACTGTTCTTGTGATAGTGAATAAGTTTCTTGAGAGCTGATGGTTTCTGAGGGGAAACGCTTTTCCCTTGGCTTTCCTTCTCTCTCGCTGCCACCATGTGAGAAGCATCTTTCGCCTTCTGCCATGACTGTGAGGCCTCCCTAGCCATGTGGAACTGTGAGTCCATTAAACCTATTTTTCTTCCCAGTCTCAGGTATGTCTTTATCAGCAGCATGAAAACGGACTAATACATCTGGAGAACCCAGGCTGACTGCTATAGGGATGCCAGTTCTTTCTATTAAAACTCTGGGATATTGTTTGACTTTGCCTTCCTGTCTCTATCTCAGTACCCACCAACAGTATTCTGTTTGACACATGAAAATTAGATACAGTCATGTGTCATATAATGACATTTCAGTCAATGATGGGTGGCACATACGACTGTGGTCCCTTAAGATTAAAATGCCACATTTTTACTGTACCTCTTCTATATTTAGATACACAGATGCTTAGCATTGTGTTATAGTTGCCTACAGTATTCATTACAGTAACATGCTGTAGCCTAGGAGCAATAAGCCCTACCCTCTATATAGGTGTGTAGTAAGCTATGCCATCTAGGTTTGTATAAGTATATTCTGTGATGTTCACACAAGTACAAAATCTCCTAATGATGTATTTTGCAGAATGTATCCCCATCTGCAACACAAGACTATACATCAGAAAGGGTAGTTAATTCTGTCCAAGGACTGATGTCAATATGCTTCTCTAGCTCAATCACTGTGAAGAGTATAATTATTCTTCCCACTTCATGCACATTACAACCTGGTCTCTGTAGAATCAGTAAATAAACTCCTTTCATCTGTCCTGCAGTAAATGGCCCATGTTAGAGATATACTTTTATAGTGCTATTTGACTGTGGCCAAAGTATTAACAGAGGTGGAAAAATAGATGATTTTTTTTAAATGCCAGAATTCTTACATGACAATTTCTGAAGGTCTCAATGCTTTGTAATCAGATTTTTGAAAAGGTTGGGCATGGAAGACTGCCCTCAAGAAATAATTCTTCTCTGATTCCTGTCTTCAAGTCCATCTCTCTTTCTTGTTCCTAGAAATTATCTTGGGTGGATTCTGTAGTTTTTCAGTCACTTTGGAATTTTGGAGTTGTCTCATATTAAATGTACATTACAGCTTCACCTCATGTAATTAAAAGCTTCTTGCCTCTCTCTAGCACAGGCCCTACTCAGGCTTTTACCAAGCAGCACAAGGGAAGGAGCACAGGTGGTCTGTTCATTTACTCTCCACTTTTTCTTCCCATTGTGGTTGGTAGGTGCAGAGGGAAAACAGATTAGAAGGAAAAATACAAAGTCTTAATTGTATCACCCAAATGCCGGTGCTGTCTCTTACAGGCACTTTGGTTGATTATTTTGACACTTTCCCATTGTGGACTTCTACACTGGGCCTTTTCCTAGTAGCTAACAACCTGTCCTCCCAAAACTCCCCATCTGCTACTCCTGGCTCTTGCTCCCTAAGTAACACTTTGGACAGACTCACATTCAGTTAATATGGATCTATGGTGGATGTTTCATTGTTTACTGGAATATATAATGATTGTTTGATTATTTAGTTCTGCTTTCTCACTAGTTTTAAGTATTTTAAATATCTCTATTCTACTCTACTTCTAGCCTTTTTTCGTCTGGTGACAACACTCCCCAGCATGCAGTTATGGGTGATGTCCTCTCAAGAAAACTCAATCCCAGTCCTGGGGTTTCACTTAGTATATGAGAGCTACACTGGCATCTTTGAGCTGCAACACAGCCAAGCTTGCCTGCAAATTTCTTATGTAATAGCCAGGCACCAGTCTTCATTATGCCCCTCTCCAAATCCAGGGAAACGATGTCAAGTTTTCCCAGGAACTTTGTAACCTCACCCTCTGTGGCCACATGGCAACATAAAAGCCAACAAAGCCCCTCACTGCAGTGGAAAAGTGAAAAGAGGAGAAAATGCACATTATCATTTGTTCTTTGGAATTCCTGTGAAAACAATCTCTTCCCTTTCTCATCGTGCAGTGGTGTGATCTAGGCTCACTGCAAGCTCCACCTCCTGGGTTCACGCCATTCTCCTGTCTCAGCCTCCCAAGTAGCTGGGATTACAGGCGCCCGCCACCATGCCCGGCTAATTTTTTTTGTATTTTTAGTAGAGACAGTGTTTCAACGTGTTAGCCAGGATGGTCTCGATCTCCCGACCTCATGATCTGCACACCTCGGCCTCCTAAAGTGCTGGGATTAGAGGCGTGAGCCACTGCGCCTGGCCTCTCTTCCCTTCTTAAAGCATCTCTAGCCTCCTATATGCATGGAAGGAGTAGCAGCTGCTAATCCTGTTTGGTCATATATTGGCAAGTTCTATAAGGACATACAAGGCACCTCTGGTTAGAAATTTTGGATACTTACTAGTATTTATTACATAAATATAAAAAATATAAGACATAATAATCATAATTTTGAACATATAGCAAGCATGCTATGATAATTTGGAAGAAAGACATCATTTTCACCTCAGAGGATCAGTGAAAGTGTCACAGAAGTAGTGTCTTTCATTCAAGAAGATGGAGTGACAGCGAATGAGCTAATGTAGGGGTTCTTAATCTGAAAATCAGCAACACTCATTATTGAAAATTGATTAATTAACTTTCCTTAACGTTTTTTGAGTGTTTACTATGTGGTAGGCTCTGTTGTTTATATTAATGTTGTTTAATTTTCACAATAAGCTTATGAAAAATGTGCCATTATTATCTTCATTCAACTGTTTAGAAAACGGAAACTTGAACAAGGTCACACAGTTAGTAAATAATTGAGCTGGGATCTGAGACCAGGGCTTTTCTGACTTTAAAACCCATAGTTTTCAATTTTTCTAAAAGGTAAATATGCACTAACTAAGGCATGAGCTCATAAATGAAGGAAGATGCTGTTAAGTGAAGACCACATGGCTGCATGTAAATGTTACAGTGTTTAGAGCAGCTGATCCCTTGATCTTGTCAGAGTGATGCTTATGCCTGTTTCTTGGCCTCTGTTCCTGTAGTTCTCACACCTCAGATGTTCTTTCTCTTCTCTGCCCAGCAAAATCCCATATGTCCTTAAGGCCCAGTATAAGAAAACTGACTATGAAAACAGCCCCAGCTTCAACATACCCACAGGCTCAGGTTTTGCCAATCTCTTATCACTCATTGTAATTTCAGTCCATATCACTGAGTACTGGATGATGTACCTTCTCTTATTTCTTATTTACCTCTTCAGATAAACTGTGTATTCTTGGAAGATGGAACTGTGTTTTATGTTCTTTTTGTATTTATGATAGTGCCTGGTAGACCTGTTGATTAATTATCAACTGGTCAGATTGATAACTGGGCCCATTTTTAGAGTGGAATTAACTGCTGGCATACAAGGTTCTGTAGGACAGATTTGACCTTCTATTTTTTTATAACTTGTGTCACAATAAAACCACCAGGCTGAGAAACTTCTTGTAAATTTCAAATGCACTAGAATATAAGGAAATGGAGAGCATGCTTGTACTGCTGATGAGTCATTAAAGATGCCTCCACAAGGGAGAATGTTGGGCTTGATGAGAGCCAAAGCAACAGCAGGGAGAATCCGAAGACTTATAAGATCAGTCTGCACAAGGGAGTGTGAGAAACATGAAGGGCCGTTGTTTCTGTCTGTGTTTCCCTTCTTAGCAAATGAGCCAAGGGAATATGTAGTTTAAGAGCTTCCCTTCTGTTCTCCAGCTTTTGTGACACTCCAGCAAATGCAAAGCATTGTACACGCATGCATTTCTTAGTTGAACAGGAAGAACTTGGGAGGCAATGACAAATATTTCACAGTGCCTCCCTGGCATATGAGATGGTTTTTCTGAGAGAGAACATGAGCTTCTACTTAGTGGATTCTCAGAGGACATCTGTGGGAGGAGCTTTCCATAGCAAATATGTATATTCTCACCATCCCCACAGTGCAAATGCCACAAGACTGCATAAAATCTGGTGTAAAGTAAGAACTATTAAGGAGAGTTAAGGAAGTCATAGAAACATCCATCATCATATACCTTGTCCAGACACTGAATGGTAAGTATATAAATCATGTATGTTATTCTCAGGAACTCACAGAGAACGAATGCAGCAGAAAGAAACTCAGGAAGGCAGCAGATGGAGGGTAAAATAAAGACAGTATTACATTTATAAGCAAGTAAGAAGGAGCTTTTGGGAACTGCTCATCTGAAAAACATGGCAGTGTCGGGCTTTGGAAAAAAATGACAATCCAAAATGCTTCAGTCTTCAAACAGCAATAGAAACCTGAATACAGCTTTATTAAGAGTCTCCTCACTCCCAAATGAAATCATAGTTGCACGTCTTTTATAGATAAAGAGCCATGGATACTTATCTTCTTGGCTGATATATTTAGATTTTGCTCAGCACATGCTTGGTGAAGTAATACTTGCCAAATTAATTCAAGTTGGCTTGGATAAGAGCTTAGTCATGTGGATCTTATACTGGATAAAACTGATTAATAATAAATGTCAGGATTTTAAAATAATGAGTGAAAGGCAAGAAATGTAGAAGAGAAAGTAGATTTTGACACATTTTTTTTTCCTTTTCAAAGCAATGTCTGTTTACTGCACCCTTACCAAGGAAGGAGGAAGGCTGCTAAGTATGAGGTGGCTGTAGAATGATTATTATTTTGTGAGCTGACCTTGCCCTTTTAGATGTGTGTACATGGGTAGGAATCACGCAGTTTTTTAGGTGCTTTAGTTTCCTGGGTTCTGAGACTGTGTTTGGCCTCTTTTCCATATTGTAAAATGTGAAACTCCCAGTTCCCCAGAATTCCAAAAGACTTAACAATGCTCTGGAGATGGTTCATTTCCCAGGGCTGGATAAGGCTATGATAAACTTAGTGCGTTAGGACCATACAATAAATAGTACTCTCTCCAGTCTTGGTTACTGCTCAGTTCTTCATTCTGCTTTTATTTTGGCTATGCTTGTTCATCTCCTGAGCCTATTGCTTCAAGAACAATAAGTTCATTCATGATTTAATGAATTAATTCAACAAAGATTATTTTTCTGACATGTTGGGGGAGACAAAGACAAATGAGATAATAAAAAGTTCACAGTCTAGGGGAGCAAGAGCATAATTATCCTGTAGGGAAACACATGGCATGTTCAAGGTGTGCACAGTATGCCATAATGACCTGGAGAAGTGGGGCTAACCCCAGCCAGGAGAGGAGACAAAAGGGTCAGAGTGGCTTTCTGGAGGGAGTGACACATGAAGTGAGTTCTGATGGATAGTGGGACAGGGGCATACTATTCACTCATTTATCAAATACCTATTTAACACAAACACCTGGACTTTGGCTCATTGCTGGGGAAATATCAATAAACAAGAACAGATATAGTGGGGCCCACCCAGACATGTCAACAAGTAAACATATAAAAAGGTGATTTGTTTAAATTCTAAAATAAGCTTATTCTTGCTCTGAAACATCCTGCTCTCTACTGGCAGGGGTGGAAGGTGGGAATGAATTTGCCATTTTAAAGTTGCCACTGCTTTCAGTTCAGTCTCTTGGATACTTGATCAGCTTTTCAAAGCTTTTCTCGATCCCCATCCCTTCTCTTTTATTTCTTGCTACGAAGCATCTGGGCACAGGAAGAGTCTATTTAACCTCCTGAAGTGGACTGGGGAATGAGTCTGGTCTAAACGGATGTTCTTTGTTGGCTTCTGTTGACCTCAGCTTTTCTTGCCTGGTTTCTGGGAATTGACTTCTGTCCTCAATTCATGTGTTGTGGATGCAATATGTAGTATTTTGTCTTGGCATAGGGAGAGTGTGATGATCTTGGTTTAGGAACTCAAGTATCTCTTCTTGCTGAAGAGGCATTATTTCAGTTCTCACTGGGGCTTGGCATCCTCTGAGGCCTAATAATGACTCTTAGAGCATGACCCCTTTGAACTGTGACTTCTGCACCCCTGTTATATGGACATTTCAACCTTAGCAAGCTCTCAGCCCTTACTCGCCTTCAGTCTCAGCCACTTCCTTTGTGCTCCTCCGTTTCTTCCCCTTGGAATATTCTGGAATGTCTAAGTTCCTTCTACTTAACATGGAAGCCAATAGAGACTTGAGGGCACCATTTTCCTTTCTCCTCTACTGTGCTATCTTTCTGTGGTTACCAGTGACAAGTGGGGCTGAGACTTCCTCTGATTCTGGATTCTTTCT
Source organism: Homo sapiens (assembly GCF_000001405.40). Taxonomy (NCBI): domain Eukaryota; kingdom Metazoa; phylum Chordata; class Mammalia; order Primates; family Hominidae; genus Homo; species Homo sapiens. The sequence goes on along the minus strand of NC_000005.10, from coordinate 114,946,770 downwards.
CAATCTGAGATTTCTATCTTCTTGATCCACTTCCTTTGACTGAGAGTGCCAGACATCATCTTCATCTAGGTTTGTCTCTTTCAAACTGGCTCCTTCCTCCAATAAGAAGTGCTCTCTACTTCTCCCATTTCAAATGGGAACCTTCTTCATGTCATATCCTGTATTCTCTTCAGCTATGGCTTGAGATAAAATTCTGTTAGATCTCAAAGTTTTATTCTTGGTATATAAGAATTTGCTTCTGAAAATTAGAAAACTTTTTTTCACCCTGAATAAAGGCTGGCTTTAAAAATTATTGTGTCACTCTGGCCTCAGAAACTTATTTTGGAGGAAAAAAATGTTCAGATTTTTTTCCTTTCATTGCATTTCTGCTATAGCAATTCAAATCATTTCCCAAGTATTCTCTGCCTCAAAATTAATGGAGGAGAGTTTGCATATGAAAAAGAGCAGAGCACATATTAACACACTTGCTAAAATAATTTCCCTCAACCCAGATAAATTACTGTGTCTGCTTTTATTGAATTTATGTATAGTTTAGAGAGAGTAAACATATAAAATGATTCCTGATATTGGTAAAAGCAATTAAGAAAATACCAAAAGGAACGTGATTGAGGATGACTTACTGTGGGGTTCAGATAGGGGTTTCCTTAGGACTGCTTTTGTGTTATTTTTAGACATATTAGTCCACATATATTTAGTACCTCACAGTTATTGCATTGTAAAGTTACTGGTATTTTTCCACACATTTACCTTTCCTGTGCTTTTTATTTGTTCCTGCATTTCAGTGTTTCTGTCTGGGGTTATCTTCCTTACATCTAAAGAATTTCTTTTAGTATTCCTTTTGGAGTGGGTATGAGGACAATAAATTCTTCTGGTTTTTGTCTGTCTGAAACATTTTTGCCATCTTTATGTGAGGGGCATTTTCTCTGGGTATAGAATTCTAGATTGTTAGACATTTTCTTTTAGCAGTTTAAAACTTAATTCCATGGGTATATACCCAAAGTTATGTAAATCATTCTACCATAGAGACATATGTATGTGTATGTTCATCACAGCAATATTCACAATAGGGAAGACATGGAGTCAAACTAAATGCCCATCAGTGGTAGACTGGATAAAAAACTGTGTACATATAAACCATGCAATACTATGCATCCATAAAAAAGAATGAGATTATGTCTTTTGCAGCAACATGGATGGAGCTGGAGGCTGTTATCCTTAGCAAACTAATGCAGGAACAGAAAACCAAATACCGCATGTTCTCACTTATAAGTGGGAGCTAAACATTGAGTACACATGGACACAAAGAAAGGAATAAGACACACTGGGGCCTACCTGAGGGTAGAGAGTAGGAGGAGGGAAAGAATTGAAAATCTACCTATTGAGTACTATGCTTATTACGTGGGTGACAAAATAATCTGTACCAAAACCCCATGACAGGTAATTTACCTATGTAACAAACCTGCACATGTACCCAAATATATATATATATTCGGCTGGGCACGGTGGCTCATGCCTGTAATCCCAGCACTTTGGGAGGCTGAGGCGGGCAGATCACAAGGTCAGGAGTTCAAGACCAGCCTTGCCAAGATGGTGAAACCCTGTCTCTACAAAAAATACAAAAAAATTAGCCAGGCATGGTGGCAAGCACCTGTAATCCCAGGTACTCAGGAGGCTGAGGCAGAGAATTGCTTGAACCCAGGGGGCAGAGGTTGCAGTGAGCCAAGATGGCACCACTGATCTTCCAGCCTGGGTAACAGAGCAAGACTTCATCTCAAAAAAAAAACTTTATACATGTATATATATAAATTATATATATATAATCAGTGTATATATATACTGTAATTACATATATAATCACAGTGTATATATATACACAATATATATACACTGTAATTACAGTATATATACACACAATATATACACTGTAATTACAGTGTATATACACACTATATATATACTGTAATTACAGTGTATATACACACTATATATACTGTAATTACAGTGTATATACACACTATATATACTGTAATTACAGTATATATACACTATATATACATTTATACATACACTATATTTATATATATTTATTTATATACATACACTATATATACTGTAATTACAGTATATACACACTATATATACTGTAATTACAGTATATACACACTATATATACTGTAATTACAGTATATATACACACTATATATACTGTAATTACAGTATATATACACACTATATATACTGTAATTACAGTATATATACACACTATATATACTGTAATTACAGTATATATACACACTATATATACTGTAATTACAGTATATATACACACTATATATAGTGTGTATATATACTGTAATTACAAATGTGCTGAAAGACTAGAACAGACAATGAAAGTAGGTTGTAAGTTTACATAGTTTAAAAATGTCCAAAATGTACTTTACAGTATTTAAAGTTGATTTAATAATTTATAAAATGAAAGGGGGAAATAGATGATTGCTAAAGGCCTTCCAGTCTCTAAAATTCTATGAAAGTTAATATTTTGTATTAGTAAGTGTGGAAAGATTCATTATTTTTAGTATTGCAGTAAGAAATTCTACCTCTACCCACATTCTGCAGGGGTTGGGAAACAAGTTTGTCAGATCACAGAGGCACTTTAATAATAACAAAATGATAATAACAGCTGAAGAGGAAAGGTTAGTAGTGACGAATACAATTAACACTGACTGTCCAGGATCCATGCTTCATTTTACTACCATAAAATCCTGAGGTTGCTAAAAAAAAAAAATCAAACAATAAATTTTCCACCATGTATGTATATTATCTTTAAAATTCAAAATAAATGAAGGTTAATATAAACAAGCTAAAAATACCTCATTCCATTGTCTTCTGACTTCTATAATTTCAGCTAAGAAGTCAGCTTAATTTCTTATGGTAACTGTATTTTAGACCTTACATATTTCTTTTATTTATCTGGCAGCTTCTTTTCTTCTCCTTTTTTTTCTTTAATGGAGACAGGGTCTTGCTCTGTTGCAGTGGTGTGATCACGGGTTACTACTGCAGGCTTAACTTCCCAGGCTCAAGCATTCCCCTCATATTAGCCTCCTGAGTAGCTGGGACCACAGGCACATGCCACCACACCTGGCTAATTTTTCATGTTTTTGTAGAGATGAGGTCTCACTATGTTGCCCTGGCTAGTCTCAAACTCTTTGGCTCAAGTGATCCTTCTGCTTCAGTCTCCCAAAGTGTTGGGATTACAGGGATGAGCACTGTGCCAAGCCAACTCCAGTGTCTTTTAAAATGTTATTTTATCTTTATTATTTAGAAGTTTGATTAACACTTAGGTTGTTTCCTCTTTTTGGCTATTGTGAACTAATCTTTCCACTTTAAATGATGTTGGCACAAAATTGTCATGTTTGAATTTGAATTAAATATGTTCTATTTTGGTGTAAAAAACTTTTTTCCCAAAATTTGGTTATGTTTTCTTCAAATTGTAGTCAAATATATATGACATAAAATTTACCACTTAGCTATTTTTAAGTCTACAGTTCCATGGCATTAAATACATTCACAGTGTTTTGCAAATACCACTACCCTCCATCTCCAGAACTTTTTCATCTTCCCCAGCTGAAACTCTACCCATTAAATACTAACTTTCCATTCCCCCTCCTCTTGACCCTAGAAAACCACCATTCCACTTTCTGTCACTATTAATTTGAATACTTTAGGTACCTCATAAAAGTGTGCTAAGTGAAATAAGCCAGTGACAAAAGGACAAGTATTTTTTACCTCTTGAACCCATCTTAGTTTAAAATACTAAGCCCACTAAGTGATCCTAGGCCACTACAATTGCTTCCTGACCAGTAGTCAATAACGTTTCAGTCACCCTCCAACTGGCACTAAACACTGTGACCATAGTGCTCATTTCAAAGACCACGATCCTTAACAAAACCCTTCTACACGTTTATCCTAATTCCATGCAGCATTCTTACTCAGTCTCCCTTTTCCCACCTACTGGCCCCTCTCAATCCCTCTTGCCTCACACTCTGTTTCTCCAAAGGCATCTTCAGATGCTGACTCCTGCCCCATCAAGCCCTTTCTCCCTTCTATGGACTCATTTATCTTGTTACTTCCTACTTCTCTTTTAGGCCTCAGCACAGTTACTACCTCTTTTTTTTACATCAATAACTAGGTCAAATTCACTTATTTTCTGTTCTCATACTACCAACACTCTACTTCACCCCACTTACTAAAGTTACAATTTTACATGTATTTATATGATTATTTGGTTTGACTACTTCCCTAAACTGTAGGGCAGGATCTATATCTGTATTTCTTTCTTTTGTAAAGCCAATGCCTGTCATGGTTTGTGGAACATAGAATGGTCTCCATAAATATTTTTTGAATAAATGATAGGATTCATAATAGGTTATAAAGCTGGAACCTGAGAAACAGACATAGGCTACAGGACTAATGAAGAGAAGAAATTCAGTGAGAAATCAGTTTTAAATTACAGAAGCAAGGAACTAGTTGGGAATCTTCCCTAGCAGCTCTTTTTTATGATAAATATTTTAATTTGAAAGTGTATGATTAACATATAAAAATGGTACATATTTATGGGGTACACTATGATGTTTTGATACATGTAAGCATTATGTAATGTTCAAATCAGGGTAACTGACATATCCATTGCCTTGAACATTGATCATTTCTTTGTGGTGAGAACATTCAAAAACCTGTCTTCTAGCTATTTTGAAATATGCAATATGTTATTGTTAACGCTCTTCATTCTACTATGCAACAGAATACCAAAACTTATTCCTCTTAACTGTAGCTTTGTACCTGTTGACCAACTGTCACCATACTGCCATCCCTTACCTTTTCCATTCTCTGGTAACCACTATTCTACTCTCTGTTTCTCTGAACAACGTTTTAGATTCCATGTATGAGTGAGATCATGTGGCATTTCTCATTATGTGCCTGGCCTATTTCACTTAAAAATTTTACGTTAAGTTCACTTAACACATTGTCCTCTAGGTTTATCTGTGTTGCTACAAACAACAGGATTTCATGTTTTTAATGGCTGAATAGTATTCCATTGTGCATAATACCACATTTTCTTTATCCATTCAACCATTGATGGACATTTAGGTTGATTCTATGTCTTGGTTATTATGAATATTGCTAGAAGAAAACATAAAGGAAAAGCTTATAATGTTGGTCTAGGCAAGGATTTTTTTGGATAAGACCTCAAAAGCATGAGCTACATATAGACAAAATATAGAAAAACAGAATTATATCAAACTAAAAAAGCTTCTGCATAGCAAAAGAAGCAATTAACAGAGTGAAGAGACAATCTACAGAATGGCAGAATATGTTTGCAAACTATACATCTGATAAAGGGTTAGTATTCAAATATGTAAGGAGATCAAACAACTCAACAACAACAGAAAAACCCAATTTAAAAATGGGCAAATGATCTGAATAGAAATTTCTCAGAAGAAGACATATAAATGACCAACAAATGTATAAAAGGTACTCAACATCATTAATCATCAGGGAAATGCAAATCAAAACTAAAATGGAACATCACCTCATTCAATTCAGAGTAGCTACTGTAAAAAAAATCAAAAGATAACAAGTGTTGGTGAGGACGTGAAGAAAAGAGAACCCTTACACACTGCTGGTAGGCATGTAAATTAATACATCTGTTATGGAAAACAGTATGGAGGTTTCTCAAATAATTAAAAGTAGAACTATCATATGATCCAGCAATCCCACTGCTAAGTACATATCCAAAGGAAATGAAATAAGTATGTTGAAGTGTTATCTGTACTCCTGTTTACTGCAACATTATTCACAATAGTCAGCAATTCTTTAAAGATTGATTAAAACAGCGTCAAACATTGACATTGACAGATGTTTAAGGAAAATAGGAAGAAAAACAGAAATAAAGAGACAGATATTGATCAGCAAGAGTAATGTTGAGAAATTGGAACAAGCCTGGGAAAAGAGTTGAAAAATAAGTTAGAGGTAGAGTCTGGGAGTAAGAGCTGAGACTATGGGTTTATTTAATAAATCAGTGACTGAGGTGCATTTAGCCATTGCCCTCAATATCCCACTATCCCACTGTACAGACCAGAGTAAGAGAAAATAGAGAATAAAATTTCACCTACAGAGTTCTGTTTGATAAAGAAGGGTCTTGTCTTTATGGATGATTAAACCATGGGATAGACTAATAGGCCTGATGAATCTTATTTTAAGATCCTTTAAAAATGGATAAGGCAACCATTTATCTGAGATAAAGGTAGGTGATAAACTAGGCTGTTAGCTAGTTCATGTTTTAGAATCAGTGGTTTTCTTTCTGAAGAATTTTTATCTGCTATTCCTTCTCAAATCTTAAGTCAGAGAAGCAAGAGTTTTACCTAAGAATATACTGTAGTAAAGGAAAGTTCCAGAGACATGTCAATGTGTGTATTAGTCCATTTTCACACTGCTATATAGAACCACCTGAGACTGGGTAACTTATAAAGAAAAGTGGTTTAATTGACTTGCTGTTCCATATGGCTGGGGAGGCCTCAGGAAACTTACCAGCATGATGGAAGGTGAATGGGAAGCAGGCACTTTTTATGTGGCAGCAGGAAAGGGGGGAGCACCATGTACTTTTAAACCATCAGATCTTGTGAGAACTTACTCACTATCATGAGAACAGTACAGGAGAAAACACCTATATGATCCACTTACCTTCCACCAGGTCCTTCCCTCAACATGTGGGGATTACAATTTGAGATGACATTTTGTTGGAGACACAGAGTCAAACCATACCATTCCACCCCTGTCCCTTCCCAAATCTCATGTCCTTTTCACATTTCCAAACCAATCATGCCTTCCCAGAAGTCCCCCAAAGTCTTAAATCATTCCAGCATTAACTTAAAAGTCAAAGTTCAAAGTCTCATCTGAGACAAGGCAAGACCCTTCTGCCTATGATCCTGTAAAATAGAAAAACAAGTTAGTTACTTCCAAGATACAATGAGTAAATGTTTCTGTTCCAAATGGGAGATTGGCCAAAACAAAAGGGTTACAGCCCCCCTGGAAATCTGAAACCCAACAAGGCAGTCATCAAATCTTAAAGTTCCAAAATGATCTCCTCTGACTTCAGGTCTTATATCAAGGGCACAGTGATCCAAAGAGTGGGCTCCCAGGGCCTTGGGAAGCTCCATTCCTGTGGCTCTTCAGGGTATAGCCCTCATGGCTGCCTTCACAGGCTGCTGTTGAGTGCCTGTGGCTTTTCCATGTACACAGTGCAAGCTGTTGGTGGATCTACCATCCTGGGATGTGGAGGATGGTGGCCCTTTTCTCACAGCTCCACCATGTGGTTTCCCAGTGGGGACTCCATGTCGGGGCTCCAATTCCATGTTTCCCCTCTGCATTGCCCTAGTAGAGGTTCTCCATGAGGGCTCCACCCCTGCAGCAGACTTCTGCCTGGACATCCAGCCATTTCCGTACATCCTCTGAAATGTCGTGGGGGTTTCCAAAGCTCAACTCTTGTCTTCTGCAAACCTGCAGTCCCAACACCACGTGGAAACCACAAAGGCATGGGGCTTCCACTTTTCAAAGCAATGGCCCAAGCTGTGCCTTGGCCCCTTTTAGCCATGGCTGGAACTGGAGCAGCTGGGATTCAGGGCTCCATGTCCCAAGGCTGCACCAAACAGCAGGGCCCTAGGCCTGGCACACAAAACCATTTTTCCCTCCTAGGCCTCTGGGCCTGTAATGAGAGGGGCTGCCTTGAAGATCTCTGAAATGCCCTGGAGACATTTCTCCCTAACATTTGGCTCCTTGTTACTTACGCAAATTTCTGCAGCTGGCTTGAATGTCTCTCCAGAAAATGGATTTTTCTTTTCTACCACATGGTCAGGCTGCAAATTTTCCAAACTTTTATGCTTTGCTTCCCTTTCAAACAGAAGTTCCAACTTCAGAACATCTCTTTGTGAACACATATGACTGTACGCTTTCAGAAAAAGCACTCAGAATGCTTTGCCACTTAGAAGTTTCTTCTTCCATATACCCTAAATAATCTTTCTCATGTTCAAAGTTCCACAGATCTCCAGGGAATGGGAAAAATCTCTAGGACACAGCCAGCCAACTAGCTTATTGGTTGTATAACTAGGAGCCTCTTTGCTAAAGCATAGCAAGAGTGACCTTTGCTCTATTCCCAATAAGTTCCTCATTTCCACCTGAGACCACTTCAGCCTTGAATTCATTGTTTGTATCAGCATTTTGGTCAAAACCATTTAACAAATCTATAGAAAGTTCCAAACTTTCCCAAATCTCCCTGTCTTCTTCTGTGACTTCCAAACTGTTCCAATCTCTGCTCATTACCCATTCCAAAGTCACTTCAACACTTCCAGGTTATCTTTATAGCAATGCCCCACTTTCTGCATTACCAATTTTCTGTATTAGTCTACTTTCACATGGCTATAAAAACTATCTGTGACTGGGTAATTTATAAAGAAACATGGTTCAATTGACTCACAGTTCCATATGTCTGGGGAGGCCTCAAGAAACTTACTGTCATGGTGGAAGGCAAACGGGGAAGCAGGAATGTCTTACATGGCGGCAGGAGGTGAGGGGAACTGCCCCATACTTTTAAACCATTGGATCTCATAAGAACTCACTCACTATCATGAGAACAGTATGGGGGAAACTACATGATCCAGTCACCTCTTACCAGGTTCCTCCCCCTACACATGGGGATTTCAATTTGAGATGAGATTTGGGTGGGGACACAGAGCCAAACTGTATTAATGTGTATGGTGTAAGATTGCATAACTGACTCACTCGAGTAAACTGAGTTGACTAATCCCTCCACTGTAAGAGGCTGATGTTAACAGGCTTAATTCTTTCCCACTCAGTGCCACCCCCTCCCCTTTCACCACTTTGCCTGGGACTACCCTGTTCCTTAGATCTCTGCTGTGCTTGAGTAGGGCTGCTTGCCCAAAATGTTGTCTTCTCCAGACATCCATTTTCTCTTTAGACTCCTTGCTTCTCCTTGTCAGATGTTATTTCTCAGTAGCTTTAACCTCTCTTTTTCTATTGGCTTTTTCCCATTAGCATATTAACATGCTCAATTACTGCCATCTTAAAAAGGTAGTATGTCTTTCAACTCCAGGGTTCCCTCCAGCTGCCACCTTATCTGTCTACTGCTCTTACCAGACAAGGCTCTTTAAAGATGTGTCTACATTTGCCAATCCCACTTCCCTATCTATAACACTTTTCAGCCCACTGCATCCTGACCCCTCTTCTCTCCTCTTCTCTTCTCTGAAGCACTTACTAGTACCACAAATTAAATCCTAGAACTTTTAAGAGCAAACAGTATTTGATCACATCCTCCTTCTTGGAGTACTTGTTTCTTTTATTTTATGTTGCTATTTTTAATTATAAGTAACATATATAACATAACATTTGCCATTTTAACAATTTTTAATGTACACTTCCATGTCAGTAATTATGTTCACAATATTGTTCAACCAACACCATTATCTATTTTCAAAGTTTTTTATCATCCCAAATGAAAACTGCACCCATTGAAGAATAGGTCCCCATCTTTCCTTGTATTTGGGGACATCACGCTCTTCTAGTTTTCCTCTGTCTCTGTCCTCCTCTGGATCCCTTCCTCCCTGCCTTCTTCCCTTTTCTCAGCCTTCTTTGTGAATATATTTTCATCTGTTGGTTACTTAAAATCTGCTCTCCATGAGTACTGTCCTAGGCCCTTGTCTCTTCTTACTTTATACTTTTAAAAAAAATTTTAAATTTTTTTTGGTAAATCTCAATTTATCCTGCAGCTTCAATGAACATCTAAAGCTAGATCTTTTACCTGAGCCCTTTAATATAATTCATTACTTACCTCTTGCTACCCACCAATGGTATAATATTTTCTGTCCCTCTAAAGCTTTACTATTTCTTTTCTACACATTTGCAATTGCATTTTTCTATGCTTGGAATTTATTTCTCTTAAGTGTGTTCATTATTTTTAAGATCTTAACTTGGAGGTCACTTCTTCCAGGAAGCTGTTTAGGAGCTCCCCATAACTTCTCTTACTGTGCTGTCATCCCCACTGGTCCCTAAATTCCATGATTGATAAGATAGAGGTATTGTGTTTATTGTGTGTTTCCAGCCCTGGCACATAGTAGACAATCATTAAATATTTGATTCAACAGCAAGGACTGTTATTGAATGAAGTTATAAAAAAAATTAAGGACATCTAAGTATCTTTATGCTGACAGATGACTACTAGCAGTTGGACATAAACTATTCTGTTGGAGCTTGCTTTTTATGTGTGTGATATCAAAATGTCTTACATTTTGTTGAGAAACAGTAAAAATAATGACAAGGCTTTAATGAACATCTAACCAGAATCTTCAAAACCTTACTTAAACCTCACTTGAGACTTAGCTTTAATGGGTACATTAGCTTAATTGATGTTCTTTGACTTAAGATAAAGTCCTCTCAGCATTGTATACATTGAAGCTGTCAACATTTCTGTTCTAATTTTAAAAAAGAAATATGTCCTGTGAAACAAACGGAAATGCCTTGTCTCTGTTCTTTATAGAACGTGTAACTTCTCTGGATGCTCTTGCTCTGTAAAAGTAGCTGGACTTGGTGCATTTCATGTGTAGAGGAGTCTTGTTGAAGAAGACCTAGCTGCAATAAGGTGGGTAAGAAAGGGCAGTGTGATGTTATATTAATACACTTCTAACATCTCATAATTGAAAAGTACTTCAAAGACCTTGTTTATAGGAGTGCTACAAAAAGTATATGGAAGCGTTGCTAACAAAAGCCTCATGAAGTGTATGTATGTATCTATATGTATATATGTTTTCCAGATTTTATTTTATGTCTATAAGATTTCAGCCTTCAGTTTGTTCATATTTAAAATAACCATAAGATCTTGGTGTCTTGAAATATACTTCATATAACTTTCATGTCTGAAAAATGTATTATTTGAATTTTTAAAGGGGAATATCCTTTTTAAAATAATTTCAAAAATCTCAAAGGCCAATATCAACCTTGGGGAAATATCTGCAAGTCAGCAAGAAAAAAAAATCACATAGGAAAAATGAGCAAGGGAAAACAATAATTTCCAATATAAAAATAATAAATGTCTAATGCAGCATGTGAAAAATGTTCATTTATACTTAGGGTATAAATAAAAATTAAGATAACAATAGAATTGAATTTGAAAAGATTAAGGAGATATAAAGCTATACAAACTGAAAATAATTGTCAGTGCTACAATAATAATGGCTAACATTTATTGAGTGCTTACTATGTGCTAGATACAGTACTTGGTGTTTTATCTTTACTAATGCACTTAATAATAATAAAAAACATTTGTGGTAGATAATGTCAACTCTAATTTTACAGATGAAGAAACTAAAGCAGAATGATGATGAATAATTGCCCAAGGACATATAGCTAGAAAGAGATGAGCCCAGAGGACTTGACACAATAAACACTATACACACTACACTGGTTTGTGATCTCTTAGGTGGATAAATACTGCCACAAGTGGCTACTGGGGGTGTATGTTGGTACAAATGTACCAGAAATCAATATTGGGCTCACTTTGGGCTATTGGAACATCTGGTTCAGCTCTGCAGCAGATAATCATCTATGCTTCTCTTGCTTAGAAAACCTCTTTATATCCTTTTTGTTTCCCTAAATATTATTGCTATAACTCCAACTTAAAATTTTACACCCCACATCAACATATATCTGCTAAAGAATTCACTCACCTCATCATTGCTAACTATCATAGTTCAAATCAATTTTATCTTAGAACATCAATCTATTTCAGCTCACTCACATAGAATACATAAGCATAAACAAAATTATTACTGTGCAGATATAAAACCTTAAGCCATAACCAGTCATTTACATTTACACCAAATTATTTATTATCTCTTGAGGCAACCAATGAATGCGAGACATTGAGAAGGTAAGTGTCTCTGTGACGGAGGAGTAAGATAAAGTCAATACATGAGGTGCTGTCTTGGGAAAGATAAGCCTAGGTAGGAGATGTGGTTAAGAGTCTAGTCATTCAGGGGTACAATACAGGAGCACTGGGCCTTTGGAAATCCAAGCAGGAGAGGAAAAGATGCCCAGGAGGTTGAAATGACCACCATTAGAAGAGATGTGACTATACCAAAGCCGTTCTTTACAACTTTGCCCAGAGCTCTTGCCTGGATGATCTCATGGTGCTGATAACTCAGAAAAAGGAGTCTGCTTGGGGATAGCATGTTTACAATATCTCCCTATGTGAACACCTTGATTAGACAATCGTAATTATCAACAGCAGTGTTCCTTACCTTTTTTTGCTCCTCTGCACAAAAAAGCCTGTTCCTTAGATCAAATGCACCTTAAGTTATGAGTCATTCCCTAAAGCTGTGCCAGCTTCATTCCTCCTCAAGAAGGTATATCATACACTTTTTCAAGCTGCACATTATCCTCATCCCATCTTCCCGACACACACCACCACCCTTACATGTTTCCCTGACACATGTACCCAGAGAATGTCTGCTCTGGATAAAAAGAAAGAACTTGAAAAAGTCTGATACCATCTGTTTTGCAAATCAGGAACTCCCAAAATTTAAAACAAAACAAAACAGGTTTGTCTGGAGGGAGAGCATGTTCCTTGGTATCAGCTGCTAAAGTCCTTCAAGACAGATGCGAACTGATCTGATCTCCTCTCCAGCCTCCCACCCACCGTCTGGCACTCCCATTCCTTTCAGTGCACTGCCATTGTTTTAAACGGAAATGTAGCCCCTGCTACTTTATTTCTAGATTTATAAACAGTACACAAGAATATTCTCATGGGCTATGCTTATTTAAATACGGATGTGCTTTATTTTAAAATGGCCGTGTTAAATTACTATACCTGTAATGGAAACAGCTCAAGGTAAGAAAAGTTTCTGAGTCATTCATCTAAAAGGGTTTAGTTAGTTGCAGCTGGAGAAAGCCGCACTCCTGTTAAAGTCTAAAGCCCACTGAGAGGCATTTATCTAAGGGAGAAAGCTTAAGGATAGAAATATGTTTGGGCATTCTAGAAAAAAAAAGCAGCTTCTGTATATTGAAAACAACATAGCAAAAAGATTGCTTTGGGAAGTAAGGCAGAATCAGATTAAATAAATTTAAAACTTTGTTAGAAAATTAAACAGTAGGCCAGGCGTGATGGCTCACACCTGTAATCCCAGCACTTAGGGAGGCCGAGGCGGGTGGATCACAAGGTCAGGAGATCGAGACCAGCCTGGCCAACATGGTGAAACCCCGTCTCTACTAAAAACACAAAAATTAGCTGGGCATGGTGGTGGGTGCCTGTAGTCCCAGCTGTTTGGAAGGCTGAGGCAGGAGAGTTGCTTGAACCCGGGAGTTGGAGGTTGCAGTGAGCTGTTGCACTCCAGCCTGGGTGACAGAGTGAGACTCCACCTCAAAAAAAAAAAAAAAAAAGAATGGAAAATAGTAATTAGAGGCAATTAATAGTCATAATACAAAATCTATCTAAAATTCAAAATATGTGGATTTTGATAAATCGAAATTGTTGAAATACAGAAGCCCAAAGCTATTATTATAGTAAAATTAAGAAAGAAGTTTTTTTATTTAGAAATGCCTTTTCCTTTGCACTATTGATTTATTTTATCTAGTACATGAATTAACTGATATATTTATTACTTTTTAATATATTCCAATTTTATTTGCATGCTGACAAACATTTCCTTTGGAGTCTTTATTTTTCCCATTTTAAAGCCATCCATGGTTAGTTTAAGTGCACAAGAATTTAAAATGTTGCATAGGAACAGAAAACCAAATATTGCACGTTCTCACTTGTAAGTGGGAGCTAAACATTGGATACTCATGGACATAAAGATGGGAACTGTGCTACCTTCGTAGTGATAACTGGGTCATATACGTTTTGAAAATGCATTTCATAGACACTGTGGACTTCTAGATGGGGGAGGGAAAGAGAGGAGCATGGGTTGAAAAACTACCAATTGGGTATTATGCTCACTACCTGGGTGTTGGGATCTGTACTCCAAACCTCAGCATCATAAAATATACTCATGTAACAAAACTGCACATGTACCCCTGCATCTAAAATAAAAGATAAAATTATTTTAAAACACTTAGGTAGGCTGAGAGAGCTTTCAAAAAGAAGGTAGACATATCTGAATTGGGACTGCTCATCTTTCTGCTGTTAGTAGCTCTACTTTTCATGGGATGCAAGTTGTTATGGTAAAGGGAAGGTGGCTGAAATTGTAACGAGAGGTAGTATGTTGATAATGGATAAGTTTGTTTTAAAGTGATACATAATTTGTCAAAGTGTGCTTTTTAAAAATAGGTTTGATTCATTGAATTGCCTATTTGCTTTATAGGGGCAATAAAATCTCCCAAGTTATTACAAGTTAAATTGGTCCTTATCACCTTTATGCTTTTCTGGCAATGTTAGGGACAATGACTAATGAAGGACATCTCATTTGAAAGAATATACTCCCTCTATGTTGAGCTTATGTCTAGTACCAAGGCCTTCAAAGAATCAAATTTCCTGGCACTGAAGCTCAGCCAAAACACAGTTCCTGGGACTGAACTGCTAGGATTACTGCTAGACTGTCACCAAGAATGGCCTTTCCTGCTTTATCAAATAGTCTTCTCTATCACCTGTTATTTATCCAACAAGGAAATTTCCTGTTTTACTCTTCAGACTCACACCTCAGAATATCTGATTAACTAGAGAAGCTGAAGCAGGAACCCGTAAGACCTTACCTTCTTTCTTGCATAAACTGCAATGATTTGTACTTCATAAATTATTGATAAAAACAAACTTTCTACCTTGGCAGTGATGACTGGACCATGTACTGACAAACCAGTCAAAGCTAAGCATGCTGTGGTTGAGCATGAGGAAGGCCAGCAGCCTCTGAGATGAACTAGCACGCTCTATTCACTCATTTATTTATTCATTCATTCACTCCTCCATTCAATGAATATTTTTTGAGGGCCCACCACATTACAAGCATAGTTCTTGACCTTGTGGAAGTTAGAGGTTAGTGAGGAGGCAGTCATAATCATAATAAAATAATCACATAAACAAGGGAGTAATTGTAATGTTGGCATATGCTGTGATAAGACAGTACATAATTTTCTGAGAGCTTGTAATTGGGACATTGACTAGTTCAGGGAAAGCTTGGCTGGAGATGTCAAACCTGATCTGAGTATGAAGGCTGAATCATGTTAACTAGAAAACAGAGACAAGGAAGAACAGGAATAAATGCTCTTTGTTAGGTAAACAAGAGAAGATGATCTTTCTAGCTCTGTTTTTGTCTCAGAGATACTTAAGGTTTTCTCTGTTGTCTTTGGAACCTGATATTCCCAGCAATGGGAATGCTGAGACTCTTGGTGACTGATGAGGTGACCTCTCATGATTCTTTACATTTCTTTGTGTTAATGCACCATCATCAAAAGTTATTGGCACATATCTCTTCTGTGAGATGCTAAGGCATAGGACAGACTTAATAGTACTTGAATAGTGCAACCAACTTCTCAGAAACCTGTCTTGTTTTTATTTCCATATTCTCATCCTGGGTCTTCCTGAGACCACAGGTCTGCCTGGATCCTTGATTCTGGTGTCCTGTGAAGCCAGTACCTAGAAGGGAGTAGAGGGGCACAGACTGGGTAAAATGCCAACTGCAAGCACAGTGGCCTAACAGGAAAATGGGTTTGATCTATCTTCCTGTTGCTCCAGCCTCAATGATGATTTCAACTTTTATTAAAGTGACAAAAACATTGATGTAATAATATGAAATACTGGGTGACAGCAGCCTGAGGAATACATGTAGACTCAGGAAATTTGGGTAAAATACCAAATTCACGCACATAGAAGAAAGGTACTAAGAAAGGTGTAAGTCTAGTCAAAGGCAAAGACTGGAAAATTGGAATTCTTTGCAGATTATACTTCGCTTATGATAGCTATAGTCAGCATAAGGAAAATGTAAGTTATGTTGCATCCTTTCTTTAGAGCACTAGTGAGCAAGCTCAGGCCAGGACCTGCTTTTCGGGATGGTTCTGGTACAGAAACATGGAAGTACTGTTTAATTTATGATTGGCTTTTAGGTGAAGATTCTGCATTGTTTTAAATAAGGTTTGACAAAAATAAGCATTGTCGTATCAGGAGACTTTTTTTCACAAGGAGAAGAGAGTCTAATGTATTCCTATACATTGCATATTTTAGAATGACATGGATCTTTGTGGCTTCTTAATTTTGTAATTGGCTTGGCTTCTAAGCTTTACTTCTGTACATTAGGACATTTTAGAAGAAAAGCAGAATTTAAAATAAGTTTAAAAATTTTTTAACTTAATATTTAGAATTGTAAAGAGTTTTTAAATCAATGTATAAGATTGTAAATTTAAAAAGGATAGTCTCTCCTCATCTGTTCTTGCCCCTATCTACATCCTTGTGTGTCTGGACTTGGTGGGTTCTTGGTCTCACTGACTTCAAGAATGAAGCCACAGACCCTCGTGGTGAGTGTTACAGTTCTTAAAGGTGGCGTGTCTGGAGTTTGTTCCTTCTGATGTTCAGATGTGTTAGGAGTTTCTTCCTTCTGGTGGGTTCGTGGTCTTACTGGCTTCATGAGTGAAGCTGCAGCCCTTCCCCGTGACTGTTACAGCTGTTAAGGCGGCACATCTGGAGTTGTTCCTTCCTCCCATCCGGAGTTGTTCATTCCCCCCAGTGGGTTCGTGGTCTCACTGGCCTCAGGAGAGAAGCTGCAGACCTTCGTGGTGAGTGTTACAGATCATAAAGGCAGTGTGGACCCAAAGAGTGAGCAGCAGCAAGATATATTGCAAAGCGCAAAAGAACAAAGCTTCCACAGTGTGGAAGGGGACCGGAGTCGGTTGCCACTGCTGGCTCAGGCAGCCTGCTTTTAGTCCTTTATCTAGCCCCACCCACATCCTGCTGATTGGTCCATTTTATGGAGAGCTAATTGGTCTGTTTTACAGAGAGCTGATTGGTCTGTTTTGACAGGGTGCTGATTTGTGTGTTTACAATCCCTGAGCTAGACACAAAAGTTCTCTAAGTCCCCACAGAGCACTGAATGGTGCATTTACAAACCTTGAGCTAGACACAGGGTGCTGATTAGAGTGTTTACAAACCTTGAGCTAGACATAGAGTGCTGATTGGTGTATTTACAATCCCCTAGCTAGACATAAAGGTTCTCCAAGTCACCACCAGATTAGCTAGACACAGGGTGCTGATTGGTGCATTTACAAACCTTGAGCTAGACACAGAGTGCTGATTGGTGTATTTACAATCCCTTAGCTAGACATAAAGATTCTCCAAGTCCCCAGTAGACTCAGGAGCCCAGCTCGCTTCACCTAGAGGATCCCACACCGGGGCTGCAGGTGGAGCTGCCTGCCAGTGCCGTGCCATGCGCCTGCACTCCTCAGCCCTCAGGCAGTTGATGGGATGGGGCCTCCTTAGAGCAGGGGGCAGCGCTCCTAGGGGAGGCTCGGGCTACGCAGGAGCCCACAGCCGGGGGGGATGGGGGGGTGGGCTGGGGGGAGTGGGGTGGGGGTAGGGGTTCGGGGGGTGGGGGTTGTCGGGGGTTACGGGGAGGCTCAGGCATGGCGGGCTGCAGGTCCCGAGCCCTGCCCTGAGGGGAGGCAGCTGAGGCTCCACGAATTCGAGTGCAGCACTGGCGGGCCAGCACTGCTGGGGGACCCGGCGCACCCTCCGCAGCTGCTGGCCCCAGTGCTAAGCCCCTCACTGCTCAGGGCTGGTGGTGCCAGCTGGCTGCTCCAAGTGTGGGGCCCACCGAGCCCACGTCCACCTGGAACTCACGCTGGGCTACAAGCGCGCACGCGCAGCCCCAGTTCCTGCCCATGCCTCTCCCTCCACACCTCCCAGCAAGCTCTGGCCTCGGTAGCCCAGAGAGGGGCTCCCACAGTGCAGTGGTGGGCTGATGGGCCCCTCAAGCGCAGCAAGACTGGGTGCCAAGGCCGAGGGGGTGCCGAGAGCGAGCAAGGGCTGCGAGGGCTGCCAGCACACTGTCATCTGTCACTTGTGTGTTATTGCTAATAATTTGTTATTGCTAATAATTACTAAGACTATATGAGTGTTAGCTATTGTTATTACTATCTTTCTATACAGTCATACACAGATATATAGATGTTTATACACACCTTTACACACACATATACATACATTTTTAAGCCAGGTGATTACATTATATATTTTGAAAATTTTGATTTTTTTCGTCTTGACAACATACTTTGGACCTATACCCATATAATTGATTCTGTTTAGTGATTATATAGTATTGCTAGTAAGTTAATGGACATTCACTTACTTCATATTTTTGTCTTTACTAAAAAATACTACAATGAACATTTCTTGTCCCTTTACTTTTGCATACTTATGTCAGAATTTCTTTAGTATGCATTCCTAGAAGTAGAATTGCTGGGTCAAATGTTCAGCATTTAAAAAATCTTGATAGATGGTAAAGATAGAACTTGAGAGATGTGGAAGTGCTTCCTTCACTCTTCTCTCCCTACAAAAAGGAATGTATTCATCATAATTGACCAGAGCCCTGTTCTAGAGGTAGGGTTTCTGAGGATAAACTGCTATATAAAGGAGCCAGTCAGTTCTGCTGCTTGGTACAAGATTTTGAATTTAAATTTAAATCCAGAGGGGAATGTTACATTTATTATTATTCAAGCTGTTGTAAAATTGCTTCCCAAATATTAAAAAAGTAATTTGATCGGTTTCCCTAGCCCAATTTAAATGGTGTCATCTTTACATCCCTGAAGATTGTCTAAGTCTCATAGCTAACCTTCCTATTGGTCAGCTGCAGCTCCCTCTTTTTTATTGAATCATTTTTCTCTTATTGCTTCTCTCATATTCCATAATAAGTATGACTTTGCTGACTTACTGCTGGAACTCCTAGACTACTATTTATAGTTCTACTTTTACCAGCTTTAGTGACTTCTTAGAAATTCCATTATGACAAAAGAAAGAATGGACCTTTTATAAAATGAAGGGAAAGAAAACAATGTTACCTTTTTTGTGAAGTCTGTTTTAGGTCTTCTTATCTACAACTACCCTAGTGAAGTCAGTGACTTTGGTTTGTTCCCCCTGGACCTGGTTTTAACAGGCCTGACATTCTTGTTAAAACCAGAATGATATGTTGCTTCTGTATATGTAGCTGAAGCAAAGAAACTGGTTTTTAGTTACCTCATCAATTTCACGTTAATGTCTGTATTGTTTTTCTCACTGACCTTTAGCTCTCTGTGTTACTAATTCCTTGGTTTCTGCCTTACACTGAATATGTGTCTGCTAACTGTATATTCCTTTAGTTGTGCATTTTTTTAAGTTTTTTTTTTTTGGATGGGGCGTCTTGCTCTGTCGCCCAGGCTGGAGTGCAATGGCACGATCTTGGCTCACTGCAACCTCTGCCTTCCGGGTTCAACCAATTCTCCTGCCTCAGCCTCCTGAGTAGCTGGGATTACAGGTGTGGACCACCATGCCTAGCTAATTTTTGTATTTTTAGTAAAAATGGGGTTTCACCATGTTAGTCAGGCTGGTCTCGAACTCCTGACCTTGTGATCCACCCACCTTGGCCTCCCAAAGTGCTGGGATTACAGGCGTGAGTCATCGTGCCTGGCCTTAAGTTTATGTTACTATAAAAGTAGTACCTTTATTGTGAACTACTTAGAAAGTATATAAATGAAAAATTTTAAAAAGTAACCACAACTCTACTCCTCAAAAAAAATAGACTTAATATGTGTATTTTTTTCCTAGGATTTTAATTTTTTTATTCTACACATTTTAAGTCATCATGTGCACACAATTTTTATCTTTATATATTTAGTTCATGTCTTTTTTTCACTTTTAATTGTAAGATATACGTAACATAAAAAGTACTCTTCACAATATTTTAAAAAGTACAGTTCAGTAGCATTATGTATATTCACATTGTTGTGCAGCCATTATTACCGTCTAGCCATAGAAATTTTTTCATTTTGCAAAACTGAAACTCTGTACCTATTAAAGACAATAATTTCCCATTTCCCTCTCCCCCAGAACCTGGCAACTAACATTCTGCTCATTATCGCCATGAGTTTGATTATTCTAGGTACCTCATATAAATGAAATAATACAGTATTTTTCATTTTGTGCCTGACTTATTTTACTTAGCGTAATATCATCAAAGTTCATCCATGTTGTAACATATGTTAGAATTTCCTTCCTTTTTAAGGCTGAGTAATATTCCATTGTATGTATATATATCACATTTTGTTTAGCCATTCCTCTGTCAATGGACATTTGGTTTGCTCCCACTTTCTGGCACTTGTGAATATGAAGTACAAACATCCTTTTACATCCCACATTTTAATTATTTTGGGCATATACCCAGAAGTGGAATTGCTGGATTATATGGTAATTCTATATTTACATTTTTTAGGAACTGCCACACTATTTTCCATAAAGGGTGTACCATTTTACATTTGCATCTGTATATAAGGTTTCAATTTCTCTACATCCTTACCCACATGTGTTTCTCTTTTGTTTTTTTAGTAGCTATCCCAATGAATTTGAGGTGGTATCTCATTGTGATTTTGATTTGCCTTTACCTAATTGTGAGGGATGTTGAGCTTCTTTTTATGTGCTTATTGATTATTTGTATATCTTCTTTGGAGAAATGCCTAATTAAAGTTTTTGGCCATTTTTAAATTGGGTTCTTTGTTATTCTGTTGTTTGTTTTTGTTGTTGTGTTATAGAATTTCTTTATATGTCTTATATATCTCGATATTAACCCCCATCAGATAAATAGTTTGAAAATATTTTCTCCCATTCCATGGGTTGCCTTTTTATTCTGTTGACTGTGTCATCTGACGTAAATAATTTAAAAATTATGTTGTGGACCAATTTATCTATTTTTCCTTTTGTTGCTTGTGCTTTTAGTGTCATATTCAGGAAATCATTGCCAAATCCAATGTCATAAAGATTTTTTCTTATGTTTTCTTCTCAGAGTTTTATATAGTTTTATCTTTTAAATTTAGGTCTTTGACCCGTTTTGAGTTAATTTTTACATATGATGTATGGTAAAGTTCCAACTTCATTATTTTGCATATGGATATCCAATTTTCTCAGCACCATTTGTTGAAAAGACTGTTCTTTCCACATACAATGGTCTTGACACATTTGTTAAAAATCATTTGACCATACTTGTAAGGAATTATTTTTGGGCTCTGTATTTCATTCCATTGGTCTATGTTTCTGTCTTTATGGTAGTACCAAACTATTTTGATTACTGTAACACTGTAGTAAGCTTTGAAATCAGGAAGTGTAAGTCTTCTAACTTTGTTCTTCCTTTTCAAGATTGTTTTGGCAATTTATGGTCTCTTCAGAGTCCATGAGAATTTTAGAATGGACTTTTCTATTTCTTCAAAAAAATAGTCAATTTGATGTAGGATTTTTTTGCTCCTTAGTTCAGCTAAAATCCAGCTTCTTATCATACAACCAGGATTAATTAGGCATGTGGACACACTGAAAGGTGAGGAGAGTGGGATTTATTAAAGGAAAGCTTTCAGTGGAAAAAAAATGGGGGGTCCTCCTAACAGGCTCCCACCTCACAGATTAAATACAGGCCACCACACACGCGTACGCACGCACACACCAACTGGAGGCCCAGCTCCTCCCCACTGCAAACAAACCCCCAGTAGCTCCACCCCATTCCCCCAGTGCACAGCTGGCCCCCCCAGTCAGTTGTGGGCATGCCCAGACAGGGCCCTAGGCAGGTTCCTTCATCTGCACAAAAGCATCTGATGTAAACACTTGTGGGTTGGGTCAGAGATTCTCCAGGGATCCTCCCTTATCTGCCTCCAGCATCTATCAATTGGTATTTTGATGCAGATTGCATTGAATCTGTAGGTCACACTGAGTATTGACATTTTAACAATATTAAGTCTTCCAGTCCATGAACATGAGATATCATTCAATTTGTATGTGTCTTCTTTAATGTCTCTCAGCAACGTTTTTGTAGTTTTCAGTGTGCAAATCTTTTAACTCCTTGGTTAAGTTTATTTGTAAGTATTTTATTCTTTTTGATGCTATTGTAAATTGAATAGTTTTCTTAATTTCCCTTTCAGGTTTTTCATTGTTATTGTATAGAAATGCAATTGAATTTTGTATCTTTTGTATCATTTCAGTACATTTGTATTCTGCAACTCTACTTAATTTATTTATTAGTTATTGCATTTGTGTGTAATTGTTAGTATTTTCTACATATAGCTTCATGTTATCGATGAACAGAGATACTTCATATCATTTTTAATGGCTATATAACATTTTATAATCGGGTGAATCATGATTGATTTAACCACAAAGCTATATTTGGAATCTAAAACTTAAAAGCATTCTTAGAATAAATTATGCTATGATGTCCATTTTTTCAAATTAATAAATTCCTTAGAGAAGTTTTAGGTTCACAGTAAAATCGAGTGAAAAGTACAGAGTCCCCATACACTCATTCCCCCACCCACACAACCTCTCCCACTAACATCCTCCACCAGAGTGCAGATACATTTGTTACAATTGATGAATGTACACTGACATATTATCACCCAAAGTCCGTAGTTTACATTAGGGTTCATTCTTGGTGTATATTCTATGGGTTTGGAAAAATATATAATGACATGTATTCAGTGCCCTAAAACTTACCTGTGCTCTACCTATTCATCCTCCTCCCTCTGGCCCCTGGAGACCACTAATTTTTTGTCTCTATGGTTTAACTTTCCTAGAATTTCGTATTGTTGAAATCAAACAGTTTGTACTCTATTAAGAATGGCTTCATCACTTAGTAATATGCATTTAAATTTCCTCGATGTCCTTTCATGGCTTGATAGCTCATTTCTTCTCTGTGTTGAATAATATTCCATTGTCTGGATATACCACAGTTTATCCATTCACCTACTGAAGGACATCTCAGTTGCTTCCAAGCTTTGACAATAATGAATAAAGATACAGTAAATGTTAATGTGCAGGTTTTTGTGTGGATATGTTTCCAGTTCATTTGGTCAAATACCAAAGGGCACTATTGTTGGAGTGTATGGCAAGAGTATATTTAGTTTTGTAGGAAACTGCCAAATTGTCTTCCAAAGTGGCTGTATCATTTTTGCATTCTCACCAGCAATGATTGAGAATTTCTGTTGTTCCACATTTTCAGCAGCATTTGGTATTGACAGCATTTTGATTTTTGGCCATTTCAATAGATGTGTAGTGATAGCTTATTGTTTTAATTTGTAATTCTCTAATGATATATGTTGTTGTCCTAGTCTGTTTTCTGTTGATATACCTGAATACTGCACACTATGTAATTTATAAAAAATAAAGGTTCAATTATCTCATGATTATGGAGGTTGGGAAGTCAGAATTATGGTACTGGCATCTGGTGAACTCCTTCTTGCTGCATCATAACATGGCAGAGGATATCATCCATGGCAAGACAGAGCAAGTGTGCTAGCTCAGGTCTCTTTTTTACCTCTTATAAAGCCACTGCCCCATCATAGGGCCCCACCCTAATGAACTTATCTAACCCTAATTGCCTCCCAAAGGCCTCACCTCCAAATGATTAACATATGAATTTGGGGATTAAGTTTCCAATACCTGAAATTCTGGGGACACATTCCAACTACTGCAGATGTTGAACATCTTTCATATGCTTACTTGCCGTCTTTATGTCTTCTTTGGAGAGATGGATATTCAGGTCTTTTGCTTATATGTTCATTGATTGTTCATTTTTATATTGCTAAGTATTAGGAGGTCTTTGTATATTTTGGATAATAGCTCTTTAGCGGATTTATCTTTTGCAAACATTTTCTCCCAGTGCGTGGCCTGTCTTCTCATTATCTTGGCAATGTCTTCCATGGAGCAGGAACTTTAAATTTTAATGCGTTGCAATTTATTAATTTATCTTTCATGAACTGTACTTTTGGTGTAGTATCAAAAAAGTTATCAAACTCAAGATCATCTCAATTTTCTCTTAAGTTATCTTCTAGGGGTTTTAGAGTTTTGCATTTTACATCTAGTCATGTGATCTATTTTGAGTTAATCTTTGTGAAAAGTGCAAGGTCTGTGTCTAGATTTGTTTATCTTTTCATCTTCTCTTTTCTTTCATGTGAATCTCCAGTTTTTCCACCATCATTTGTTTAAAAGATTGTTTTTGTTCCATGACATTGCCTTTGCCCCTTTGTCAAAGATCACCTGATTATATTTATCTTAGTCTATTTTGGGGCTCTCTATTCTGTTCCATTGATCTATCTGTCTATTCTTTAACCAATATCACACTGTGATTACGGTAGCTTTATAGTGATTCTTGAAGTCAGGTCTTGTCAGTCCTACAATTTTGTTCTTCTTTTTCAATATTGACTTGACTATTTTATGTCTTTTGCCTCCCTATATAAACTTTAGAATCAGCTTGTCAATATCTGTAAAATAAGTAGATAGGATTTTGACTGGAATGGTACTGAATTTATAGATGAAGCTGAAAATAACTGACATCTCAACCATATGGAGTCTACCTATTAATGAACATGGAATATCTCTCCATTTATTTAGTTCTTCAATTTCTTTATCAGATTTTGCAATTTTGCTCATCTAGCTCTTGTAGAGATTTTGTTAAATTAATACCTAAATCTTAATTTTGGATGTGCTAATGTAAATGGTAATGTATTTTTAATTTTCAATTCCACTTTTTCATTGCTCATATATAGAAAAGCAATCGACTTCTACATATTAGCCTGGTATCCTGCAACCTTATTATAATCACTGATTAGTTCCAGTTACTTGTATTTGTCAACTATTTTGGATTTTGTACATAGATGATCATCTGTGAACAAAGACAATTTTATTTTTCCCCCATCTATGTAACTTTTGTTTCCTTTTTTTATTACATTTGCTAGAATTTTCACAATGTTGATTCTACCCATCCATGATCATGGGATGTGATTTTATTTGTTTGTGTCATCTATGATTTCTTTCAGCAGTGATTTGAAGGTTTTCTTGTAGAGGTCTTTCACCTCTTTGGGTAATCATATTGCTAAGTATTTAATTTTTTTGGAGGTATTGTAAAGGGGTCGAGTTCTTAATTTGATTCTCAGCTTGGTCACTGTTATTGTATACCACAAATCAGAGCTATTGATTTGTGTACATTAATTTTGTATACGGAAACTTTGTTGAATTCATTTATCAGTTCTAGGAGCTTTCAGGAGGAATCTTTAGGGTTTTCTAGGTACACCATCATATCATCAGCAAACAGTGACAGTGTGACTTCATGTTTGCCAATTTGGATGCCCTTTATTTCTTTCTCTTTTCTGATTGCTCTGGCTAGGACTTCCAGTACTATGTTGAATAGAAGTGGTGGGAGAGGGCATCCTTGTCTTGTTCCAGTTCTCAGGGGAATACTTTCAAACTTTTCCCTGTTCAGTATAATGTTGGCTGTCAGTTTGTCATAGATGGCTTTTATTACATTAAGGTATGTCCCTTCTATGCTGATTTTGTTGAGGGTTTCAATCATACAGGGATGCTGGATTTTGTTAAATGCTTTTTCTGTGTCTATTGAGATGATCATGTGATTTGTGTTTTAAATTCTGTTTATGTGGTGTCTCACATTTATTTACTTGTATATGTTAAAGCATCCCTGCATCCCTGGTGTGAAACCCACTTGATCATGATGGATTATCTTTCTCATATGCTGTTGGATTTGGTTAGCTAGTATTTTGTTAAGGACTTTTGTGTCTATGTTCACCAGTGATATTAATCTGTAGTTTTCTTTTTTTATTGTTATCCTCTTTACTGCTTTTGGTATTAGGGTGATACTGACTTAGAATGATCCAGGGAAGATTCCCTGTTTATCTTGTGGAATAGTGTCAATAGGATTGGTACCATTTCTTCTTTGAATATCTGATAGAATTCAGGTGTGAATCAGTCTGGTCCTGAACTATTTTTTGTTGGCAATTATTTTATCACCATTTCAATCTCTCTGCTTGTTATTGGTCTGTTCAGAGTTTCTATTTCTTCCTGGTTTAATCTAGGAGAGTTGTATATTTCCAAGAATTTATTCGCCTCCTCTAGGTTTTCTGGTTTATGTGAATAAAGATGTTCACAGTAGCCTTGAGTGATCTTTTGTATTTCTGTGATATCGGTTGTAATATCTCCTGTTTTGTTTCTAATTGAGCTTATTTGGATCTTCTCTCTTTTTTCTTGGTTAATCTTGCTAATGATCTATCAATTTTATTTGTCTTTTCAAAGAACCAGCTTTTTGTTTCATTTAACTTTTGTATTTTGTGTTTTTGTTTCAATTTCCTTTAGTTCTGCTCTGATCTTTGTTATTTCATTTTTTTCTGCTGAGTTTGGGTTTGGTTTGTTCTTGTTTCTCTAGTTCCTTGAGGTGGGATCTTAGATTTCTATCTGTGCTCTTTCAGACTTTTTGATATAGGCATTTAGGGCTATGAACTTTCCTATTAGCACTGCCTTTGCTGTATCCCAGAGGTTTCAATAGGTTGTGTCACCATTATCATTCAGTTCAAGGAATTTTTAAATTTCCATCTTGCTTTAATTTTTGACCCAATGCAGGTTATTTAATTTCCATGTATTTGCATGATTTTGAGGGTTCCTTTTGGAGTTGATTTCCAGTTTTATTCCACTGTGATCTGAGATAATACTTAATATAATTTCAGTTTTCTAAATTTACTTTGTGTAAATTTTTTCGAAGTTTTCAACTTCTTTGCCTTTGGTTTGAATTTCCCCCTGTAGCTCGGAGTAGTTTGATCGTCTGAAGCCTTCTTCTCTCAACTCGTCAAAGTCATTCTCTATCCAGCTTTGTTCTGTTGCTGGTGAGGAGCTGCGTTCCTTTGGAGGAGGAGAGGCACTCTGCTTTTTAGAGTTTCCAGTTTTTCTGCTTTGTTTTTTCCCCATCTTTGTGGTTTTATCTACTTTTGGTCTTTGATGATGGTGATGTACAGATGGGTTTTTGGTGTGGATGTCCTTTCTGTTTGTTGGTTTTCCTTCTAACAGACAGGACCCTCAGCTGCAGGTCTGTTGGAGTTTGCTAGAGGTCCACTCCAGATGCTGTTTTCCTGGGTACCAGCCGCGGTGGCTGTAGAAAAAATGTATAACTAGAATAACTAATACAGAGAAGTGCTTAAAGAAGCTGATGGAGGTGAAAGCCAAGGCTCGAGAACTACGTGAAGAATGCAGAAGCCTCAGGAGCCGATGCGATCAACTGGAAGAAAGGATATCAGTGATGGAAGATGAAATGAATGAAATGAAGCGAGAAGGGAAGTTTAGAGAAAAAAGAATGAAAAGAAATGAACAAAGCCTCCAAGAAATATGGGACTATGTGAAAAGACCAAATCTACGTCTGACTGGTGTACCTGAAAGTGACGGGGAGAATGGAACCAAGTTGGAAAACACTCTGCAGGATATTATCCAGGAGAACTTCCCCAATCTAGCAAGGCAGGCCAACATTCAGATTCAGGAAATACAGAGAATGCCACAAAGATACTCCTCGAGAAGAGCAACTCCAAGACACATAATTGTCAGATTCATCAAAGTTGAAATGAAGGAAAAAATGTTAAGGGCAGCCAGAGAGAAAGGTCGGGTTACCCACAAAGGGAAGCCCATCAGACTAACAGCGGATCTCTCGGCAGAAACCCTACAAGCCAGAAGAGAGTGGGGGCCAATATTCAACATTCTTAAAGAAAAGAATTTTCAACCCAGAATTTCATATCCAGCCAAACTAAGCTTCATAAGTGAAGGAGAAATAAAATCCTTTACAAACAAGCAAATGCTGAGAGATTTTGTCACCACCAGGCCTGCCCCAAAAGAGCTCCTGAAGGAAGCACTAAACATGGAAAGGAACAACCAGTACCAACCACAGCAAAATCATGCCAAATTGTAAAGACCATCGAGGCTAGGAAGAAACTGCATCAACTAACGAGCAAAATAACCAGCTAACATCATAATGACAGGATCAAATTCACACATAACAATATTAACTTTAAATGTCAATGGACTAAATGCTCCAATTAAAAGACACAGACTGGCAAATTGGATAAAAAGTCAGGACCCATCAGTGTGCTGTATTCAGGAAACCCATCTCACATGCAGAGACACGCATAGGCTCAAAATAAAAGGATGGAGGAAGATCTACCAAGCAAATGGAAAACAAAAAAAGGCAGGGGTTGCAATCCTAATCTCTGATAAAACAGACTTTAAACCAACAAAGATCAAAAGAGACAAAGAAGGCCATTACATAATGGTAAAGGGATCAATTCAACAAGAAGAGCTAACTATCCTTAATATATATGCACCCAATACAGGAGCACCCAGATTGATAAAGCAAGTCCTGGGTGACCTACAAAGAGTCTTAGACTCCCACACAATAATAATGGGAGACTAAAACACCCCACTGTCAACATTAGACAGATCAACAAGACAGAAAGTTAAAAAGGATACCCAGGAATAGAACTCAGCTCTGCACCAAGCGGACCTAATAGACATCTACAGAACTCTCCACCCCAAATCAACAGAATATACATTCTTTTCAGCACCACACCTATTCCAAAATTGACCGCATAGTTGGAAGTAAAGCTCTCCTCAGCAAATGTAAAAGATCAAAAATTATAACAAACTGTCTCTCAGACCACAGTGCAATCAAACTAGAACTCAGGATTAAGAAACTCACTCAAAACCACTCAACTACATGGAAACTGAACAACCTGCTCCTGAATGACTACTGGGTACATAACGAAATGAAGGCAGAAATAAAGATGTTCTTGGAAACCAACGAGAACAACGACACAACATACCAGAATCTCTGGGACACATTCAAAGCAGTGTGTAGAGGGAAATTTATAGCACTAAATGCCCACAAGAGAAAGCAGGAAAGATCTAAAATTGACACCATAATGTCACAATTAAAAGAACTAGAGAAGCAAGAGCAAACACATCCAAAAGCTAGCAGAAGGCAAGAAATAACTAAAATCAGAGCAGAACTGAAGGAAATACAGACACAAAAAACCCTTCAAAAAATTAATGAATCCAGGAGCTGGTTTTTTGAAAGGATCAACAAAATTGATAGACCACTAGCAAGACTAATAAGAAAGAAAAGAGAGAAGAATCAAATAGACACAATAAAAAATGATAAAGGGGATATCACCACCGATCCCACAGAAATACAAACTACCACCAGAGAATACTACAAACACCTCTATGCAAATAAACTAGAAAACCTAGAAGAAATGGATAAATTCCTGGACACATACACCCTCCCAAGACTAAACCAGGAAGAAGTTGAATCTCTGAATAGACCAATAACAGGCTCTGAAATTGTGGCAATAATCAATAGCTTACCAACCAAAAAGAGTCCTGGACCAGATGGATTCACAGCCAAATTCTACCAGAGGTACAAGGAGGAGCTGGTACCATTCCTTCTGAAACTATTCCAATCGATAGAAAAAGAGGGAATCCTCCCTATCTCATTTTATGAGGCCAGCATCATCCTGATACCAAAGCCAGGCAGAGATACAACAAAAAAAGAGAATTTTAGACCAATATCCTTGATGAATATTGATGCAAAAATCCTCAATAAAATACTGGCAAACCGAATCCAGCAGCATATCAAAAAGCTTATCCACCATGATCAAGTGGGCTTCATCCCTGGGATGCAAGGTTGGTTCAATATATGCAAATCAATAATTGTAATCCAGCATGTAAACAGAACCAAAGACAAAAACCACATGATTATCTCAATAGATGCAGAAAAGGTCTTTGACAAAATTCAACAACTCTTCATGCTAAAAACACTCAATAAATTAGGTATTGATGGGA
The DNA here is from genome assembly GCF_000001405.40 of Homo sapiens. Lineage (NCBI taxonomy): Eukaryota > Metazoa > Chordata > Mammalia > Primates > Hominidae > Homo > Homo sapiens. The sequence continues at coordinate 114,916,835 of NC_000005.10, read as the reverse complement.
CGTATCTCAAAATAATAAGAGCTATCTATGACAAACCCACAGCCAATATCATACTGAATGGGCAAAAACTGGAAGCATTCCCTTTGAAAACTGGCACAAGACAGGGATGCCCTGTCTCACCACTCCTTTTCAACATAGTGTTGGAAGTTCTGGCCAGGGCAATTCAGCAGGAGAAGGAAATAAAGGGCATTCAATTAGGAAAAGAGGAAGTTGAATCATGTCCCTGTTTGCAGATGACATGATTGCATATCTAGAAAACCCCATTGTCTCAGTCCAAAATCTCCTTATGCTGATAAGCAACTTCAGCAAAGTCTCAGGATACAAAATCAGTGTGCAAAAATCACAAGCATTCTTATACACCAATAACAGAAAGAGAGCCAAATCATGAGTGAACTCCCATTCATAATTGCTTCAAACACAATAAAATACCTAGGAATCCAACTTACAAGGGACATGAAGGACCTCTTCAAGGAGAACTACAAACCACTGCTCAATGAAATAAAAGAGGATACAAACAAATGGAAGAACATTCCATGCTCATTGGTAGGAAGAATCAATATCATGAAAATGGCCATACTGCCCAAGGTAATTTATAGATTCAATGACATCCCCATCAAGCTACCAATGAATTTCTTCACATAATTGGAAAAAACTACTTTAAAGTTCATATGGAACCAAAAAAGAGCCCACATCGCCAAGTCAATCCTAAGCCAAAAGAACAAAGCTGGAGGCATCACGCTACCTGATTTCAAACTATACTACAAGGCTACAGTAACCAAAACAGCAGGGTACTGGTACCAAAACAGAGATATAGATCAATGGAACAGAACAGAGCCCTCAGAAATAATGCCGCTTATCTACAACCATCTGATCTTTGACAAACCTGACAAAAACAAGCAATGAGGAAAAGATTCCCTATTCAATAAATGGTGCTGGGAAAACTGGCTAGCCATATGTAGAAAGCTGTAACTGGATCTCTTCCTTACACCTTATACAAAAATTAATTCAAGGTGGATTAAAGATGTACATGTTAGACCTAAAACCATAAAAACCCTAGAAGAAAACCTAGGCATTACCATTCAGGACATAGGCATGGGCAAGGACTTCATGTCTAAAACACCAAAAGCAATGGCAACAAAAGCCAAAATTGATAAATGGGATCTAATTAAACTAAAGAGCTTCTGCACAGCAAAAGAAACTACCATCAGAGTGAACAGGCAACCTACAGAATGCGAGAAAATGTTTGCAACCTACTCATCTGACAATGGGCTAATATCCAGAATCTACATTGAGCTCAAACAAATTTACAAGAAAAAATCAAACAACCCCATCAAAAAGTGGGCGAAGGACATGAACAGACACTTCTCAAAAGAAGACGTTTATGCAACCAAAAAACACATGAAAAAATGCTCATCATCACTGGCCATCAGAGAAATGCAAATCAAAACCACAATGAGATACCATCTCACAGCAGTTAGAATGGCAATCATTAAAAAGGAAACAACAGGTGCTGGAGAGGATGTGGAGAAATAGGAACACTTTTACACCGTTGGTGGGACTGTAAACTGGTTCAACCATTGTGGAAGTCAGTGTGGTGATTCCTCAGGGATCTAGAACTAGAAATACCATTTGACCCAGCTATCCCATTACTGGGTATATACCCAAAGGATTATAAATCATGCTGGTATAAAGACACATGCACAGGTATGTTTATTGTGGCACTATTCACAATAGCAAAGACTTGGAACCAAGCCAAATGTCCAACAATGATAGACTGGATTAAGAAAATGTGGCACATATACACCAGCCATAAAAAATGATGAGTTCATGTCCTTTGTAGGGACATGGATGAAATTGGAAATCATCATTCTCAGTAAACTATTGCAAGAACAAAAAACCAAACACCGCATATTCTCACTCATAGATGGGAATTGAACAATGAGAACACATGGACACAGGAAGGGAACATCACACTCTGGGGACTGTTGTGGGGTGGCGGGAGTGGGGAGGGATAGCTTTAGGAGATACACCTAATGCTAAATGGTGAGTTAATGGGTGCAGCAGAGCAGCATGGCACATGTATACATATGTAACTAACCTGCACATTGTGTACATGTACCTTAAAACTTAAATATAATAATAATAAAATAAAATAAAAAAATTTATTTTGTGGTCTATCATATTGTCTATTTTGAAGAATGTTCCATGTGCTAATAAAAAGAATTTATATTCTGCAGTCATTGAGCAGAATGTTCTGTAATAACTGTTTATTCCAGGATGTAGTTTATATTCATTGTTTTTTTGTTGACTTTCTGTGTTGATGACCTGTCTAGTGCTGTCAGTGGAATATTCATGTCCCCCACTGTTATTGTGTTGCTATCTTTCTCATTTCTTAGGTCTAGTTGTAATTGTTTTACAAATTTGAGAGCTCCAGTATTAGGTGCATATATATTTAGAATTGTGATATTTTCCTGTTGGGCAAGTCCTTTTTATCATTTTATAATGTCCATCACTGTCCTTTTTAACTGTTGTTGCTTTAAAGTCTGTGTCATCTAATATAAGAATAGCAACTCCTGCTTGCTTTTGATGTCCATTTGCATAGAATATCTTTTTCCATCCCTTTACCTTAAGTGTACATGAGTCCTTATGTGTTAGGTGAGTCTCTTGAAGACAGCAGATACTTGGTTGGTGAATTTTTATCCATTCTACCATTCTTTGTCTTTTAAGTGATGCATTTAGGCCATTTACAGTCAATGTCTGTATTGAGATATGAGGTACTATTTTATCCATTGAGCTATTTGTTGCCTTAATACCTTGTTGTTATTGTTTTTCATTGTGTTTTTATTTTTTAGGTCCTGTGTGATTTATACTTTAAGGAGGTTCAAAATTTTGGTGAATTTTAAGGATTTGTTTCAATATTTAGAGCTCCTTTTAGCAGTTCTTGAAGTGCTGGCTTGGTGGTGGCAAATTCTCTCATCCTTTGTTTGTCTGAAAAAGACTGTATCATTTCTTCATTTATGAAGCTTAGTTTCCTTCATTTATGAAGCAAAAATTCTTGGATGATAATTATTTTCTTTAAGGAGGCTAAAGATAGGGCCTCAGTCCCTCCTAGCTTGTAGGGTTCCTGCCAAGAAATCTGCTGTTAATCTGAGAGGTTTTCCTTTATACGTTACCTAATGCTTTTTACCTCACAGCTCTTAGGATCCTTTTCTTCATCTTGAGTTTAGATAACCTGATGACTATGTGCTTAGGTGATGATCTTTTTCTGATTAATTTCCCAGGTTTTCTCTGAGCTTCTTGTGTTTGTATGTATATTTTTAGCAAGACTGCGGAAGTTTTACTCGATTATTCCTTCAAATATGTTTTCCAAACTGTTAGATTTTTTTTTCTTTGGGAAAGCCAGTTATTCTTAGGCATGGTCATTTAACATGATCCCAAGCTTTTTGGAGGCTTTGTCATTTTTTAAAATTCTTGTTTCTTTGTCTTTGTTGGATTGAGTTAATTCAAAAGCCTTGTCTTCTAGTTCTGAAGTTCTTTCTTCTACTTGTTCTATTCTATTGCTGAGAGTTTCCAGTGTATTTTGCATTTCTCTGTGTCCTTCATTTTCAGAAGTTGTGATTGTTTTTTATTTATGCTATTTATTTCATTGAAGGGGTTTCCCTTCACATCTTGTGTCATTTTTTTTATTTCATTAATTTGGACTTTACCTTTCTTTGGTGCCTCCTTGATTAGCTTAATAATTGACCTTCTGAATTCTTTTTCTGGCAATTCAGAGATTTCTTCTTGGTTTGAATTCATTCCTGATGAGCTAGTGTGATCTTTTGGGGGTGCTAAAGAACCATGTTTTGTCATATCACCAGAATTGTTTTTCTGTTTTCTATGTTTTTGTTTGTTTGTTTGTTTGATTCTCATTTGTGTAGACTGTCTTTGAGGGAAGGTCTGGGGATCAAGCACTACTGTTCAGATTCTTTTGTTCCATGGGGTGCTGCCTTGATGTGGTGCTCTCCCTCTTCCCCTAGGGATGTGGCTTCCTGAGAGCCAAACTGCAGTGATTGTAATTTCTCTTCTGGATCTAGCCACTCAGAGGAGCTAGCAGGTTCCCAGCTTGTACTGGGGAGTGTCTGCACAGAGTCCTGTGATGTGAACTGTATTCAAGTCTCTCAGCTGTGGATATGAGCACATGCTTTGGTGAAGAGGTGGCAGGAGAGCGAAGTGGACTTTTTGAAGGTCCTTGGTTTTAGTTTTGTTTATTGGACTAGTTTTGTATTGGCTGGCCTCCAGCCAGGAGGTGGTGCTTTCAAGAGAGCATCAGCTATGGTAGTATAGGGAGGATCAGGTGATGGATGTGGACATACAGCTCCCAGGAGATTATGTCATTTGTCTTAGGCTACTAGGGTGGGCAGAGGAAGATCATCCAGTGGGGATCGTGTTAGACATGTCTGAGCTCAGACTCTCCTTGGGTGGGGCTTCCTGCAGCTGAGGTTTTCAGCTGTCTCTGAGAGCCTGCAACAGCAATCTGTTTCCTTCATATGGTCTCTGGATTCTCTCAGCTTTTCTGGTATGTTCTTATGGTAGTTCTAGAAGCAAAGTTTTATGACGTGAGTCTCCACGTGCTGCTCTGTCTGTCCAAGTGGGAGCTGCAAGTTAATTCTGCTTCTTATCTGCCATTTCTCCCCAGATTATCTGGTAACTCTTTTTACTTTGAAGTCTTCTGTTTCAGAAATTAATATAGCTGCTTCTGTTTTCTTTTGATTAGTGTTAACATTGTATATCTTTCTCCCCCTCTTTACTTTTAATCTATCTATATATATCTTTTATTTAAAATTGGTTTCTTGAAAACAAAACACTGTTGGGTCTTATTTTTTGACCCACTCTGGCAATCTCTGTCTTATGACTGCTATATTTAGACCATTAATATTTAAAGTGGTTATTTATATATTTTGACTAATATCTAACATATTTGTTAATGCTTTCTATGTATCACTCTTGTTCTTTTCTTCTATCTTTGTCTTCCAATTTTTTTCTGGCTTTTGTGGTTTTAATTGAACATTTTATATGATTCCATTTTCTCTCTTTTCTTAGCATATTGATTATACATTTTTAAACCCTTTTTTAGGGGTGCCTTAGAGTTTGCAAAAATATATTTACAACCAATCCAAGTCCATTTTCAAATAACACTATACCTCTTAATTTATAGTAAAAGTACCTTATAATAACAAAATATTTCTTTCACCTTATCCCCTGTATTATTGCTGTCATTCATTTTACTTATATGTAAGGATATATATATATATATATATATGCATATATATATATATATGCATATATATATATATACACACACATACGTACACATGTGTATACATAATCACATACATTATTGCCATTATTATCTTGAATAAACTTAATTATTAACTCATTTGAGAATAAAAAATAGGTGTGTTTTTTTACCTTCACTTATTCATTCTTTGATGCTCTTTTTTTTGTAGATATGAGTTTCTGTCTGAAGAAATTATTTTAATGTTTCTTGCAAGATTGTTCTACAACACCAACATCCTCAATTTTGTTTCTTTATTTCTCCTTCATTTATAAAGAATGACTTTGCAGGATAGAGAATTCTGGGTTGGTAGGGTTTTTATTTCCTTCAACACTTTAAATATTTCACTTAACTTTTTTCTTGCTTGCATGGTTTCTGAGGAAAAGTCAAAGTAATTCTTAATATGTTTTCCTCTATAGGTAAAGTGTTTTTATCCTCTGCCATTTTTCAATATTTTTACTTTATGTTTCATTTTCTGAAATTTGAATATGACAATATATATCCTGTTTTGGCATTTATACTGACATTTATTGGTATTGTCTGAAATTTCTGTATCTGCAGTTTGATGACCAAAATGAATTTTGGGAAGTTCTGAGTCATCATTATTTCAAACATTGCTCCTGTTCTTTTTTTCTGTCCTGGAATTCTCATTTTTGTATTTACAAGTTTTGTAATTATCCCACTGTCCTTGGATGTTCTGCTCTGTTTTTGTTGTTGTTGTTGTTGTTGTTGTTGTTCTTATGTTCTCAAGGATTTCTTCCTCAGTCATGTCCAGTCTACTGAGGAGCCTATCACAGGTGTTTTTTCATTTCTGTTACAGTGTTTTTGATGTCTAGCATTTCTTTTGATTCTTTTTTAGAATTTATATCTCTCTGTTCTTGCACATTATTTACTTTTTACATTGCAGCTTTTGGCATGTTAATCATAATTTTTATAAACTCCTAGTCTCGTAATTCCAAAGTTTCTGCTGTATCTGACTATAGTTCTGGTGTTTGTTTAGTCTCTTGAAACTGTGTTTTTTACCTTTTAGCATGTCTTGTAATTTTTTCTTGAAAAGTGGATACAATGTACTGGGTAAAACGAACTGTTGAAAATAATCCTTTAGTAGTGTGACAGGTGAGGAGCAGGGAAAACATTCTATAGTTGTATGATTAGTCTCAATCTTTTAGTGAGTCCAGGCTTTTGAACTGTGAACTTCACTAGTATTTTTCAGGTTTATTCCCCATTTAGGTGGCACGGGATTGTTAGTAGGGGCTGGAGTTAGGTATTTCCCTTCTGCTAGGTCATTTTGGTTCTGATAAAGCCCCAGAAGACTAGGTACTAGTTGAACAGATTCTCCTGAGGGCAGGCCTTCTTAAGAAAATCAGAATTCTCTGATGTGTTATAGCATGGCTCCTTTTCTTTTCTCCCTGTCAGTAATACTAGGGGATATTTTTCTGATATGCACTGTGAAAACCTGATAGAGTTCCCAGAAGTAAAAAAAAAGTTTGGAGACCCCCCATGACTGAGTATTCCTGGAGTTTTTAACTCTCAGAGTTGTCTGCCCTGAGCTTCCAGCGATTTTTCAATTATAGTTTAGGTTTGCCTATCCTGGCAATGGTCCCTGCAGCAGTTTCTGCTTAGATAGGTTGTACATTTCTGTGTCAAGTTGTTTTCCTCTCTAATTTCTGCAACAGTGATTTTCCTTGTGACCTCACTTCTCTGTTGGATCTAAGAAGAGTTGTTGATTTTTCAGCTTCCATATCTTTGTACTTGTTGTTAGGATGCAGTGGCAACTTGTAATATCCTTATATGCTGGACTGGAAACTGGAAGTCTGATGTCAATTTTTAAAATAAAGATTGATCTCCTTTTCACATTCTTTTGTGAGAAAGAGGAACTGAATCCAAAGCTGTAAATAAGTTTTTGAGTCTTTATACTATTGCCACCTTGTCTTTAAGAAAGGCGATGTCAGTTACATACCTATATTGCACAGCATACTACATCGTCACTCCACATAGAGTTCTTGTTTAAAGAAATATAGTTAAGTTGATATGTAAAAATTAGTTTCTGATTTTATAAATTACTTATTTTATTAGCATGATTAATGTTTTTTCTTAGATTTTATTATGAATTAATGATGTTTAGCTCATTTCCATTTAATCTTAATATTCCCTTTTAGTTTTGTTGTTTAAAGTTTTATCAAGTCAAATATCAGTGTTTTCCTGTTTTCATTTCTTACATTGTTTTTGGTTTGGAAAACACTTCAAACTACAGATTTGTCAACATAATATTTTTAAAATTTTTTTGTTTGAGACAGAGTTTCACTCTTGTTGCCTGGGCTGGAGTACAATAGTGCCATCTCAGCTCACTGCAACCCTCACTTCCTGGGTTCAAGTGACTCTCCTGCCTCAGCCTCCTGAGTAGCTGAGATTACAGGCCCCTGCCACCATGCCTGGCAATTTTTTGTATTTTTAGTTGAGACGTGGTTTCACCATGTTGGCCAGGCTGGTCTTAAACACTTGGCCTCAGGTGATCTGCCCACCTTGGCCTCCAAAGAACTGGGATTGCACATGTGAGTCACTATGCATGGCCTTTTAAAAATTATTATGCTTGATTTTTCTGGCATTTTAGTCTATTCCATTTGGAATTTATTCTGGCCTTTACTGCATGATAAGAGACAAACTCCTGAATCTCAATAGATTTATATATTAAAAGTTTATTTCCTGGTTATGTTACATGCCTATCATGGAATGGCAACAGAGTCCACACAGTTGTCCAGGAACCCGTGCTGATGGTGCATCATCTGTAGGATATGGTGTTCCAGGTCTCTATGACTCAAGAAGGAGAGATAGAAGAAGCACACTATAAATTAACTGGCTTGGTGAGGAAATACACATTATTTCCCTAAGAGCCCACTGGTTAACCAGGCTGGGAAATGTAGGAGAACAAATGGAAAATTTGGAAAGCTGTAATTTTCTGTTACAGAACTCATCTCTTCACTTCTTGTAACTGTTTGATAGTATAATGATTATAATAAATATTTATACAAATACAAGTGAAGATTGTGCTACTTTCTCCTTAGAATCTTTTAGTGGTTTCTCATTGTAGTTGGAATACAATCTAAATCCTGAAATCATGGCCTACAGGGGATTTCCATGTTTGGTCCCCTATGTCTTTCCAACCTTATTTCAGGCCATTGGACCCCATCTTACTCTACACCATTTAACACTCTTTCCCCGGGCCTCAAGCATACTAAGTCCTTTCCAGTCTTAAGGACTTCATTTCTGCTGTTTCCCCTCCTCTTGACCTGTCTCCTCCTTCAACTCCATTTAGATTCTTGGAGTCTGAAGTACATAATCTACAGTACAGCTTAGCATACATTTACTTCTGGAGGAAGAGGCAAAACAGAAAGTTGACAGGTATAGGCTCTTTAGCTCAGACTCTGGTCTACTTTTTATGATTTTTCTACAAAATCCTAGGAAGACGTAAATCTTAATAATTTACCATGGAAAACTTACTGGCAGAAAGTAGACATTAACTGCAATTTTGAAAGATATATCTGCAGAGAGTAAAGTATGTCAGATAGTGTTCTGAAAAGACTTGAAGAAAAGAGATTGTTATTTAGTTCTTGTGTGTTTATCATGGCAATAAATATTTATTTCAATAATTTGTAGGCATTTGCCATTAATACTGTGATGGTTATAAATATATATATATTATATATATATATAGGTAGGTTGATTTCTAAGCATTTCTGTTGCATTAAAAGAAAGTTTGCTGTTTAGTACTCTAATTTCTAGACTGGTTAACTGTATTTCTGTATTTTTTGGACTTCTAGCAATACATTTATGACATCTTCATTCATGTATTCATTCAATTATTCATTAATTAAACACACATTTATTGAGGTCTTGACATGACAGATGATGTTAAAATTCCAAAGAAGAATAGCATTGCCTCTGTTTATAGAACTTGGTTTGGTAAGAAAAAGATTTTTGGGAGATTTTTGAAGAGAGCACTATATTTTGGTGGCCAGACATTGTGGTATTCAGTATGAAAACAAGGAAAGAATGTTAATCAGCCTTCACTAAAGAGATAAATTCTGAAAATTTTTCTCCAGGGAGAAGTGCAGGTCTGGCATAGTTAGTAGTATGAACTGGGGAAAAGGATATAGAAATAATATGCATGTTTGAAGAACTGAGAATGGTTTAATGTGACTGGAGTATAAATTGTACATGGGGAGGAGAATGGCAAAGAATGAAGCAAGAACATGCAATGGGGCTTAATATGGTCTGGCTCTGTGTCCTCACCCAAGCTCATCTTGAATTGTAATCCAAGTTGCAATCTCCATGTATTGAGGGAAGTACCTCTTGGGGGTGATTGGATCATGCAGGCAGTTTCCCTGATGCTGTTCTCATAATAGTAAGTGAGTTCTCATGAGATCTGATGGTTTTATAAGGAGCTTGCTCTGCACTTCTCTTTCTTTCTGCCTTGTGAAGAAAGGATGTGTTTGCTTCCCATCCTGCCATGACTAGGTTTCCTGAGGTCTCCCCAGCCATACAGAACTGTGAGACAATTAAACCTCTTTTCTTATAAATTACCCAGTCTTGAGTAATTCTTCATAGCAATGTGAAAATGGACTAATACAGTAAATTGGTACTGAGGTAGTGAGGTGCTGCTATAAGAATAACCGAGGGCTGGGCGCGGTAGCTCACGCCTGTAATACCAACACTTTGTGAGTCCGAGGTGGGTGGATCATGAGATCAAGAGATTGAGACCATTCTGGCCAACATGGTGAAACTGCATCTCTACTAAAAATACAAAAATTAGCCAGGAGTGGTGGCAGGTGCCTCTAATCCCAGCTACTCAGGAGACTGAGGCAGGAGAATCACTTGAACCCAGGAGGCAGAGGTTGCAGTGAGCTGAGATCACACCACTACACTCCAGCCTGGTGACAGAGTGAGACTCTGTCTCAAAATAAATAAACAAACAAATAAATAAATAAATAATAAATACCCCAAAATGTGGAAGTGACTTTGGAACTGAGTAATGAGAAGAGTTTGGAACAGTTTGGAGGGCTCAGAAGAAGACAGGAAGATGTGGAAACTTTGAAAGTTTCTAGAGACTTGTTAAATGGTTTTGACCAAAATGCTGATAGTGATATGGACAATGAAGTCCAGGTTGAGGTGGTCTTGGGTGGAGATGAGGAGCTTATTGGGGGGAACTAGAGCAAAGGTGACTCTTGCTATTCTTTAGAAAAGAAACTGGCAGCATTTTGTTCCTGCCCTGGAGATCTGTGGAGCTTTGAACTTGAGAGAGATGATCTGAAATTGGAGCTTTTATTTAAAAGATAAACAGAGCATAAAAGTTTGGAAAATTTGCAGCCAGACAATGTGATAGACAAGAAAAACCCCATTTTCTGGGGAGAAATTCAAGCCAGCTGCAGAAATTTGCATACATAATGGAGATACATTGGAGTAATCCAAATGGTAATCACCAAGACAATGGGGAAAATGTTTCCAAGGCATGTCAGAGACCTTCACAGAAACCCCTCCCATCACAGGCCCAGAGGCCTAGGAGGAAAAAACTGTTTCCTGGACTGGGTTCAAGGCCTTGCTCCTTTGTGCAGTCTTGGGACTTGGTGCTCTGCATCCTAGCTGTGGCTAAAAGGGGCCAATGTACATCTCAGGCTGTTGCTTCAGAGGGTGCATGCCCCAAGCCTTCGTGGCTTACACATGGTGCTGGACCTGTGGGTGCACAGAAGTGAAGAATTGAGGTTTCTTCACCTCAATTCTAGAAGTGAAGAATCTAGGTGGAGGGAGCCTCCACCTAGATTTCAGAGGATGTATCGAAACAACTAGATGCCCAGGCAGACGTTTTCTGCAAGGGTGGAGCCCCCATGGAGAAGTTCTGCTAGGGTGGTATGGAAGGGAAATGTGGGATTGGAGCCCCCATATAGAGTCCCACCTGGGATATTGCCTAGTGGATCTGTGAGAAAAGGGCTGCTATTCTCCACACGCCAGAATCGTAGATATACTGACAGCTCATGCCATGCACCTGGAAAAGCCACAGACTCAATCCCAGACTATGAAAGCAGCCAGGAGGGGGGCTGTACCCTGCAAAGCAACAGGGGCACAGCTGCCCTAGACCATGAGAGCCCACCTCTTGCATGAGTGTGTCGCAGATGTAAGACATGGAGTCAAAGGAGGTTATGTTGGAGCTTTAAGATTTAATGACTGCCCTGCTAGATTTTGGATTTGCATGGGTCCTGTAGTCCCTTTGTTTTGGCCAATTTCTCCCATTTGGAATGGGAACATTTATCCAATACCTGTACCCCCATTGTATCTAAGAAGTAACTAACTTCCTTTTAATTAAGCTTCTAGGCAGAAGGTCCCTGCCTTGTCTCAGGTGAGACTTTGGACTTGCACTTTTGAGTTAATGCTGAATGAGTTAAGACTTTGGGGGACTGTTGTGAAGACATGATTGTATTTTGAAATGTGAGAAAGATGAGATTTGGGAAGGGTCAGGGGTGGAATGATATGATCTGGCTCTGTTTTCCCATTCAGATCTCATCTTGAATTGTATTTGGATTTGTAATACTGATGTCTTGTGGGGGACCTCATGGGAGGTGATTGGATTATGGAGGTGGTTTCCTCCATGCTATTCTCATGATAGTGAGTGAGTTCTCATGAGATCTGATGGTTTTATAAGGGGCTTTCTCTGCACTTTTCTCTCTTGACACCATGTGAAGAAGGACATGTTCGCTTCCCTTTCTGCCATGATTGTAGGTTTACGGAGGCCTCCCCAGCCATGCAGAACTATGCATCCAATAAACCTCTTTTTTAATAAATTACCCAGTCTTGGGTATTTTCTTACAGCAGTGTGAAAATGGACTAATACAGGGCCAGATTACAAAGCAGTCTCTTAAATGTTGATCTACTGCATTTGAATTTTCTTATGGACTTGGCAAAATGTCAGTGGCAGTGGCCAAATTAAACCTGTGATTAGAGACATAATTCTGAAATTACCTTGTTTACTTTTTCAGGGGGTGAATGTATACAATCTTTTGTTGTCACTTAAACATATTTATCTTCCCCTTTTTATGGAAAAGGAAGCTAAATGACAATGAAACAGCCAAAGCATAAAATCATGGCAATTAACGCCTCTGAACAACCAAAGCACAATAACTGGAATGATTTATTTTCATCGAATTTGTTTATATTATTAAGGCATATTTTTTGTCTTCTACCATAAAACTTATGGAGTCTTATTACCTAAGAGGCATTTATAAGATCTTCTCCATATAACACTAAATGATCTAAAAATCTAATAGGTCTTTTAAAGACCTATTCCTTATGACATTGAATGATTTTATGCTTACCATGAAGATTTTAAATGTGCCAAGATTCAGGACTTCTTTCTGACAGAGGAGAAATAGATGTAGCCACTTATGGGCTTACAACATAATGCATCTGTCAATAATAAAAAAGCTAAAAGAGACAGGCTTTGGCAAAGACCTGTTAAGCTTCATCACTCACTCTTCACACGTCTCCATTCAGAGCATTTATGGATAAACTTGGGAGATTCACAGTCACTCCTGTCATTCAGTGTGTACATTTATGTGTCTAAAGGAGAGTGAAACTACTTCATGAGTTAAAATTGTCTTTCCGTAAGACTCAGAAGTTGTACAGCTGTTATGTCAGCAGCAGTCTATTGCTTTTTCTATATAAGTGATCTAAGTAGAAACAAGGGGAAACAAATTGTATTGGTACTTGGAAGCAATGTCAATCATTTTGAGAGAATGGGAAACATTAGAATTGGTTTTACTTTTTAGAAAATGTCATTCTCATTAAAATGTTTAAAGTTTATTTATTTTAAAGTAACATGTTATTTCTGTGAAAGAGCATTTCTCAATCGAGTGCTTGGAAAATATGCTGCAAATCATTCTCATGGCCGAATATAAAGTGATAAAAGAGAAAAGTCTATTGCTTTCTAAATTATCCAGGATTATTTTTCTGGTGCTGGAATAACTGGCTGTCCATATGCAGAATAGTGAAATTGCCCCCTACTTTCATCATATGCAAAATTAACTCAAGATGGATTATATATTTAAATATAAGCCTTCAAACTATAAAAATCCTAGAAGATACACTGTTGGTGGGACTGCAAACTGGTTCAACCATTGTGGAAGACAGTGTGGCGATTCCTCAAGGATCTAGAACTAGAAATACCATTTGACCCAGCAATCCCATTACTGGGTATATACCCAAAGGATTATAAATCATGCTGCTATAAAGACACATGCACACGTATGTTTATTGCGGCAGTATTCACTATAGCAAAGACTTGGAACCAACCCAAATGTCCATCAATGATAGACTGGATTAAGAAAATGTGGCACATATACACCATGGAATACTATGCAGCCATAGAAAATTATGAGTTCATGTCCTTTGTAGGGACATGGATGAACCTGGAAACCATCATTCTCAGCAAACTATCGCAAGGACAAAAAACCAAACACCGCATATTCTCACTCATAGGTGGGAATTGAACAATGAGAACACATGGACACAGGAAGGGGAACATCACACACCGGGGACTGTTATGGGGTGGGGGGAGTGGGAAGGGACAGCATTAGGAGATATGCCTAATGTAAATGATGAGTTAATGGGTGCAGCACACCAACATGACACATGTATACATATGTAACAAGCCTGCATGTTGGCACATGTACCCTAGAAATTAAAGTATGAAAATAATAATAATAATAATAATAATAATAATGATAATAATAATAATAAAAATCCTAGAAGAAAACCTAGGAAATACCCTTCCCCCTTCCCAACATTGGCCTTGGGAAAGAATTTGTGGCTAAGTTCGCAAAAACTATTGCAGCAAAAACAAAAATTTATAAGTGAGACCTAATTAAAATAAAAAGCTTCTGCACACCAAAAGAAACTATCAACAGAGTAAACAGATAACCTATAGGATGGGAGAAAATATTCACAAACTATGCATCCAACAAAGGTCTAATATCCAGAATCTATAAGAAACTTAAATCAACAAGCAAAAAACAAATAACCCCATTAAAAATGAACAAAGAACATGAACAGAAACTTCCCAAATGATAACATAAACAGCCAAGAAACATATAAAAAATGCTCATGGTCACTAGTCATCAGAAAAATACCAATCAAAACCACAATGAGATACAATCTCATATCAGTCAGAATGGCTACTATGAAAAGTCAAAAAGTAACAGATGCTGGTGAGGCTGTAGAGAAAAGGGAACACTTATATACTGCTGTTGGGAATGTAAATTAGTTCAGCCACTGTGGAAAGCAGTTTAGTCATTTCTCAAAGAACGTAGAACAGGGCTACCATTCAACCCAGCATTCCCAGTACTAGGTATGTACTCAAAGGAAAATAAATTATTCTATCAAAAAGACACATGCACTCACATATTTATCACCATACTTTTTCATAATAGCGAAGACATAGAATCAACTTAGGTGCCCATCAACAGTAGATTGAATAAAGAAAATGTGGTAAATATACACCATGGAATAATGTGCAGCCATAGAAAAGAATAAAATCTTGTTCTTTGCAGCTATATCGGTGAAACTGAAGGTTTTCATAAACCTGTTTGCCATTTGAGAAATTTCTATTCAGATCTTTTGCCCTTTTTAAAATCAGATTATTACTTTTTTTCTACTAAGTTCTTTGAACTCCTTATGTATTCTGGTTATGTATTAGTCTGTTCTCATGCTGCTATGAAGAAATACCCAGGAGTGTGTAATTTATAAAAGAAAGAAGCTTAATTGACTGACAGTTCTGCATTGCCAGGGAGGCCTCAGGAAACTTACAATCATGGTGGAAGGCAAAGGAGAAGCATGCACCTGCTTCACAGCGTGGCAGGATGGAGCGAGTGCAAGCAGAAGAAATGCCAGATGCTTATAAAACCATCAGATCTCATGAGATCTCAAACAACTTGAAACAGAGTGACCATTCAACCCAGCAATCCCATTACTAGGTATGTATCAAAAAATAGATTATTCGAGGCTGGGCATGGTGGCTCAAGCCTGTAATCCCAGCACTTTGGGAGGCCGAGGCGGGTGGATCACAAGGTCAGGAGATCGAGACCATCCTGGCTAACATGGTGAAACCCCGTCTCTACTAAAAATACAAAAAATTAGCCGGGCGTGGTGGCGGGCGCCTGTAGTCCCAGCTACTCGGGAGGCTGAGGTAGGAGAATGGCGTGAACCCAGGAGGTGGAGCTTGCAGTGAGTCGAGATTGCACCACTGCACTCCAGCCTGGGTGACAGAGCAAGACTCCATCTCAAAAAAAAACATATTGATTATTCGATCAAAAAGACACATTCACTTGCATGTTCATCAGCACACTATTTTCAATAGCAAAGACATGGAATCACCCTGAGTGCCTATAACTGGTGGATTGGATAAAGAAAATATGGTACATCTACACCATGGGATACTATGCAGCCATAAAAAAGAATAAAATCTTGTCATTTAGACAACATCGATGCAGCTGGAGGCCATTATCCTAAGTGAATTGACAGAAGAACAGGAAACCAAATGCCATATTTTCTAACTTATAAGTAGGAGCTAAACATTGAGCACACATGGAAACAAAGACAGGAACAATAGACACTGGGGCCTACTAGAGCAAGGAGGCACAGAAGGGGAAAAGGGCTGAAAAATTACCTACTGTGTACTATGTTCACTTCCTAAGTGATGGAATCGGACACACTCCACTCCTTAGCATCATGCAATATTCCTACGTTAACAAACCTGTATATGCACCCCCTTAATCTAAAATAGAAGTTGAAATTATAATATTTTTATGCCTGAATGTAGAAGTGGAGCAAAACAGTCAAGTAGAAGCCTCCAGCAATCATGCCCCCTGCAGAAACACTAAATTGAACAACTGTCCAACACTTTATAAGAACCAAAAATCAAGTGTGTGATCACAGTACCTGGTGTTAATATTATATTAAGGAAAGAGGTACAGAAGAGGGTAAGACAGAAAGTCTTAAATTGCTTGCACCACCCCTCTCCCTTCCCCTGGCAGTGTGACATGGAGAGAATCTGTGTGCTTGGGGGAGGAAGAGTGTTGTGATTGTGGGACTCATTGGAGTCACTGTTGTTCTGTCACGGCAAAGAGTGTCACACGACAGAACTCAGCCAGAACCCACAGAGGGAACATTGACATTAGACCTAGCCAGAGGTAAATTGTTCATCCAATGAATGAAACCTGAGCTCTGGAAAGTCCTGTCACCACAGGCTTTAGCTCTGGGGTTCTAAATAAACTTGAAAGACATTGTAAGCCACAGGGACTGCAATTCCTGGGCAATTCCTGGAAAAGTCCTGGTGCTGTGCTGGGATCAGAGCCAGTGAACTTGGGGTGCACACAACCCAGTGAGCCACCAGCTGGGGAGGCAAAGGGAGTGTTTGCATCACTGCTCCCCTAAACCTAGGTAGTACACCTCACAGCTCTGGGAGAGACTTCTTTTCTCTGCTTGAGGAGAGAAGAGAGTAAAGAGGACTTTTTGTTGGAATTTAGATACCAGCTCAGCCACAGTAGAATAGGGCATCAGGCAGAGTCTAGAGGCCCCCATTTCAGGCCCTACTTTTTGGAAGACATTTCTGAACATGCCCTGGGCCAGAAGGTAACCCATTGCCTTGAAGGGAAGGAATTAGTCCTGGCAGGATCCATTACCTGCTAACTAAAGAGCTTTTCGGCTCTGAATAATCTGCAGTGGTAGCCAGGCAGTACTTGCTGTAGGCCATGGGCAAGACTCAGAGCCATTGTGGTTTCAGGTGTCACCCAGCACATTCTCAGCTGTGGCTAAGGGAAGAGACTCCTCCTGCTTGAGGAAAGAGAGGGAAGACTAAAGGGGACTTTGTCCTGTAGCTTAGGTATCAACTCAGCCACAGTGGGGTAGAGCACCAAGTAGGCTTCTGGGGTCTCTGATTTCAGGCCTTGGTTCCTCTGTGGCATTTCTGGACTTGCTCTGCCTGGGCCAGAGGGGAGCCCACTGCCCTTAAGGGAGAGACTCAGGCCTGGCAGAATTCACTTCAGCTGACTGAAGAGCCTTTGGGCCTTTGGTCCTTGAGTGAACATTGACAGCAGCCAGGTAGTACTTGCCACAGGCCTGGGATGGTGGTGGCCATGGAAAGAAACTCCTCTGCTTGAGAAAAGGTGGGGAATTTTGTCATGTGACTTCAGTGCCAGCTCAGTTGCAGTAGAATACAGCACCAGGTAAATTCTTAATGTTGCTTACCCCAGGGCCTGGCTCATAGACAGCATTTCTGACATGTCTGGGGTCAGGGGGAAACTCCACCCTGAAGGGAAGGAGACAAGCTTGAAGGGATGCACTACCTTCTGATTATAGGGTCCTTGGGCCGTGAGTGAACATAGGTAGTAGCCAGCCATTTGTCACTTTGGGGCTTGGGTGAGACCCATTGCTAAGTTGGCATCAGATCTAACCCAGAGCAGTCCTAGTGGTGTTGGCCACAGGGGTGCTTATGTCACCCCTCTGACAGCTTCAGGCAGCTCAGCACAGAGAGATAGACTCTTGTTTGTTTGGGGGAAAATAAGAGAATAGGAGTCTCTGACCGATAATCCAGGGAATTTTCCCAGATCTTACCCAAGACCACCAAGTCAGTACATCTATGAGTCTGCAAGAGCCATGACTTTACTGGGCTTAGGGTGCCCCCTAATGCATATATGGCTCCAGTGACCAAAGACTTAAATCATAATGCCCAAGTCTCTTGAAACATTTAGAAAGCCTTCCCAAGAAGGATGGGTACAATGAAGCCTGGACTATGAAGACTACAATATATATTTAACGTCAATGCCCAGACACTCACAAACATCCACAAGCATCAGGACCATCCAGGAAAATATGACCTTACCAAATGAACTAAATAAGGCACCAGGGACCAATACTGGAGTGGCAGAGATAGGTGACCTTTCAGACAGAGAATTTGAAATAACTGTTTTGAGGAAGCTCAATGAAATTAAAGAATATGCAGAGAAGGAATTTAGAATCCTATGAGAGAAATTTAATAAAAATATTGAAATAATTAGAAAGAATCAAGCAAAAATTTTGCAGGTGAAAAATGCAATTGTCATACTGAAGCATGCACCAAAGTCTTTTAAAAGCAGAATTGATCAAGCAGAGGAAAGAATTGGTGAGCTTGAAGACACGCTATTTGAAAATACACAGTCAGAGTGACAAAACAAATATCAATTTTAAAAATTTAAGCATGCCATCAAGATCTATAAAAGAGCCTCAAAAGGGCAAATCTAAGTGTTATTGGCCTTAAGGAGGAGGTAGAGAGAGATGGAAGCAGAAAATTTATTCAAATAGATAATAACGGAGAACTTCCCAAACCTGAAAAAAGATATCACTATTCAAGTACAAAAAAATTTTTAGAACACCAAGCACATTTAACTCAAATAAGACTGCCTTAAGATATTTAATAATCAAACACTCCAAGGTGAAAAATAAAGAAAGGAGCCAGGTGGCTCACGCCTGTAATTGCAGCAACTTGGGAGGCTAAGTTGAGAGGATTGCTTGAGCCCAGGAGTTTGAGACAAGCCTGGGCAACATAGAGAGATCCTGTCTGTAAAAAATTTAGGCAGGCATAGTGGTTTATGCCTGTGGCCCCATCTTCTCAGAAGTATGAAGTCGGAGGATCACTTGAACCCAGGCACCAGGTATGATTGCATTACTGCAATACAGCTGGGGTGACAGAGCAAGATTCTGTGCCTGAAAGAAAGAGGGAGGGAAAAAGGAAGGAAGAAAAGAAGAAAGAAAAGAAGGAAGAAAGGAAGGAAGAAAGGAAGGATGGCATCCTAAAAGCAACCCTAAAATCAATTCTAAAAGCAGCCAGATAAAAGTAGCAACATTAAAAGGAACTCCAAGGCATCTGGCAGCAGAGTTCTCAGTAGATATCTTATAGGCTAGGAGAGTGGCGTGACATATTTAAGTGCTGAAGGAAAAAAGACACTTTTATCCTAGAATAGTATATCCAGCAAAAATATCCTTCTAATATGAAAGAGAACTAAAGACTTTCCCAGACAAATAAAAGCTGAGGGATTTCATCAACACCCGACCTGTCCTACAAGAAATGCTAAAGGCGTTCTTCAGTCTGAAAGCAAAGGATGTTAATGAGTAATAAAAAAAGGCATAAAACTCACTGCTAATAGTACACACAAAAACACAGAATATTATAACACTGTAATTGTGATGTGGAAACTACTCATATATTGAGTAGAAAAACTAAAGGTAAATACAACAACTCTTCAAGACATACACAATATAATAAGATACAAATAGAAACAACAAAAAGTTAAAAGGCAGAAGAATGAAGTTAATGTGCAGAGTTTTGTTCGTTTTCTCTTGCTTGTTAGTTTGTTCAAGCAATTGATGTTATTTTTAGTGTAAAATAATGGGTTATAAGATATTATTTGTGAGCCTCATGGTAACCTCAAATAAAAAAATAGATCAGATACACAAAAAGTAAAAAGCAAGAAGTTAAAACACACCACCAGAGAAAATAATCTTTATTAAAATGAAAACAGGAAGGAAAAGAAGAAGAAAGAGAAGACCAAAAAGAAAAATCCAGAAAACATAAACTGGCAGGAATAAGTTCTTATTAATAATAACATTAATGTAAATAGACTGAATTGTCCATTCGAGATGTAGAGTGGCTGAATGAATAAGAAAATAATACCAAATGATCTATTGCCTGTAAGTAACACACTTATAAATACACACATATACTGAATATAAAGAACGGAAAATTCCAGTGCATGTAAATTGAAACCAAAAAAGAGCAGGAGTAGCTATGCTTATATCAGACAAAATAGATTTAAAGAGAAACATATTTAAGTGCCTTATGTTATAAAAAGAAAGACATTATATAAGGATAAGTCAATTTAGCAAGAGGATATCATAATATTAAATATATATGCACCAAACAGAGGAGCACCCAGATATATAAAGTAAATATTCTTAAAGCTAAAGAGACATAGACCTCAGTACAATAAAAGTTGGAGACTTCAACACCCTACTTTCAGCATTGAACAGATCTCCAGACAGAAAATCAGCAAAGAAACATTGAACTTAATCTGCACTATATACCAAATGTTTCTAATATATATTTGAAGAACATTTCATCTAATGGCTGCAGAATACATATTCTTCTTCTTAGTACACGGACTTTCTCAAGGATAAACCATGTGTTAGGGCACAAAACAAGTATTAAAAATTCAAAAAAATTAAAATTATATCAAGTATCTTCTTTGACTGCAAAGGAATAAAACTATCAATGAACAACCATTGGAACTTTGAAAACTGTGCAGACAAATGGAAATTAATATGCTCCTGAATGACCAGTGGGTCAGTGAAGAAATTAAGAAAATTTTAAAAATTATTGAAACAAAATGGAAACGCAACCTACCAAAACCTATGATATACAGTGAAAGCAGTAGTAAGAAGAAAGTTTATAGCAATAAGCATGTATATCAAAAAAGTAGAAAAACTTCAAATAAAAAACCTAGTGATGCATCTTAACCCATTTCCCATTTAGGGAAAAAAGTGCAGCTTGTTGCCAGTGCTCATTTAATTTTACATAAACGTGGTCTTTGGGGCTGAAGCAAATATGACTGATTTTCAATGTGAAAATAAAATATAAAAGCTTATAGGCAGGCCAACATTCAAATTCAGGAAATACAGAGAATGCCACAAAGATACTCCTTGAGAACAGCAACTCCAAGACACATAATTGTCAGATTCATCAAAGTTGAAATGAAGGAAAAAATGTTAAGGGCAGCCAGAGAGAAAGGTGTGGTTACCCACAAGGGGAAGCCCATCAGACTAACATCTGATCTCTCCACAGAAACTCTACAAGCCAGAAAAGAGTGGGGGCCAAAATTCAACATTCTTAAAGAAAAGAATTTTCAACACTGAATTTCATATCCAGCCAAACTAAGCTTCATAAGTGAAGGAGAAATAAAATACTTTACAGACAAGCAAATGCTGAGAGATTTTGTCACCACCAGGCCTGCCCTAAAAGAGCTCCTGAAGGAAACACTAAACATGGAAAGCAACAACCGGTACCAGCCACTGCAAAAACATGCCAAATTGTAAAGACCATCAAGGCTAGGAAGAAACGGCATCAACTAAAGAGCAAAATAACCAGCTAACATCATAATGACAGGATCAAATTCACACATAACAATATTAACCTTAATTGTAAATGGGCTACATGCTCCACTTAAAAGACACAGACTGGCAAAATGGATAAAGAGTCAAGACCCATCAGTGTGCTGCATTCAGGAAACCCATCTCATGTGCAGAGACACACATACGCTCAAAATAAAGGGATGGAGGAAGATCTACCAAGCAAATGGAAAACAAGAAAAGGCAGGGGTTGCAATCCTAGTCTCTGATAAAACAGACTTTAAACCAACAAAGATCAAAAGAGACAAAGAAGGCCATTACATAATGGTAAAGGGATCAATTCAACAAGAAGAGCTAACTATCCTAAATATATATTCACCCAATACAGGAGCACCCAAATTCATAAAGCAAGTCCTTAGTGACCTACAAAGAGACTTAGACTCCCATACAATAATAATGGGAGACTTTAACACCCCGCTGTCAACACTAGACAGATCAACAAGACAGAAAGTTAAAAAGGATATCAAGGAATTGAACTCAACTCTGCACCAAGTGGACCTAATAGACATCAACAGAACTCTCCACCCCAAATCAACAGAATATACATTCTTTTCAGCACCACACCACACCTATTCCAAAATTGACCACCTAGTTGGAAGTAAAGCACTCCTCAACAAATGTAAAAGAACAGAAATCATAACAAACTGTCTCTCAGACCACAGTGCAATCAAATTAGGACTCAGGATTAAGAAACTCACTCAAAACCACTCAACTACATGGAAACTGAACAACCTGCTCCTGAATGACTACTGGGTACATAATGAAATGAAGGCAGAAATAAAGATGTTTTTTGAAACCAATGAGGACAAAGACACAACATACCAGAATCTCTGGGACACATTCAAAGCAGTGTGTAGAGGGAAATTTATAGCACTAAATGCCCACAAGAGAAAGCAGGAAAGATCTAAAATTGACACCCTAACATCACAATAAAAATAACTAGTAAAGCAAGAGCAAACACATTCAAAAGCTAACAGAAGGCAAGAAATAACTAAAATCAGAGCAGAACTGAAGGAGATAAAGACACAAAAAAACCTTCAAAAAATCAATGAATTCAGGAGCTTGTTTTTTGAAAAGGTCAACAAAATTGATAGGCCGCTAGCAAGACTAATAAAGAAGAAAAGAGAGAAGAATCAAATAGACACAATAAAAAATGACAAAGGGGATATCAACACTGATCCCACAGAAATACAAACTACCATCAGAGAATAATATAAACACCTCTATGCAAATAAACTAGAAAATCTAGAAGAAATGGATAAATTCCTCGACACATACACCCTCCCAAGACTAAACCAGGAAGAAGTTGAATCTCTGAATAGACCGATAACAGGCTCTGAAGTTGAGGCAATAATTAATAGCTTACTGACCAAAAAAAGTCCAGGACCAGATGGATTCACAGCCGAATTCTACCAGAGGTAAAAGGAGGATCTAGTACCATTCCTTCTGAAACTATTCCAATCAATAGAAAAAGAGGGAATCCTCCCTAACTCATTTTATGAGGCCAGCATCATCCTGATACCAAAGCCTGGCAGAGACACAACAAAAAAAGAGAATTTTAGACCAATATCCTTGATGAACATTGATGTAAAAATCCTCAATAAAATACTGGCAAACTGAATCCAGTAGCACATCAAGAAGCTTATCCACCATGATCAAGAGGGCTTCATCCCTGGGATGCAAGGCTGGTTCAACATACAAAAATCAATAAAAGTAATCCAGCATATAAACAGAACCAAAGAGAAAAACCACATGATTATCTCAATAGATGCAGAAAAGGCCTTTGACAAAATTCAACAACCTTCGTGCTAAAAACTCTCAATAAATTAGGTATTGATGGGACGTATCTCAAAATAATAAGAGCTATCTATGACAAACCCACAGCCAATATGGCTCAATGGACAAAAACTGAAAGCATTCCCTTTGAAAACTGGCACAAGACAGGGATGCCCTCTCTCACCACTCCTATTCAACATAGTGTTGGAAGTTCTGGGCAGGGCAATCAGGCAGGAGAAGGAAATAAAGGGCATTCAACTAGGAAAAGAGGAAGTCAAATTGTCCCTGTTTGCAGATGACATGATTGCATATCTAGAAAACCCCATCATCTCAGCCCAAAATCTCCTTAAACTGATAAGCAACTTCAGCAAAGGCTCAGGATACAAAATCAATGTACAAAAATCACAAGCATTCTTATACACCAATAACAGACATACAGAGAGCCAAATCATGAGTGAACTCCCATTCACAATTGCTTCAAAGAGAATCAAATACCTGGGAATCCAACTTACAAGGGATGTGAAGGACCTCTTCAGGGAGAACTATAAACCACTGCTCAATGAAATAAAAGAGGATACAAAGAAATGGAAGAACATTCCATGCTCATGGGTAGGAAGAATCAATATTGTGAAAATGGCCATACTGCCCAAGGTAATTTATAGATTCAATGCCATCCCCATCAAGCTACCAATGACTTTCTTCACAGAATTGGAAAGAACTACTTTAAACTTCATATGGAGCCAAAAAAAAGCCCACAATGCCAAGTCAGTCCTAAGCCAAAAGAACAAAGCTGGAGGCATCATGCTACCTCACTTCAAACTATACTACCAGGCTACAGTAACCAAAACAGCATGGTACTTGTACCAAAACAGAGATATAGACCAATGGAACAGAACGGAGCCCTCAGAAATAATGCCACATATCTACAACTTTCTGATCTTTGACAAACCTGACAAAAACAAGCAATGGGGAAAGGATTCCCTATTTAAGAAATGGTGCTGGGAAAACTGGCTAGCCATATGTAGAAAGCTGAAACTGGATCCCTTCCTTACACCTTATACAAAAATTAATTCAAGATGGATTAAAGACTTAAACGTTAGACCTAAAACCATAAAAACCCTAGAAGAAAACCTAGGCAATAACATTTAGGACATAGGCATGGGGCAAGGACTTCATGTCTAAAACACCAAAAGCAATGGCAACAAAAGCCAAAATTGACAAATGGGATCTAATTAAACTAAAGAGCTTCTGCACAGCAAAAGAAACTACCATCAGAGTGAACAGGCAACCTACAAAATGGGAGAAAATGTTTACAACCTACTCATCTGACAAAGGGCTAATATGCAGAATCTACAATGAACTCAAACAAATTTACAAGAAAAAAAAAGTGGCAAAGTGGGCGAAGGATATGAACAGACACTTCTCAAAAGAAGACATTTATGCAGCCAAAAAACACATGAAAAAATGCTCATCATCACTGGCCATCAGAGAAATGCAAATCAAAACCACAATGAGATACCATCTCACACCAGTTAGAATGGCGATCATTAAAAAGTCAGGAAACAACAGGTGCTGGAGAGGATGTGGAGAAATAGGAACACTTTTACACTGTTGGTGGGACTGTAAACTATTTCAACCATTGTGGAAGTCAGTGTGGGGATTCCTCAGGGATCTAGAACTAGAAATACCATTTGACCCAGCCATCCCATTACTGGATATATACCCAAAGGATTATAAATCATGCTGCTATAAAGACACATGAACACGTATGTTTATTATGGCACTATTCACAATAGCAAAGACTTTGAACCAACCCAAATGTCCAACAATGATAGACTGGATTAAGAAAATGTGGCACAGATACACCATGGAGTACTATGTAGTCATAAAAAAGGATGAGTTTATGTCCTTTGTAGGGACATGGATGAAGCTGGAAACCATCATTCTCAGTAAACTATCGCAAGGACAAAAAACCAAACACCACATGTTCTTACTTATAGGTGGGAATTGAACAATGAGAACACATGAACAGAGGAAGGGGAACATCACACACCGGGGACTGTTGTGGGGTGGGGGAGGTTGAAGGGATAGCATTAGGAGATATACCTAATGCTAAATGACGAGTTAATACATGCAGCACACCAACATGGCACATGTATATATATGTAACAAACCTGCACATTGTGCACATTTACCCTAAAACTTAAAAGTATAATAGTAATAAAATTTAGAAATAAAACAGGGGAAAAAAAGCTTATTCTTGGAGTTTTTTCTCAACAGAACTTGTCTCTAATTGTAACGTAACAGAAATGAAGTTACATTAGGATTACAGATAAGAGTAGTCTCAGGACAAATGGGAAATGAGTTAAAAACTAGAAATGCAAGAGCAAACCCAATCCAAATTTAGAAGAAGAGAACAATAAAGATGACAGAATAAATACATAAATTTAAAACAAAATTCAAACATTAACAAAGCAAAAAGTTTGTGTTTTGAAAACAAACAAAATTAGGAAATGTTTAGCTAAGTTAAGAAAAAAGAGAAGACAAAAATAAAATCACAGATGGAAAAGAAGACATTACTATTGATACGAAGAAATTAAAAAAATTATTAGAGGTTACTATGAACAACTATATGCCAGTAAATTGAAAAGCCTAGAATAAATAGATTAATTCCTAGGCACATATAACCCAGCAAAATTGAACCATGAAGAAATATAAAACCTCAACATACTAACAAAAAGATTGGAGCCGTAATAAAAAGTCTCCCAGTGAAGAGAAGTCCAGCACCCAATGTCTTCATTGTAGAATTTTACTGAGCACTTAAAAAAGAACTAATAACAACCATCTTCAAACTATTCCAAAAAATAGAGAAGGAAATACTTCCAACTAATTCTGAGGCCAGTATTACCCTGATACCAAAACCAGAAAAAGTCACATCAAAAGAAGGAAATTACAGGCCAGTCATTTAAACTGATGCTGGAAATGCATTTGATAACATTCAACATCCCTTCATGATAAAATCCTTCAAAAACTGGCTGTAGAAGAAACATACCTCAACAAAATAAAAGAGATACGACAAATTCACAGCTAGTGTCACACTGGATGGGGAAAAACTGAAAGCCTTTCCTCTAAGATGTAGATCAAGGATGCCCTCTTTTATCACATTTATTCAATGTAGTACTGGAAAGAAATACACAGCGTTCAAATTGGAAAGGAAGAATTCAAATAATCTTTGTTTGAAAATTATACAATCGTTGTATTCGGGAAAACCTAAAGGCTATTAGAAGTTATAAAAAAATTCTGTAAAATGACAGGCTAGAAGGTCAGCACACAAATATCTGTAGCATTTCTATATGTTAATACTGAACAATATGAAAAACTAATAAAATAACCCCATTTACAATAGCTATAAATAATATAATATGCTTAGGAATAAATTTAACCAAAGAAGCAAAAGATCTCCACAATGAAAACTGTAAAACACTGATGAAAGAAATTGAAGAGGACATAAAAATGTAAAGATAGTCCATGCTTTTGAATTGGAAGAATCAATATTATTGAAATGTCCACACTACCCACAGCAATCTACAGATTCAATAAAATCTCTATCAAAATACTAATGACATTGTGCACAGAAATAGAAAAAGCAATCCTGAAATTTATATGGAACCACAAAAGACCTAGAATATTTGAAGATCTCCTGAGCAAAAAGAACAAAACTGAAGGAATTACATTAACTGGATTGGTTACTACAGAACTATAGTAACCAAAGCAGCATGGTACTGTCATGAAAACAGACACATAGACCAATAAAACTGAATAGAGAGCCCAGAAAGAAATCTACACATCTACAGTGAACTCATTTTTGATAAAAGGTGCCAAAAATATCCATTAGGGAAAGCTCAGTCTCTCTAATAAATGGTGCTGGGGAAACTGGATATCATATGCAGAAGAATGAAACTAGATTTCTCACAATATACAAACATCAAATCAAAATGGATTAAATACTTACATCTAAGATCTCAAACTATGAAACTTTTAAAAGAAAACTAGGAGGAACTCTCCAGAACATTGGTCGGGGAAAACATTTCTTGAGTAGTACCCTGTAAGCATAGGCAACAAAAGGAAACATAGACAAATGGGATCACATCAAATTAAAGAGCTTCTGCACAGCAAAGGAAACAATTAACAACGTGAAGAAATAACCCACAAAATGGAAGATAATATTTTCAAACTATCTGTCTGACAAGGGATTAATAAGGTTTTGGCTCTGT
This sequence comes from Homo sapiens, assembly GCF_000001405.40. NCBI lineage: Eukaryota > Metazoa > Chordata > Mammalia > Primates > Hominidae > Homo > Homo sapiens. The sequence continues at coordinate 114,889,208 of NC_000005.10, read as the reverse complement.
GTCCCCACACAAATCTCACCTTGAGTTGTAATCCCCATAATCTGCACATGTCAAGGGTGGGACCAGGTGGAGGTAATTGAATCATGGGGGTGGTTTCCTCCATGCTATTCTCTTGAAAATGAGTGAGTCTCATGAAATCTGATGTTTTTCTAAGCACCTGGCATTTCCTTTGCTTGCACTCACTCCATCCTGCTGCCCTGTGAAGAAGGTGCCTGCTTTTCCTTTGCCTTCCACCATGATTGTAAGTTTCCTGAGGCCTCCCGGGCAATGCAGAACTGTGAGTCAATTAAACTTCTTTCCTTTATAAATTACCCAGTCTCAGGTATTTCTTCATAGCAGTATGAGAATGGACTAATACATAACCATAGTATATAAGGAGCTCAAACAACTGAACAGAAAAAAAATCTAATAATCTGATTTTAAAATCGGCAAAAGATCTGAATAAGCATTTCTCAAAAGAACACATACAAATGGCAAACAAATATGAAAATCTTCAGTTCCTTCCATGTAGCTGCAAAGGACAAGATTTTATTTTTTTCTATGGCTGAATAGTATTTCATGTTGTATGTGTACCACACTTTCTTTATCCCATCTACTGTTGATGGGCACCTAGGTTGATTCCATGTCTTTGCTATTATGAATAAGCATGGTGATAAATATATGAGTGTATGTGTGTTTTTGATAGAATGCTTTATTTTTGTTTGAGTACATACCTAGTACTGCGATTGCTGGGTTGAATGGTAGCTCTGTTTTATGTTTGAGAAATCTCTAAACTGCTTTCCACAGTGGCTGAACTAATTTACACTTTTATCAACAGTGTATGAGTGTTTCCTTTTTTTCTACAGCCTCACTGGCATCTATTGCTTTTTGCCTTTTTAATAGTAGCTATTCTCACTGATGCGAGGCGGTATCCCATTATGGTTTTGATTAGTATTCTTCTGATCATTAGTGATAATGAGCATTTTTTTTTCATGTTTCTTGGCTGCTTCTATGTCATCTTTCGAGAAGCAACTGTTCACATCCTTTGCCCATTTTTAGTGGGGTACTTGTTTTTTCTTTGTTGATTTCAGTTTCTTATAGATGCTGGATATTAGACCTTTGTTGGGTACATAGTTTGTGACTATTTTCTCCCATTATGTAGGTTGTCTGTTTACTCTTTTGATAGTTTCTTTTGGTATGCAGAAGCTCTTTGGTTTAATTATGTCCCACTTGTCAATTTTTGTTTTTGTTGCAATTGCTTTTGAGGATTTTTTTCAAAGATTCTTCACTAAGGCTCCTGTTGACAAGGGTATTTCCTAGGCTCTCTTCTCGGATTTTTATCGTTTGAGGTCTTACATTCTAACTTATAAATAAGAAAATGTGGTATTTGGTTTTCTGTTCTTGTGTTGATTTGCTTATATGAAAATGTGAGGTCTTAAATTTAAATCTGTAATCCATTTTGAATTAATTTTTGTATATGGTAAAATGCAGGGGATCAGGTTCATTCTTCTGTATATGGATAGCCAGTTATCCCAGCACATTTATCAAATAGGAAGGCCTTTCTTCATTGCTTATTTTTGTCAGCCTTGTTGAGTATCAGATGGTTGTAGGTGTGCAACTTTATTTTTCAGTTTTCTTTTCTGTTCCATTGATCTGTGTGTCTGCTTTTATACTGGTATCATGCTGTTTTGATTACTCTAGCCTTTTGATAATGTGATATCTCTGTTGTTTTATTTTTCTTATGAGTGATTTAGTTATTCAGGCTCTTTTTTGGTTCCATATAAATTTTATGATAAATTTTTCTAATTCTATGAAAAATGACTTTTGTAATTTGACAGAAATAGCATTGAATCTGTAAATAGTTGTGAGCAGTATGGTCATTTTAATGACATTGATTCTTCCAATCAACAAGCATGGAATATTTTTCCATTTATTTGTGTCATATCTGATTTCTTTCAGCAGTGTTTTATAGTTCTCCTTGTAGAGATCTTTCACCTCTTTGGTTAGCTGTATTCCTATGTATTTCATTTTATTTGTGGCTTTTGTAAATGGGATTGTTAAATCAGAAATAATAAAAATGATATTACAACTGATCCCACAAAAATACAAAATATCCTCAGAGACTACTATGAACAGCTCTGTATAAACAAATTAGAAAGTCTGCAGAAAATGTGTAAATTCTTGGAAACACAGAATCTTCCAAGATTGAATCAGGAAGATATTGAAATATTGAATAGTCCAATATTGAATTTTAAAATTGAATCAGTAATTAAAAAAATCTACCAACCAAAAAAAAAAAAAAGCCCTGGACCATATGGATTCATAGCCAAATTCTACCAGCTGTAAAAAGAACAGCTATTTTTTGAAATTATTCCAAAAAATTGATGAGGAGAGCTTCCTCCCTAGCCCACTCTATGAAGCCAGCAACAGCCTGATACCAGAATCTGACAAAGACACAAGAAAACAGGAAAACTTCAGGCCAATATTCCTGATCAATGTAGACATAAAAACCATTGTCAAAATACTAGCAAACCACATTCAGTAGCATATAAAAAGTTAATTCACAACAGCAAAATAGGCATTCTTCCTGGGATGCAAGGTTGGTTTAACATACAGAAATCAATACATGTGATTTGCCACATAAACAGAATTAAAATTAAAACCCATATGATCATCTCAATGGATGCAGAAAAAGATTTCAATAAAATTCAACATCCTTTCATGATAAATACCCTCAGGAGACTAAGCACTGAAGGAACATACCTCAAAATAAGAAGAATCATCTATGACAAACTCACAGCTAATATGAGACTGAATGGGCAAAAGATGGAACCATTCCCCTTGGGAACTAGAACAAGACAAGGATGACCACTCTTAACACTGCTATTCAATATAGTACTGGAAATCCTAGCCAGGGCAATCAGACAAGAGAAAGAGATAAAAAGCATTAAAACAGGAAATAAAGAAGTCAAACTATCTCTATTCAGATAGCATTTCACTGACAGTATGATTCTATACTGAGAAAACCTTAAAGATTCCACAAAAAGGCTCCTAGAATTGCTGAACAACTTTAGCAATTCTAAAGTTTCAGGATACAAAAGCAATGTACTAAAATCAGTACATTTCTATACAGAAATCAGTACATTTCTATCAGCAATAACACAAATAACAAGCTGAGAGTCAAATCAAGAAGAGCATCTTTTAAGTTTTAACCTGTTTGTTCTAATCTTATGCTTTGGAACTTGGAATAGGTATGATTGGATTCGAGCTTCTCAAACTTTAGCATGCTTGAAAACTTGTTACAGTACAGATTCATGGGGCCCATCCCCAAACATTCTGATCAATGGGTCTGAAGTTCTGCCAGATAATTTTCATTTCTAACAAGCTTCCAGGTTATGTCTCTGCTGCTGCTGCTGCTGCTGCTGGGCTGCAGATTACCTTTGAGTAGTTTTGACTTGGATTACTCAAGATTCCTCCCCTCTTCCTTTGGGCACAATACCTGATTTTTCCTTGGATGACTAACTTGTCTTCTACTGGAGGTGGGCTGGTTGAAGCTGCCAGCCAAGCCTCTTCACCGTTTACGACTCCAGTGGTAGGCGTGTGACACAAGGTAGATCAAATGGAAGCTTGTTATCAAGAATTTGAAATAAAGGGAGGAAAAACAGTAGCTACATAATCTTGTTAACCACAGCTATGACCTAGGTTCCTGGACCTGCCATATTTCCCATTGTTTTGGAGCCTAATAGTCAGTTTTCCTTTCATTCTTTGAATTACTTCATACACTTCCAATGAGTGATGATTTTTGTTCCACTTCAGTTTTTCCTTCTCTTTTTTATCCTCCTTTTATTCCTTGTCTTTTTATATTAACCAGTTGGTTTCTACTTTTTGCCACCAAAAACCTAAATGGATATATATCCACAAAGAATATACCTGCTCTCTTGACCTAACACACTCTTCTATATATTGAAAGACAACTTTGACTCATTTCTTCTCTGGATCAAGTGCTTCTAGTTCTTTCATTGTTCTTTTTTTAGGGCACTTTATAAAAAGTCTTCCCATTACTGTGTCCTCTTTTGGTGATGTACTGGTTTTCTCCATTCGGGTTAAAATGTGGTGGACAGAAGGAAATCCAATACTTCACCAATTCAATATAGCATGATCCAGACTGCAGAGAAGAAGGAGGTTTAATAACCTTGTTGTGGGCAGACAGCCACCTACAGCAGAAAGAGATTGGGAAAAGCAATATGAGAAAGGAAAAATAGACGATTATATAATAAATCTATTGGATTAGTGTCAACAATGAATATTGGCAATCCAGGTCTCAAAGTGGATCTTTTCTACTGAATGATTATTTAGATGTGGTTTCTCTTTTATGTTATATAGACCAGATATTAGGATGGTGCAAAAGTAAGTGCAGTTTTTGCCATTACTTTCAATGGTACATCAGGCATCTCTTACATCTGCTGATAAGCAAGCAGGGAAATTGACCGGTGAAGGCAGAAAACAAGTATATTTTTGAACAGCGTGTGCTCAGAGCTGGCTTTGTGTAAAGGGGAAGGAATGACAGAATACTAAGAACTTAGAGCTATCATCATATGCACAGGGAGTGTTAGAAGTTTGAAAAATAGAAAAAACAAAAGGCTCTCCTGGGATTCTGCTTAAATGTGGATAAGACATTTACTTATGGACTCTTGTTAGGCCCTCTCATTCTGGGAGAGTCAGAGTAAGTCTGATAAGGTGGAGGTGCCCTGGAAGATTAATAGTTTTTCTTTTTAAATGACTACTATTGCTGTTTCATTTCAATACTTAGAAGTTTAACTTAGCCACTTGATATACATGCTCATATGTAGTCATTTTTTTGGGGGTGAGTAATCAGGAAATAGCAATGGTTCTCTTTGTCCTTACTAGAGTGATTTGAATTTAAAGCAGAATGACATAAAGCATTTGATCACATCAAATAACAATGGTAGGGAACAGAGGAATAGTAGACCTTTTAATTTTTTCCTTTCCTTTATTTTAAATTCTTTTGTGTAACCCTGAGATTTAGGGTCAGGCTATTTCTACATAGCAAAGCAGGGTTGGAGTGAGGGAGGAGATGAATCATGATGACTTTGTGGCAAAGGCCACAACCGATGGCAGAATGTGGTCATGTGTTAGGATGGCCCTTCAGAGTTGTCCCAAATTGAGGCAATGGGACTGGACTTTGTGTCCCTCATCAACCAGTCTCTGGACACAGGTTGCTATTGGGGAGGGTGAGTGCAGCCTTAGGTGAGGTGGCTCTCTCCCTCTGTCTGAAGTTCCCACAGGAGGCCTCAGCTGAGAGCTGTCAAATGACCATACTCCCAGCAGCTGGCCAATGAGTGCTGGTTTGGGAGTACTGATCGGATCCTGGGCAGTGCATGCACACCCACTACAGGTTCTGGCTGCCTCCTGGCTGCCTAGTGGGTCCGGGTGGTACTGGGGAGATAATACTCTGTGGAGAGGATTTTGAGAGATGATGGTAGATGGGAGGGCACAAGTGGACCAGTTGCTCTCCTTTCCTGCCATCTATGGATTGCTCTAAGATGCAATTCATGAAACCGAGCAGTGAGCTGTATTTGTTGCAAAAGTGTGGTGTGCTTGGTAGCACACCCTCTTGTGTGTGATCTCTCTCTTTCTCTATTTCATTTCCCTTCCCCCCCCCCCCCCTCACTTTTGTTTCCCTGAGAATTTATTTTCCCAGTAAAGTATTAGCATGGTAGCTGTGATGGATAATTTTATGTGCCAACTTGGTTAGGCTATCGTGGTTAGCTGCTTGGTCAAACACTAGTTTAGATGTTCCTAGGAGGATATTTTGTAGATGTAATTAACATTTACAATCACTTGACTTTAAGTAAAGGAGATTACTCTGGATAATTAGGTAGATCTTTTCTAATCAGTTGAAGGCCTACAGAGTAAAAAGAGGTTTTCTGGAGAAGAAGGAATTTTTTAAGTCTAAATTTCCAGGCCTCCCTCCTAGGCTATGAATTTTAGGCTTTATAGCTCCCACAATCATGTGAGCCAGTATATATCTCTATGTCTATCATTCATCTATCTATCTATCTATCTATCTATCTATCTATCTATCTATCTATCTATCTATATGTCTCCCTCCCTCCCATTGGTTCTATTTCTCTAGAGAACCCTGACTGATAGAGTTGCTTTTTCCATAGTCTCTGTTTTTTAGAAAACCCAGGATAAGACCAAATGACTTTGTTGGGATCTCTAGAATTACAAGGTTTAGGAGTTAAAAGGGGACTTAAAAATCATTTAGTCTAATCCTTCCCCTTTTATAGGTCAGGAAACTGCAACTCAAAATGGTTCAGTTTTTGATGAGCAGCCCAGACCCAAAGCATAGTCTTCCTGACTCCCAGTCCCCTGCTCTTCCTTCTCGGTCACATCTTATCTACAGTAAACCACTTGAAAGTGACTCTAACCCAGAAGATCGCCTCTGTGATGGGGTTGGTTATACCTGAAACATAGAGGAGCTGGGGCACATCCTGGATGCAAAAGGGTTTGATCTTTTTATGTCACCTCATATGAATCCTTCTCTGAAATTTTTAATGGTATAGAGCCCCTAGACTGTTAAAGCTGATAGGAAACAGGAAGATTATCAACCCTGTGGTTTCTAGCCTATTTACCATTAAGGATTCTTTCTGTAATTTCTCTTAATCTCTACTGCCAAACTTTAAAAGAAAATTGTTTCCTAGCTCTCCACCACTGTATTTCTTTCATCTTGAGCAATGCCAGGCAAACAGTAGGTTTTGACAGACAAAGAGTCACATGAGTGAGTGCTACCCTTTTAAAATTACACATCACATTTTTTTTTAAATTAAACTTCTGGAGTACATGCGCAGAACGTGCAGGTTTATTGTATAGGTGTACACATGCCATGGTGGTTTAATGCACCCATAAAGCCGTCATCTACATTAGGTATTTCTCCTAATGCTATCCCTCCCCTAGCCCCCCACCCCCATACAGGCCCCAGTGTGTGTGATATTCCCCTCCTTGTGTCCATATGTTCTCATTGTTCAGCCCCCACTTCTGAGTGAGAACACGTGGTATTTGGTTTTCTGTTCTTGTGTTGGTTTGCTGAGAATGGTGGTTTCCAGCTTCATCCATGTTTCTGCAAAGGACATGAAGTCATCCTTTTTTATGGCTGCATAGTATTCCATGGTATATATGTGCCACATTTTCTTAATCCAGTCTATCATTGATGGGCATTTGGGTTGGTTCCAAGTCTTTACTATTGTGAAAAGTCCTGCAATAAACATACGTGTGCATGAGTCTTTAGAGTAGAGTGATTTATAATCCTTTGGTTATTTACCCAGTAATGGGATTGCTGGGTCAAATGATATTTCTAGTTTTAGATTCTTGAGGAATTGCCACACTGTCTTCCACAATGGTTGAACTAATTTAGACTCCCACCAATAGTGTAAAAGTGTTCCTATTTCTCCACATCCTCTTCAGCATCTGTTGCTTCCTGACTTTTTAATGATTGCTGTTCTAACTGGCATGAGATGGTATCTCAATGTGATTTTGATTTGCATTTCTCTAATGCAAATTTCTCTAATGACCAGTGATTTTTTTTTCATATGCTTGTTGGCCACATAAATGTCTTCTTTTGAGAAGTGTCTGTTCGTATCCTTCACCAACTTTTTGATGGGGTTGTTTGTTTTCTTCTTGTAAATCTGTTTAAGTTCTTTGTAGATTCTGGATATTAGCCCTTTATCAGACGGGTAGATTGCAAAAATTTTCTCCCATTCTGTAGGTTTCCTTTTCACTCTGATGATAGTTTCTTTTGCTGTGCAGAAGCTGTTTAGTTTAATTAGATCCCATTTGTCAATTTTGGCTTTTGTTCCCGTTGTTTTTGGTGTTTTGATCATGAAGTCTTTGCCCACGCCTATGTCCTGAATGGTATTGCCTAGGTTTTCTTCTAGGGTTTTTATGGTTTTAGGTCTTATGTTTAAGTCTTTAATCCATCTTGAGTTAATTTTTGTATAAGGTGTAAGGAAGGGATCCAGTTTCAGCTTTATGCATATGGCTAGCCAGTTTTCCCAACACTATTAAGTAGGGAATCCTTTCCCCGTTGCTTGTTTGTGTCAGGTTTGTCAAAGATCAGATGGTTCTAGATGTGTGGTGTTATTTCTGGGCCTCTGTTTTGTTCCTCTGTTTGGTCTATATATGTGTTTTGGTACCTGTACCATGCTGTTTTGGTTACAGTACCCTTGTAGTATAGTTTGAAGTCAGGTAGCATGATGCCTCCAGCTTTGTTCTTTTTGCTGAGATTGTCTTGGCTATGTGGGCTCTTTTTTGGTTCCATATGAAATTTTAAGTTGTTTTTTCCCATTCTGTGAAGAAAGTCAGTGGTAGCTTGATGGGGATAGCATTGAATCTATAAATTCCTTTGGTCAGTATGGCCATTTTCACGATACTGATTCTTCCCATCCATGAGCATGGAATATTCTTCCATTTGTTTGTGTCCTCTCTTATTTCCTTGAGCAGTGGTTTGTAGTTCTCCTTGAAGAGGTCTTTCGCATCCCTTGTAAGTTGTATTCCTAGTTATTTTATTCTGTTAGTAGCAATTGTGAATGGGAGTTCACTCCTGATTTGGCTCTCTGTTTGTCTGTTATTGGTGTATTGGAATGCTTGTGATATTTGCACATTGACTTTGTATCCTGAGATTTTGCTGAAGTTGCTTATCAGCTTAAGGAGATTTTGGACTGAGACAGTGGTGTTTTCTAAATATACAATCGTGTCATCTGTCAACAGAGACAATTTGACTTCCTCTTTTCCTATTTGAATACCTTTATTTCTTTCTCTTTCCTGATTGCCCTGGCCAGAACTTCCAACACTATGTTGAATAGGAGTGGTAAGAGAGGGCATCCTTGACTTTTGCCCATTTTCAAAGGGAATGCTTCCAGTTTTTGCCCATTCAGTATGATATTGGCTGTGTGTTTGTCATAGATAGCTTTTATTGTTTTGATATATGTTCCATCAATACCTAGTTTATTGAGAGTTTTTAGAATGAAGGGCTGTTGAATTTTGTTGAAGGCCTTTTCTGCATCTATTGAGATAATTATATGGTTTTTGTCATGGTTCTGTTTATGTGATGGATTATGTTTATTGACTTGCATATTTGAACCATCCTTGCATCCCAGGGATGAAGCCCATTTGATTATGGTGGATAAGCTTTTTGATGTGCGGCTGGATTCAGTTTGCCAGCATTTTATTGAGGATTTTCACATCGATGTTCATCAGGGATATTGGCATGAAATTTGTGTGTGTGTGTGTTTCTGCCAGATTTTGCTATCAGGATGATGCTGGCCTCATAAAATGAGTTAGGGAGGATTCCCTCTGTTTTTGTCATTTGGAGTAGTTTCAGAAGGAATGGTACCAGTTCCTCTTAGTACCTCTGGTAGAATTTGGCTGTGAATCCATCTGTTCCTGGACTTTTTTTGGTTGGTAGGCTATTAATTGCTGCCTCGATTTGAGAACTTTTTATTGGTCTATTCAGAGATTCAGCTTCTTCCTTGTTTAGAGTTGGGAGGCTGTGTATGTCCAGGAATTTATCCATTTTTCTAGATTTTCTAGTTTATTTGTGTAGAGATGTTTATATATTCTTACGGTAGTTTGTATTTCTGTGGGATCAGTGTTGATATCCTCTTTATTGTTTGTTATTGTGTCTATTTGATTCTTCTCTCTTTTTTTCTTTATTAGTCTGGCTAGCATCTATCTATTTTGTTGGTCTTTTCAAAAAACGAGTTCCTGAATTCATTGATTTTTTGAAGGGTTTTTTGGGTCTCTATCTCCTTCAGTTCTGCTCTGATCTTAGTTATTCCTTGCCTTTTGCTTGCTTTTGAGTTTGTTTGCTCTTGCTTCTCTAGTTCTTTTAATTGTGATGTTAGGGTGTTGATTTTAGATATTTTCTGCTTTCTCTTGTGGGCATTTAGTGCTATAAATTTTCCTCTACACGCTGCTTTAAATGTGTCCCGGAGATTCTGGTATGTTGTTTGTTCTCATTGATTTCAAAGAACATTTTTATTTCTGCCTTAATTTCACTATTTACCCAGTAGTCATTCAGGAGCAGGTTGTTCAGTTTCCATGTAGTTGTGTGGTTTTGAGTGAGTTTCTTAGTCCTGAATTTTAATTTGTTTGCACTGTGGTCAGAGAGACTGTTTTTTATGATTTCCATTCTTTTGCATTTGCTGAGGAGTGTTTTACTTTCAATTATGTGGTCAATTTTAGGAATAGTGCAATGTGGTGCTGGGAAGAATGTATATTCTGTTTTTTGGGGGGTGGAGAGTTCTGTATATGTCTAATAGGTCCACTTGGTCCAGAGCTGAGTTCAAGTCCTGGATATCTTTGTTAATTTTCTGTCTCATTGATCTGTTTAATATTGACAGTGGGTACAGTGGGGTGTTTAAGTCTCCCACCATTATTGTGTGGGAGTCTAAGTCTCTTTGTTGGTCCCTAAGATCTTGCTTTATGAATCTGGGTGCTCCTTTATTGGGTGCATATATATTTAGGATAGTTAACTCTCTTGTTGCTGTGATCCCTTTACCATTATTTAATGGCCTTCTTTGTCTCTTTTGACCTTTGTTGGCTTAAACTCTGTTTTATCAGAGACTAGGATTGCAACCCCTCCTTTTTTTGCTTTCCATTTGTTTGGTAAATCTTCCTCCATCCCTTTATTTTGAGCCTGTGTGTGTCTTTGCACATGAGATGGGTGTCCTGAATACAGCACACCAATGGGTCTTGACTCTTTATCCAAGTTGCCAGTCTGTGTCTTTTAATTGGGGCATTTAGCCCATTTACATTTAAGGTTAATTTTGTTATGTGTGAAATTGATCCTGTCATTCTGATGGTAGCTGGTTATTTTGCTCATTAGTTGATGCAATTTCTTCATAGTGTTGATTGTCTTTACTATTTGGTATGTTTTTGCAGTGCCTGGTACCTGTTGTTCCTTTCCATGTTTTGTGCTCTGTTTAGGAGCTCTTGTAAGGCAGCCCTTGTAGTGGCAAAATCTCTCAGTATTTGCTTGTCTGTAAAGGATTTTATTTCTCTTTTGCTTATGAAACTTAGTTTCACTGGATATGAAATTCTGGGTTGAAAATTCTTTTCTTGAAGTATGTCAAATATTGGCCCCCACTCTCTTCTGGCTTGTAGGGTTTCTGCTGAGAGATCTGCTGTTAGTCTGATGGGTTTCCCTTGGTGGGTAACCTGACCTTTCTGTCTGGCTGCCCTTAATATTTTTTTCTTAATTTCAACCTTGGTGAATCTGACAATTATGTGTATTGGGGTTGCTCTTCTTGAGGAGTATCTTTGTGGTATTCTCTGTATTTTCTGAATTTGAATGTTGGTCTGCCTTGCTAGGTTGGGGAAGTTCTCCTGGATAATATCCTGAAGAGTGTTTTCTAACTTGGTTCCATTCTCCCTATCACTTTCAGGTACACCAATCAAATGTAAATTTGTTTTTTTTTTTCACGTAGTCCCATGTTTCTTGGAGGCTTTGTTTGTTCTTTTCACCTTTTTTCTCTAATCTTGTCTTCTTGCTTTATTTCACTGAGTTGATCTTCAGTCTCTGATATCCTTTCTTCCACTGGATTGATATGGCTATTGATACTTGTGTATGCTTCTTGAAGTTCTCGTGCTGTGTTTGTCAGCTCCATCAGGTCATTTATTTTCTTCTTGAAACTGGTTATTCCCATTGGCAATTCATCTAACCTTTTTTCAAGGCTCTTAGCTTCCTTGGATTGGGTTAGAACATGCTCCTTTAGATTGGAGGAGTTTGTTATTATCCACCTTCTGAAGCCTACTTCTGTCAATTCGTCAAACTCATTCTCTGTCCAGTTTTGTTCTCTTGCTGGTGAGGAGTTGCGATCCTTTGGAGGAGAAGAGGCATTCCGGTTTTTGTAATTTTCAAATTTTTTTGCTGGCTTCTCCCCATCTCTGTGGATTTATCTATCTTTGTTCTTTGCTGTTGATGACCTTCGGATGGGGTCTCTGAGTGGATGTCCTTTTTGTTGATGTTGACACTATTCCTTTCTGTTTGTTAGTTTTGTTTCTAACAGTGAGGCCCCTCTGCTGCAGGTCTTCTGGGGTTTGCTGGAGGTCCACTCCAGACGCTGTTTGCCTGAGTTTCACCAGCAGAGGCTGCAGAACAGCCAAGATTGCTGTCTGTTCCTTCCCCTGGAAGCTTTGTCCCAGAGGGGCACCTGCCAGATCCCAGCCAGAGCTGACAGGCACATTTGAAGTGTCTGTCAGCCCCTACTGGGAGGTGTCTCCCAGTCAGGACACATATGGGTCAGGGAGCCACTTGAGGAGGCAGTCTCTCCCTTATCAGAGCTTGAACACTGTGCTGGGAGATCCACTGCTGTTTTCAGAGTGTCAGGCAGGGATGCTTAAGTCTGCTGATGCTGCGCCCACAGCCACCCCTTCCCCCAGGTGCTCTGTCCCAGGGAGATGGGAGTTTTATCTATAAGTCCCTTACTGGGGTTGCTGCCTTTTTTTCATAGATGCCCTGCCCAGAGAGGAGAACTCTAGAAACGCAGTCTGGCTGCAGTGGCCTTGTTGAGCTGCAGTGGGCTTCACCCAGTTCAGACTTCCTGGGGGCTTTGTTTACACTGTGATGGGTAAACTGCCTAGTCAATCCTCAGCAATGGCAGATGCCCCTCCCCTCACCAAGCTTGAGCATCCCAGGTTGAGCTCAGACTACTGTGCTGGCAGTGAGAATTTCAAGCCAGTGATCTTAGCTTGCTGGGTTCCATGGGGGTGGGACCTACCAAGCCAGACCACTTGGCTCCCTGGCTTCAGCCCCCTTTCTATGGCAGTGAATGGTTCTGTCTTGCTGGCATTCCAGGTGCCACTGGGGTAAGGGGAAAAAAAAGAAAAAAGAAAACTCCTGCAGCTAGTTTGGTGTCTGCCCAAATGGCCACCCAGTTTTGTGCTTGAAATCCAGGGCCCTGGTGGCATAGGCACCAGAGGGAATCTCCTGGTCTGCTGGTTGCAAAGACCACAGAAAAAGTGCAGTATCTGGGCTGGAGTGCACTATTCTTCCCAGTACAGTGGTACACAGTCTCTCACGGCTTCCTTTGGCTAGGGGAGGGCAATCCCTCAACCCCTTGGGCTTCCTGGGTGAGATTGTGCCCCACCCTGCTTTGGCTCACTTTCTCTGGGCTGCACCCACTGTCCAACCAGTCCCAGTGAGATGAACTGGGTACCTCAGCTGGAAATGCAGAAATCACCTGCCTTTTATGTTGATCTCGCTGGGATTTGCAGACTGGAGCTGTTCCTATTCGGCCATCTTGCCAGCCAGGGCCTAAATTTTCACATCGCAGATTTACCACAAATAGGTGACAATGGAAACCAATGTCACTCTCTACTACATTGCCCCAAAAAGGCTGCTCCAGTCATTGATGTTTGAATGTGGTTAAGCATAAACATTTTTATTTTTCCCTTTGCTTTGTTTGCGAAGGCAATCCTAATTCAGTCTGATATCTTTTAGAAAGATTTCTTCTTGTTTTATTAAGAAATAATTATTTTTTTCCATTTAACTAAAAACATATACAATTTCCATCAGAATTGCTGATGTATATTTACCCTTTTAGTCATATAAATTGCAGATAAATATGTGGTTTTTACTTAACTGTTTAAAAGAGAGAAGTCAGTGGTAAAGCCATCTTTAGAGAATTCTTCCAGAAACCCCAGGGAGTAAACCATTAATCTGAACTGCCCCCCGCCCCACAATACCAACCCCTGCACATTCACCCCTCCCTGCTCCAACAGAAGCCTAGTAGAATTCAAGCCTGGAAAAGAATCTGGATCTCCAGACTTTAAATAGCAGGCTCTTTCCAGTTTTACAACATTCCTCTTTAAAAAGTTTCTTAGCTTTTATAAGTCATTGTGAAGTTTGTAGTGCTGATTATTAGCAGGCATCATTTCTACCAAAATGTTTGTACTTCCTTGTTGAGTGAATTTACTGCATGCAGGTCTCTCAGCCTCATTTGCTTTTTAGAGATTCCTCAGACATCCAACCTTGGGCTGCCACCCTTCTTTCAGGGGACTGTACAAAGTTCTATCAGTTCAACTTTGATTGTTTTTCCCTCTTCCAGTAGTTCTTGGTGGACTAGGCATACCAGACTGCTGAGTCCCAAATGGCATATATGGTCAGAAGAAAGGGACACCTGCCAGTGACCTCCTGCTTGTCACTTTCAGGTTCATCTGCATTGGATTTTCCTGAGAAGAGAAGATTTGAAGCTCAGCAGGAGTGGAGTGTGCAGAGTAATTTTATAAAATACATTTTATTAGGCAGGAATGCCCTTAGTTATTAGGAAAAATTAATTCAAGAGATGGATTATCACTAGCCTTTGCCTACTATTGGACTGGGAATTCAAAGAACTAGTTCTAGTCCTTCCTCTGCTACTCATTTACAATACTGTCTTGAGAACCATTTTAACTTCTGCAGGGGTTTCCTTATTTTATAAACTGGGATAATAATGCCCATATTCTTTTCATGTATGGAAACTCATATCCCTGTCAATAAGCCTCCTTTCTCATAGTGGTAGAGGAGGTGGAGTGTGGTCAGTTGTTCAAGACTGAGGATTTTCAGCAGGGTTCAATGGCCATATCTCAAAGATGTAGCAGAGGGACTTTCTATATGAGGTGAGAAAATCCAAAAAATTATTCTAAGGTTTCTTTTCATCTCTACACTCTATGTTTCTGATTGGACTATAGACATGTGGCCTCACTTCACCTTTATTTCCCAAAAATAGGAAAATAAATATTTTCTTAAAAAGCTTTTATTTTTAGCTTCTTGACAGTTTATCACTCTCTCTGTTTTAAGGCACAGTCATCTCTCCCTAGACAACTGCAAGACAACCTTCTAACTGGTTCTACTCTTGCCTCACAAGAAGTCTATTCTCCATGGAGAAGTGCAAGTAATCTCTTAAAAATGTAAATTGGACTCCATCACCCTCCTGCTTAAATCCCTACAATAGCTTCACATAGATTTAAAATAAAATGTGGTGTTTGTTAGGACCTCTGTGAGCAGGTCCTGCCCTGCTTTTCCTGCCATCCACACTGAGGTTCTGTTTGTTCTTGCAACACACCAACCTGTGTCACTGTCTCAAGGCCTTTGCATTGCTGTTTTCTCTGCCTGGAATTCTTTTCCATTCCTGGCTGCCTGATTCTTATCATTCAGGTCTCAGCTTAAATTATTTCCCCTGAGAGGTCTTTTCTGACTGCCCTATTAAAAGTAGTCTTTCATCTGTATCTTTAGCCCTTTTTTATTTCATTATCCTTTATCATTATCTGAGATTATCTGACATAAATTTAAAAATAAATAAATGATAATACATTCAGTAGATTTTTCTTCCCCTAAAATGCAAGCTATATCAGACATGGCCCATGTTGGCCTCCTTCACTACTCTATCTATTCCAGCCACTAGTCATCCAGAATAGATGTTCATTAATGATGTGCTGAAGGCTTTTGTTCATTTTACCATGTTTATTGAGCTCTTACTATGCAGTAGGTGCTGTCCTAGCCATAAGGATCATCAGAAAACAAAGATAAAGCACCTGCCACCATGGATCTTACATTCTATGGGGGTCAATTTAGGGAAGAAATCAGAAAGTATAAATAAATAAACAAGTAAATGTATGTCATGTGGCACTAAAAGCTATGAAGTGAGATAAGACAGAATAAAGAGGTTTGGAGTGTCAAGGGAAGGAGGAGTGTCAAGGTCAAGGAAATTCTCACTCACTATTTGATGAGACACTTGAAGAGAGTAAGAAAGCAACCCCTGAAACAGTGTTCTGGGCAAAGGCCCTTAGTTGAGTGTGCAGCGGGTATGTTGCAGGAATAGAAAAGAGGCTGGTACAGCTGAAGCAGAAGGAATGGGGGAAAGTAGTAGTAGAAGTCAGAGAGGTGGGGGTCAATTCAGATCAAGCAAGCTCTGTTAGGCCATGTGAGGGCTTAGGTTTAACAAAGTTTAATATGGAGCCAGAAGAAAATCTTTGAACCATAAGTGAAATGTAATCTGTCTTACTTCCCAAAAGAGTTATTCTGGTCATTAATAACAGACCTGGGGAGGTGGTGGTGAAAATGAAATACTTAGGAGACCAAGGTAGAGGTGTTCTGTGTCAACGCATATTTCAAGGTAAAGTGAACAGGACTTGCTGATGAATGAAACATGAAGTGGGAGACAGGAATCAAAGGTGATTCCCAGGTTTTGGTATGAGCAGTTAGTAGAATGGAGTTGCCATTTACTGAGAGGGAGAAAGGCTATGGGAAGAGCAAGTCAGAGAGCAGGGGAGATCAGACAGTATGTTTTTATCTCTCTTTTTTCCCCTTCAACTTTTATTATTAGTTCAGGGGTACATGTGGGGGTTTGTTACATAGGTAAATGTGTGCCATGGTGCTTTGCTGCACAGACCACCCCATCATCTAGATACTAAGTCCAGCATCCATTTGCTATTACTATTGATGCTCTTTCTCCTCCCAGTGACAGGCCACAGTGTGTGTTGTTCCCCTCTATGTGTCCATGTGTTCTCATCATTCAGCTCCCATTTATAAGTGAGAACATGTGGTGTTTGGTTTTCTGTTCCTGTGTTAGATTGCTGAGGGTAATGGCTTCTAACTCCAGCCATGTCCCTGCAAAGGACATGATCTCATTCCTTTTATGGCTGCATAGTATTCCATGGTGTATATGTACCATATTTTCTTATTCTGTCTATCATTGATGAGCATTTAGGTTGATTGCATGTCTTTGCTGTTGTGAATAGTGCTGTAATGAACATATGCATGGCTGTATCTTTATAATAGAATGGTGTATATTCCTTTGGGTATATACCCAGTAATGGAATTGCTGGGTCTAAGTCTTTGAGGAGACATTCATTGTCTCAATGGTTAGATGAATTTTCACTCCCACAAAAAGCATTTTTTATTCTCCACATCATGCCAGCATCTGTTTTTGACTTTTTAGTAACAGGCATTCTGACTGGTGTGAGATGATACCTCATTGTGGTTTTGATTTGCATTGCTTTAAGGATCAATGATGTTGAGCTTCTTTTTTTGGTGTTTGTTGGCAAATGCATATCCTCTTTTAAGAAGTGTCTGTTCATGTCTTTTGCACCCTTTTTTATGGGGTTGTTTGTTTGTTTTTTTTTCCTGTAAATTTGTTTAAGTTCCTTGTACTCTGGATGCTAGAACTTTGTCAGATGGATACACTGCAAAAGTTTTCTTCCATTCTGTAGGCTGTCCATTCACTATAATGGAGTTTCTTTCACTGTACAGAAACTCTTTAGTTTAATTAGATCCCATTTGTCAATTTTTGCTTTTGTTGCAGTTGTTTTTGTCATCTCCCATCATGAAATATTTTCCCATGCCTATTTCCTGAATGGTATTGCCTAGATTTTCTTCTAGGGTTTTTATAGTTTTGGGTTTTACATTTAAGTCTTTAATCTATCTTGGGTTAATTTTTGTATATGGTGTAAGGAATGGGTACATTTCAATTTTCTGTATATGGCTAGCCAGCTCTTCCAGCACCATTTATTAAAAAAGGAGTCCTTTCCCCATTGCTTTTTTTGGTAAGGTTTGTGGAAGATCAGATGGTTGTACATGTACAGTTTTATTTCTGAACTCTCTGTTCTGTTCCATTGGTCTATGTGTCTGTTCTTGTACCAGTGCCATGCTGTTTTCGTTACTGTAGTCCTGTAGTACCGTTTGAAGTTGGGGAGCGTAATGCCTCTAGCATTGTTCTTTTTGCTTAGAATTGTTTGGCTATTTGGGCTCTTTTTTTTGGTTTCATATGAATTTTAAAATAGTTTTTGATAATTCTGTGGAGAATGTCAATGGTAGTTTAACGGGAATAGCATTGAAATTACTTTGGGCAGTATGGCCATTTTCATGATATTGATTCTTCCTATCCATGAGCATGAAGTGTTTCTCTGTGTCCTCTCTGATTTCTTTGAGCAGTGGTTTGTAGTTCTACTTGAAGAGGTCTTTCACTTTTCTTGTTAGCCATATTCCTAAGTATTTTATTCTTTTTGTAGCAATCGTGAATGGGAGTTCATTGATGATTTGGCTCTCTGCTTGTCTGTTGTTGGTGTATAGGAATGCCAGTGATTTTTGCCCATTAATTTTGTATCCTGAGACTTCGCTGAAGTTACTTATCAGCTTAAGAAGCTTTTGGGCTGAGATGATGAAGTTTTCTAGTTATAGGATCACGTCAACATGTCATCTACAAACAAAGATAATTTGTCTTCCTCTCTTCCTATTTGAATATCCTTTATTTCTTTCTCTTGCCTGATTGCCCTGGCCAGAAGTTTTAATACTACGTTGAATAGGAGTGATAAGAGAGGACATGGTTGTCTTGTGCTGGTTTTCAAGGGGAATGCTTGAAGCTTTCGCCCATTCAGTATGATATTGGCTGTAGGTTTTTAATATATGGCTCTTATAATTTTGAGGTATGTTTCTACAATACCTAGTTTATTGAGAGTGAACATGAAGGGATATTATATTTTATTGAAGGCCTTTTCTGCATCTATTGAGATAAACATGTAGTTTTTATCTCTAGTTCTGTTACTGTGATTAACCACATTTATTGATTTCCATATGTTGAACCAACCTTGCAACCCAGGGATGAAGCCAACTTGATCATAGTGGATAAGCCTTTTGATGTGCTGCTGCATTTGGTTTGCTAGTGTTTCATTGAGGATTATTTTCATCAATGTTCATCAAGTATACTGACCTGAAGTTTTTTTGTTGTTGTTGCATTTCTGCCAGATTTTGGTATCAGGATGATGCTAGCCTCATAGAATGAGTTAGGGAGGAATCTGTCCTTTGTGATTTTTTGTGATAGTTTCAATAGAAATGGTACCAGTTCTTCTTTGTAGCTCTGTTAGAGTTCAACTGTGAATCCATTGGGTCCTGGGCTTTTTTGGTTGATGGGCTATTTATTATTGCCTCAATTTCAGAACTTGTTATTGGTCAATTCAGGGATTCAATTTCTTCCTTGTTCAGTCTTGGAAGGGTGTATGTGTTCAGGGATTTATCAATTTCTGCTAGATTTTCTTGTTTATGCACATAGAGATGTTTAATAATATTCTCTGATGGTTGTTTATATTTCTGTGGGGTCAGTGGTGATATCACCCTTATCATTTCTGATTCTGTTTATTGATTCTTCTCTCTCTTTTCTTCTTTATAAGTTTAGCTAGTGGTCTATTTTATTTTATTCAAAAAACCAGACTCTGGATTCGTGGATCTTTTGAGTGGTATTTTGTATCTCAATCTCCTTCAGTTCAACTCTGATTTTACTTATTTCTTGTCTTCCTCTAGGTTTGAGATTTTTTTGCTCTTGTTTCTTTACTTCTTTCAGTTGGGATGTTAGGTTTGTTAACTTGAGATCTTCTTAGCTTTTTGATGTGGGCATTTAGTGCTATAAATTTACCTCTTAACACTGCTTTAGCTGCATCCCAGAGATTCTGCTACGTTGTCTCTTTGTTCTCATTAGTTTCAAATGACTTCTTGATTTCTGCATTAATTTCATTATTTACCCAAGAGTCATTCAGGAGTAGGTTGTTCAATTTCCATGTAGTTGTGTGGTTTTGAGCAAATTTCTTAATCTTGAGTTCTAATTTGATGATGTTGTGGTCTGAGAGACTGTTTGCTATAATTTCAGTTTTTTGCATTTGCTGAGTGTTTTACTTTCAATCATGTGACCAATGTTGGAGTAAATGCTGTGTAGCAATAGGAAGAATGTATATTCTGTTGCTTTTGGGTGGAGAGTTCTGTAAATGTCTATCAGGTCTGCTTGATCCAGTGCTGAGTTCCAGTCCTGAATATCTTTGTTAATTTTCTGTCCCAATAATCTGTCTAATATTGTCAGTGGGGTGTTAAAATCTCCCACTATTATTGTGTGGAAGTCTGTGTCTCTTTTTTGGTCTCTAAGTACTTGCTTTATGAATCTGGGTGCTCCTGTATTGGATACATATATATTTAGGATAGTTAGCTCTTCATGTTGAACTGAACTCTTTACCATTACGTAATGCCCTTTTTTCATTTTTGATCCTTGTTGGTTTAAAGTCTGTTTTGTTAGTAACTAGGGTTGTAACCCCTGCTTTCTTTTTCCATTTGCTTGGTAAATTTTTATCCATCCCTTTATTTTGAGCCTTTTTGTGTCTTTCCATGTGAGATGGGTCTCTTGAACACAGCATACTGACAGGTCTTGGCTTTTTATCCAGTTTGCCATTCTGTGTCTTTTAATTGGGGCATTTAGCCCATTTGCACTTAAGGTTAGTATTGTTATGTGTATGTTTGATCCTGTCATCATGATGCTAGCTGGTTATTTTGCAGACTTGTTTATGTGGTTGTTTCATGGTGTCACTAGTCTGTGTACTTCAGTGTATTTTTGCTGTGGCCGGTAATTGTTTTTCCTTTCCATATTTAATGCTTCCTTCAGGAGCTCTTGCAAGGCTGGCCTGGTGGTGATGAATTCCCTTCGCAATTGCTTGTCTGAAAAGGATCTTATTTCTATATTACTCTTGTAGCTTAGTTTCACCAGATATGAAATTCTGGGTTGGAAATTAAGAATGCTTAATATTGGCCCTCAATCTTTTCTGACTTGTAGGGTTTCCACTGAGAGTTCTGCTGTTAGTCTGATGTATTTCCCTTTGTAGGTAACCTGGCCTTTCTCTGGCTGCCCTTACCATTTTTTTTTTTCCATTTTGACATTGGACAGTCTGATGATTATGTGTCTTGGGGTTCATCTTCTCATGGGGTATCTTACTGGCATTCTCTGCGTTCCCTGAATTTGAATGTTGGCCTCTCTTGCTAGGTTGGGGAAGTTCTCCTGAATGATGTCCTAAAGTATGTTTTCCAACTTGGTTCCATTCTCCTCATCTTTTTCAGGTACTCTAATTAGTTGTAAATTTGGTCTTTTTACATAATACCATATTTCTTGGAGGTTTTGTTCATTTTCTTTTCATTCTTTTTTCTCCATTCTTGTCTTCCTGTCTTATTTCAGAAAGATAGTCTTTAAGCTCTGAGATTCTTTCATCTGCTTGGTCTGTTCTGCTATTGATACTTGTGATTGCATTGTGAAGTTATCATGTTGTGTTTTTCAGCTCCATTGGATTAGTTATGTTCCACTCTAAGCTGGCTGTTCTGGCTATCAGCTTCTGTATTGTTTTACCATAACTCTTATTTGCATTGGGTTACAACATGTTCCTTTAGCTCAGCAAAGTTCTTTATCGCCACCTTCTGAAGCCTACTTCTATCAATTCAGCCATCTCAGCCTCAGTCCAGTTCTGTGCCCTTGCTGGAGAGGTGTTGTGGTCATTTGGAGGAGAAGAAGCACTCTGGCTTTTTCAGTTTTCAGTATTTTGGGGTTGACTTTTTCTCATATTTGCGGGCTTATCTACCTTTGATCTTTGAGATTGCTGACCTTTGAATGAGGTCTTTGTGGTGTCTGTTTTGTTGGTGTTGTTCTTGTTTTCTTTTTGTTTGTTTTTCTTTTAACTTTCAGCCTATTCTACTGTAGGGTTGCTGTGATTATTGGGGGTCTGCTCCAGACCCCCAAAGTAGTTGCCTCAGTTTTTCCCATACCTTGAGGTATCACTAGTAAATACTGTGAAACAGCAAAGATGGCAGCCAGCTTATTCCTCTGGAAGCTCCATCCCAGGGGTGTACTGACAAGTTGCTGGCCTAAACATACCTGTACAAGGTGGCTGGAGACTGCTGTTCAGAGGTCTCATCCAGTCAGGAGGAATGGTATCAGAGACCTGCTTAAATAAGTAGTCTGGTTGCTTTTTGGTAGAGCAGGTGTGCTATGTTGGGGGACAACCTTTCTTCATCTAGACTGTTTGTATTCTCCAAAGCCAGAAGGCTGTAACAGCTGACTCTACTGAGCCACAGAGATGGTGGCTGACCTTCCCTTCAGGAGCTCTGTCCCAGGAATAGTTCAGAGCTCTGTCTATAGAACCCTTGCTGGAGTGGCTGAAGTCCCCACAAGGAGGTCCTGCCCAATGAGGAGGAATGGATCAGGGTCCTGCTTAAAGAAGCAGTCTAGTGGGAGACCCTTCCTCATCTGAATTGTTTGTATTCTTTAAAGCCAGCAGACTGGAACAGCTGAGTCTACTGAGCTGCAGAGATGGCAGCAGCCCCACTGCCTGGGAACTTGGATCCATCTCAGACAGATTCCAGCCTGTTGCCATTTGCTGGCTGGAATTACAAGCCAGTGGATCTTAACTTGTGAGATGCCATGAAAATGGGGGCTGCAGAAGGATGCTGTTTTGCTCCCTGGATTCAGGTCCCTTCCTCAGGATATGAATGGATGGGTTTCTTGCCTTGCCAGAGATCATGGGACCAGAGTATGTAAACCTCCTGGGTCTCTGTGTGTGCCTGAGTGGCTGCTTTGACAAGACTCCACACAGCTTTATGTATCTGACCCAAGGCCCTGGTGGCATGGACTCACAAGGGGATCTCCTGATCCATAGGTTGCAAAGATCCATGGGAGAAGTGTGGTTGCCCAAGGTAGGGTTTGCACTATCACTCACTGCTTCCCTTGTTTGGGGGTGGGGGTTTCTTTGGCTCTGTGCTGCTCCCAGGTGGGCCATCACCACTGCTAACTTTGCTTCATTCTCCGTGCATTGAGTTGTTTGCCTAGTCAGTCTCAATGTGAAAACCTGCATATTTCAGTTGAGGGTGTTAAATTCCCTTACCCCTTTCCATTTCTCTCCGTGAGTGCTGAGAAATGCAGCTGCTTCTCATCAGCCACCTTGGATGGATGGACAGTAGTTTTTGTTTTTTAAATGACAACATTTTAAGGTTATTTAATTGATAGGCTTTAATTAATAATGGATCATTATTTTCAAGATGATCAATTCTAGACCTTTAGGAGGACCTTCTATTGAGCATCTCCCTGTCTTTATTTGAAAATTATTCCTCAAGAGAACCCACACATTCTCTGAAGGAAGCAGATTGCTCCTGGAGGTCCCAGGAGACACCCCAAATACTGTGAGTGTCCAAACTGTGGAAGTGGGAAGAGTAGATTATCTTCACCAAAACATACACCCCCACTGGGGAACCTGAAGGTCTAAATTAAAGGAGAAGATTCTGACCTTACCTGAAGCTGAGTCAATTTAGAGAGCCAAGTGAAATACAGCAGTAGAGGAAGCAGCAGGAAAATCCCTGTGGGCTCACTGGATTCCCTACTAAGACATTTCTGCCTCCCATCACAGGCATCCTTGAGGAGGGCTGCTGGAGGCACTGAGAAAATGCCACAGGGAGAAGAAAACCTCCAATTGAAATTTGTAGCAATTTGAACTGATTGAGAAGTCTCTTGGGCAGAACTTGGGAAACGGCATGAATCTGGTGTGCAGACTCCACACGTCGGGGAAGAAGGAAAGCCCTACTTATTTTTGAAGCTGGGAGGTGGGTAGCCTGGGGCAGGTTCTCAGCCCTGTTCACCCACTGCCTGGAAACAGGGTGCTGTTGAGGGGAGCAAGGTGGAAGGGAGACCGGCCCTTTGGGTTGTGTGAAAGCTGGGTGAGGATGGTGACTGCTGGCTTTCCCCCATTTCCCTTACAACCTGCATGACACAGCAAAGGCAGCCATAAGCCTCCTAGGAACATAACTCCATTGACCTGAGACCCACACCCCCATCCCCCACAGCAGCCACAGCAAGGCCCGCCCAAGTAGAGTGTAAGCTCAGACATGCCTAGCCCTGCCCCCACCTAATGGTCATCCTCTACTCACCCTGGTAACTCAAAGGGCATATACTCTTAGGAGTTCTAGGGCCCCACCCACCACCTGTTCCTCCCCATACTACCACAGCTGATGCTTTCTTGAAAGTGCCATCTCCCAGCAGGAGGCCAACCAGCACAAAAATAGTGTGTTAATCAACCAAAGCTAAGGACCCTCACAGAGTCCATTTCACTCCCCTGCCAACTCCACTGGAGCAGATGCTAGTATCCATGGCTGAGAGACCCACAGATGGTTTACATCAAAGGACTCTGTGCAGACAACCCCAGTACCAGCTCAGAGCCTGGATGATTTGCTTGTTGGCTAGACCCAGAAGAGAGAGAACAATTACTACAGCTTGGCTTTCAGGAAGCCACATGCCTAGGAAAAGGGGGAGAATACTACATCAAGGAAACACCCTGTGTGACAGAAGGAACTGAACAGCAGCCTTGAGCCCTAGACCCTTCCTCTGACAGAGCCTACCCAAATGAGAAGAAACCAGAAAACCAGCTCTGGTAATATGACAAAACTAGGTTCTTTGACAGCTCCCAAAAATTACATTAGGTTTTCAGCAGTCAACCCAAACTGAGAATAAATCCCTGATCTACCTGAAAAAGAATTCAGAAGGTTAGTTATCAAGCTAATTAGGGAGGCACCAGGGAAAGGCGAAGCCCAATGTAAAGAAACCCAGAAAAGGACACAAGAAGTGAAGGGAGAAATATTCAATGAATATTGAATGAATCCCTATAAGCTAGAAGGGATTGGGGTCCTATCTTTAGCCTCCTCCAAAACAACAATTATCCGTCCAGAATTTTGTACCCAAAAAAACTAAGCTTCAGAAGTGAAGGAAAGATAGTATTTTTCAGACAAACAAACACTGAAAGAATTTGCCACTATCATGCCAGCACTACAAGAACTGCTAAAAGAAACTCTAAGGCCAGGCACGATGGCTCACACCTGCAATTCCAGCACTTTCGGAGGCTGAGGTGGGCGGATCACAAGGTCAGGAGATTGGGACCATCCTGGCTAACATGGTGAAACCCCATCTCTACTAAAAAGACAAAAAACTAGCCGGGCATGGTGGCAGGCGCCTGCAGTCCCAGCTACTTGGGAGGCTGAGGCAGGAGAATGGCATGAACCCGGAAGGCGGAGCTTGTAGTGAGCCAATATCACGCCACTGCACTCCAGCCTCAGTGACAGAGCGAGACTCCGTCTCAAAACAAAACAAAACAAAACAAACAAAGAAACTCTAAATCCCAGAAACACATCAAAACAGAACTTCTTTAAAGCATAAATCTCACAGGACCTAGAAAACACAAATACAATTTTAAAAAAAACAAGGTATACAGGCAAAAATAGCATTATGAATGAAATGGTACTTCACAAATCAATACTAACATTGAATGTAAATGAGTCAACTGCTCCACATAAAAGATACCTAATTACTAAATGGATAAGAATTCACCAACCATTTATCTGTTGCCTTCAAGAGACACAACTAACACATAAGGACTCACATAAACTTAAGGTAAAGGGATGGAAAAAGATATTCCATGCAAAGGAACACCAAAATTGAGCAGGGGTAGTTATTCTTTTTTTTTTTTTTTTTTTTTTTTGAGATGTAGTCTCGCTCTGTCCCTCAGGCTGGAGTGCAGTGGTGCCATCTCGGCTCACTGCAAGCTCCACTTCCCGGGTCCACGCCATTCTCCTGCCTCAGTCTCCTGAGTAGCTGGGACTACAGGTGCCCGCCACCACGCCCAGCTAATTTTTTGTATTTTTAGTAGAGATGGGGTTTCACCATGTTAGCCAGGAGAGCAGAAGTAGTTATTCTTATATCAGACAAAACAAACTTTAAAGCAACAACAGTTAAAAAGGACAAAGAAGGTCATTATACAATGATAAAAGGACTTGTCCAACAGCAAAATATCACAATCCTAAATATATATGCACTTAATACTGGAGCTCTCAAATTTATCAAACAATTACTAATAGACCTAAGAAATGAGATAGACAGCAACACAATACTAGCGGGGGACTTCAGTACTCCACTGAAAGCACTAGACAGGTCATCAAGACAGAAAGTCAACAAAGAAAATGGATTTAAAGTATACCCTGGAACAAATGGACTTAACAGATATTTACAGAACATTCTATCCAACAACTGCAGAATATACCTTCTATTAAACAGCACATGGAACTTTCTCCAAGACAAACCATATGATAGACCACAAAACCAGCCTCAGTAAATTCAAGAATATTGAAATTATATCAAGCACTGTGTCAGACAACAGTGGAATAAAGCTGGAAATCAACTCCAAACGGAACATTCACAACCATGTAAATATATGGAAATTAAATAACCTGCTCCTGAATGATCAGTGGGTCAAAAACAAAATCAAAATGGAAATTTAAAAATTCTCCAAGAGGAATTCTTAATAAGGAATTCTTAAGAGGAAAGTTCATGGCCCTAAATGCCTACATCAAAAAGTCTGAAGGAGCACAAACAATCTAAGGTCACACCTCAAGGAACTACAGAAACAAGAACAAACCAAACCCAAACCCAGCAGAAGAAAGGAAATAACAAAGATCAGAGCAGAAATAAATGAAATGGAAACAAAAACAATACAAAAGATAAGTGAAACAAAAAGCTAGTTCTTTGAAAAGTAAATGAAATTGATAGACCATTAGCAAGATTAACCAAGAATAGAGACAAAATCCAAATAAGCTCAATTAGAAACAAAATGGGAGACATTACAGCGGACACCACAGAAATACAAAGATTATCCAAGGCTACTATGAACACTTTTATGCACATAAACTAGAAAACCTAGAGGAGATAGTTAAATTCTTAGAAAGATACAAGCTTCCTAGCTTAAATCAGGATGAGTTAGATATTCTGAACAGACCAATAACAAGCAGTGAGATTGAAATGGTGATTAAAAAATTACCAACAAAAAAAATCCAAGACAAGATAGATTCACAGTAGAATTCTACCAGACTTTCAAAGAAGAATTGGTATCAAGGACTTAAGTCTAAGACCTGAATCTATAAAAATTCTAGAAGACAACATTGAAAAACCCCTTCTAGACACTGGCTTGGGCAAGGATTTCATGACCAAGAACCCAAAAGCAAATGCAATAAGAACAAAGATAAATAGCTGAGACTTCATTAAACTAAAAAGCTTTTGCACAGCTAAAGGAGCAGTCAGAAGAGTAAACAGACAACCCACAGAGTGGGAGAATATCTTCACAATCTATACCTCTGACAAAGGAGTAATGTCCAGAATCTACAACGAGCTCAAATGAATTAGCAAGGAAAAAAAAACAAAGAATCCCATCAAAAAGTGGGCTAAGGACATGGATAGACAATTCTCAAAAGAAGATATACAAATGGCCAACAAATATATGAAAAAATCCTCAACATCTATAATGATCAGGGAAATGCAAGTCAAAACCACAATGCAATACCAGCTTACTCCTGCAAGAATGGCCATAATAAAAAAAATCAAAAACAATAGATGTTGGTGTGGATGCGATGAAGAGGGAACACTTCTACACTGCTGCTGGGAACGTAAACTAGTACAACCACTATGGAAAACAGTGTGGAGATTCCTCAAAAAACTAAAAGCAGAACTACCATTTGATCTAGCAATCCCACTACTGGGTATCTACCCAGACAAAAAGAAGTCACTATATGAAAAAGATACGTGCACAGGCATGTTTATAGCAGCACAATTTGCAATTGCAAAAACGTGGAACCAACCCAAGTGCCCATCAATTAATGAGTGGATAAGGAAACTGCGATATACAGATATATATATATGATGGAATACTACTCAGCCATAAAAAGGAATGACTTAATGGCATTTGCAGCGACCTGAATGAGATTGGAAGCTATTATGCTAAATGAAGTAACTCAGGAATGGAAAACCAAACATTGTATGTTGTCACTCACATGTGGGAGCTAAGCTATGAGGATGCAAAGGCATAAGAAAGACACAGTGGTCTTTGGGGACTAAGGGGGAAAGGGGGCGAGGGATAAGAACACCACAAATTGGGTGCAGTGTATACTGCTCGGGTGATGGGTGCACCAAAATCTCACAAACCACCACCAAAGAACTTACACATGTAACTAAACAACACCTGTTCCCCAATAACCTATGGAATTAAAAAATTAAAAAAAAAACAGTTTGAAAACCATAGGCATATTTTATTACCTTACAGTTTTATTCAGAAAGACTCGTTGTCTTTGCATAATTTATTTTTTAATTGTATCATAAAATACATAAACTCCATATTTTCTCCTACTCTGACGGTTATTGTATCCATTTTCTTATGCTGTTTTATGGTTCCTGCTTTGTTTCATGAAGACTCTTTTTTTTTTTTTTTTTGAGACAGAGTCTCACTCTGTTGCCCAGGCTGAAGTACAATGGCATGATCTCAGCTCACTGCAATCTCCGCCTCCCGGCTTCAAGCGATTCTCCTGCCTCAGCTTCCTGAGTAGCTGGGATTACAGGCGCCTGCCACCACGCCCGGCTAATTTTTGTATTTTTATTAGAGACTGTGTTTCACCATGCTGGCCAGGCTGGTCTTGAACTCCCGACCTCAGGCGATCCGCCCGCCTTGGCCTCCCAAAGTGCTGGGATTACAGGCATGAGCCACCGCGCCCGGCGTTATGAAGACTCTAACTTTTTAGGGATTCAATTAGACTAGTTCTTAAATTATAGCACCTGATTCAAATATTTAAAACTGTTTTGGGGAAGGAAGATATTTCAGCATACATGGTACTAAAGCATCTAACAGCAGATTATGTTGTTTCTTTTTTCTTAAAGTTTGTGTTTTTAAGTGATAAATATTATAAAATGTAAATAAGTAAAATTAGAAAAAATCAAAAGTACCTAAAAAATATTAAAATATTCTTAATAAAATTCAACTATTTTCAAATGTGAACAAAAATAATAATTCTTAATTTTAGGATGGGTATGGTGGCTCATGCCTATAATCCCAGCACTTTGTGAAGCTGAGGTGGGAGGATCACTTGAGCCCAGGAGTTTTAAACCAGCATGGGAAACGTAGTGAGACCTCATCTCCATAAAAATATTTAAAACAAATTAGCTGTGCATTAGCTAGGATGTATACCTATAGTCCTAGCTATTAGGGAAGCTGAAGGAAGAGGATCACTTGAGCCCAGGAGTTCAAGGCTGAAGTAAGCTATGATCGCACCACTGCACTCCAGTCTGGGTGATAAAGCAAGACTCTGTGTCAAAATTTTAAAATTTCTTAAAGAGTGTTTGTGTGTGTGTGTGTGTGTGTGTGTTATGGAGTGTACGTAAATGGCTGGAGGACGTGAATAAGTCAATAATTGCTAGAAGAAGCCTACTTTTGACATGTTTGCTACCTGAGATGGCCCACTCTCCCTTCTCCCCACCTCATTTTAGATACTAGAAAACCAAAGCCCAGAGACTTGAGGTGGTTTGTTTGAGGCCAAACAACTAGTGAGTATAGAGGCAGCCCTGGAACAAAGACGTCTGTTTCCTTTGGCCTGTGTCTCTTCTGCAATATGACGCTAAGTCTCCAATGTCACATCTAATTACAGCAACTGGCATTTCTTGAAGAGCAAGGATTAGAAAAAGGTTGAATAGAAATATACACATTCTTAAAAATCATTGTGTCTTCAGAAATATTTGAAATTTTACAAAAGCCAGATAGAGAGAAAGGGAAGGCAGAATGAATGTTTACAGTCACAAGATGGGAAACACTAAGCATTTGCCTATAACCTAGCACAAAAACTTGAGCATTTATTTCTTCTTTATGGCTGTAAAGCAGCAGGAAGATACAAGCTGTTCCATTCAGAAACCACAGAAAAATGCTTCTGTGATCTGGAGCTGCCTGTAGCATATGGAACACATTCTTTGGATTTAATATGCAAACATTCAACAGACTATCTTTCCCTCCCAGTCTCTGCACATAAGCAGTGGGCCTTGCTCAAGGACTGGCTGACTGGTGCTTGATTTGGGGAAGGAATGCTGAATCTGCACCCCTTTCCCCCCAGCAGAGGAGTTTTTGCTTTGCGAAGCTGTGAAAGGTCAATAGAAAAATTGGCAAGCGTAGCACTCTCCTTGGATGTTTAAGGTTGGAAAATGAATGATATAAATGTCTAATTAGAGAAGAAAGACACTTCCACATTTAATCATGCTGGGGGCTCTGTCGCACTCCATCTCATTATCACTTCTGCTACCTACAGTCTTCCCTGACACTTCTCCTATTACTTTCCATCAGCCATGCCAGTCCCTGCACTTGAGCAGCTGAGCTGCGCTTTGCTGCAGGCTGCCTTTGATATAGAGGTGACACAAGGACCAAAGCCCTGGTTCAAGCTTCTTTTGTGTTTCATGGGAAAAAGCCACCAATTCAAATACAGTCAAGGATCATGATCAGACTTTTGGCTCTGCTAACTTCAGCTCTAGGAAATTCCCTACTTAAAAGACAGACTAAAGTGTTCATGTAGACATCTATAGAAAATACCGAGCTGTCATCTTCCAGGGAGCCGTGATTTTCAAGGCAAATTAACTACCAGCATTTTGATGAATTTCAGCTCTGAGCTTTTCCTATTGTGCATGGGAACTTAAGAGTACTACCCTTGGGATTTTAACAGCAAATATATGAACACTCAGCAACTGTTTATAATTCCCAGTTCCATAGGAGTAAAACATCAGGGAAGAGGATAAAACGGAAACAAAGACATAGTCCTAAGTTCAAAAGTACTAGGACTTTTTTTGTTTTTTGTTTTGTTTGTTTTTTGTTTTTTTGATCTTGGCTGATCACCAACTCTCTCACTTGTTTGAGAAAAGAAATCTTAGTTTTCTCACATAGCAGGGTAAAAAACAAAGTACAATTAACAGTGGAGGGTTCACATTTGGTTAAGGGCTTTTCAGGCCAAATAGGCGACATTGTCTTCTGCATTCTAAAAACTTTCCCTATAATTCAAAGGGAAAAGGATGACGACAGACTTGGTTTCATGCCCAATCACCTCTCAACTCTGTGTTGAAGAAATTTAGAATGCACCAGAAGGACAAATTTCGGATGTGGGTAGCGGTATTTTAAATGCAGGCGAGAGAAAATGCTCTTCTGTAAAGGGTGGATCCTAACGTTGCTGACGGGAAGCCTCAGCACCCACAGCTTATTTCTTCACTTCCCTCCTGACAAAACAGCATTGAAAACAAAACCACAAACCTGATGTGAGGATCAAATAACATCATGCAAGCAAAAGAAAATTCCATGGCAGAACGTGAGGCACTACAGGAAAAGCGCGATGTTGCGTGAGTCGTACTGGCCAGGCCTGGGTGCCCGGGGGAGGCGTGCCCAGAACAGAGCCAGGTGCACCCTTGTGGCCAGTACGACGCTCCGCTTCGCACACTGGAGTCCCCATTGCCTGCCGTCTTCACAGAGCAAGAACAGCTGGGCTCCTCCACCCACCCGGCTGGCCGTCTGGAAGCAGAGAGAGTACAGACTGTGCGGGGATTTGGGAGAATGCAGAAGGCAGTTTGTTCCGTTATGGCAAGGATTGAGCCTCCTTATAAGCAAAAATGTCTACTTCGTGATGGCGGGGGTTATGCTCGAGGGGACTGCGCTGTTCCTCTCAACTGTTGGTAGTTTTTCCCCACAGAGCCTCCAGATCTCAGAGATGGGAGTTCCAGGGGCTGAGCCACAGGTGTCCAGTGGGAGACAGGGCCTCCCTCGTACTGGGAAATCAAGCTCAGAGAAGCATTCTCTTTTCTCTTCTCTCCTTTTATTGGTATTTGATGGAGATTATATCTTGATTTTTAAATCATCAGAGAAGTACCAGTAGCAAATGCTACCAAATCTGTAGAGAGCCAAGAGGGAATAGCTTCATAATAAAGGGATAATAATTGGAGAGCAGCTAAGGATCGCATTGAATGGACAGAAATCCACCCAGGAGGGGTGCCTAAGAATGCCCTCTACATATGCAAGGCCCACTTTTAGGTTTAGGTTTTGACACTACATGTCGTAATTGAAATAAAGTTCAACATATGGGAAATATTTCTGCTCTGCTTCTCAGGACACACCATTTCCATTCAGGGCCTCCCACGCGTGTATTCTATCCAAACTTCTTGAAATCTCTTTCTGCACTTCTAGGCTCCTTTTATGTGTGGTTGAGAGTGGAAAAGACCTGAAACCACTCTCTGACTAAACACCTGGAACAAGTGGTTTCCTTACTAAAACTCTTAGTGCTGCCCCAAATCCATTTAACAATTATCTTGTTAATTGGGAGACTTTAGACTTTGTTAATTGGGCCTCGGTATTTCTCCATGCCCTTCTCAATTAACCCAATTTCATTTTGAAACAGAGAATTTCCCCAGTGTAGGTAACCCCTTCCTGTGCAGGCTTCTCACAATAGAGATTTTTTTTCCTCCCTATTTTTTCTAGCAAAAGAAAACAAAGCAAACCTTAGAACTGACCTTTGCAAAGTAAGCCCATGAGCAAAAGGAAAGCTCCCCAATTCACTTCATTGGTCAGTGGCTAAGAAAGAGGGATAAACCTCATCTCAGGATGGTGCAGAGCTGAATTCACAGTGTCCTAAGTGAGCAGGAGAAACAGGGAAGAAAAATAGGAGAAAGAGAAGGAGCAAAATGAGGCCTAAAACAACTCCAGGTTCAGATGATAAATGGAAAGAGCAATGGAGTGTTCTTTGGGATTATGAAAAAGTCCCAGAATGGTTTACATGTAAATGTGTTCCCTTTTCCTTAACTACTTCTCTGTATTTAAATTTTTCTTTCTATTCTTCAGTTTATCCCCACATCTTTTCCTTTTCCTTTTTTTTAAACATTTCCTGCTTTGGTTTTTATTTCCCATATTTGGTTACTGTTTTCTTTCTCAATAGTCCTCTGTTTCTTCTGTTATTTCTATTTACTAAGTTTATTATCACTTTCTAGGCTTTATCTTTTCTCCCACCTTCTCTAGCTATCATTGAATATAAGGAGGATATAGAAAAATGACTTCTAGAGCTATAGACTTTCAAACTATTGGGATATAAATCAACTTTCTACAACAATATTTCTCTTTTATCCTAGAGGCAAAGCTTATTTGTTTACTAATAGACATGAGTTCACTCATTAGAAATTGTCAGAGCAGCTACTAGGTTGTAGTCACTCTTTAAAATCCTGGGAATACACAGATAAACATTATGGAAACACTTACCAAGCATGTACTCCATTTCAGCACAACACTGAACATTTCCCTTATTTCTCTGCTAAACCTTATAATCTATCTTATGAAGACAGTTCAATTTCCCCCATTTCCAGATCACAGGCATTATGTGTTATGACCACAATATAAACCCAGCAATTTGTCTATAGAGCATCTGCCTTTAACTGCTTTGTTCTGCAATCTTCCTTAGACCTTGTCATCAGGTAACCTAGAGTCTAGTGGAGATGACTGACATGTAAAGTGAGGAGTTCTCCTATAGAATGTGTGGGGTGATGTACTGGGTCATTATATAGTTGGGTAGGCTGTATACTGCACAACTTGAGGAAGTCCCATTTACATATCCCTTACAGTACATAGTATGGTGGTAGAGTTTGGAGGATATTGCAGAATTCCTAAGACAGAGGTTGTATGGACAGGCTTTGGGTAAACGGAAAGTGTCAAGGAGAAAGAATTATAGAGAGACCAAGAGACTGAGATAACTTGGGATCAGGTTGTGAATGGTCTACTATTCTGTTGTGCTGCATACAATGTATAATGATCATATCAGAGTATTTAGGATATCCATGATCTTGAACATTTATCATTTCTTTGTGTTGGGAACATTTCCAATGATCTCTTCTAGCAGATTTGAAATATACAATATATTGTTAACTATAGTCACCCCCTGTGCTATTAAACACTAGAATTTATTTT
The DNA here is from genome assembly GCF_000001405.40 of Homo sapiens. NCBI lineage: Eukaryota > Metazoa > Chordata > Mammalia > Primates > Hominidae > Homo > Homo sapiens. The sequence goes on along the minus strand of NC_000005.10, from coordinate 114,855,551 downwards.
TATAAATGTATTTTCTTACCCATTAACCAACCTTTCTTCATCTCCCCGCGCCACCGACCCGTTTTAACCTCTGCTATCATCCTACTGTCTATCTCCATGAGCTTAACATTTTTAGTTTTCACATGTGAATGAGAACATGCAATATTTATTGATATACCTGGCTTATTTCACTTAACATAATGTCCTCCATTTCCAATTGATAGGATTTCATTCTTTCTTTATGACTAAATAGTATTCCATTATGTTTATATATCACCTTTTAAAAATATACTCATCTACTGATGGACACTTAGGTTGATTCCATATATTTGCTATTGTGAATAGTACTGTGATAAACATGCAAGTGCAGTTATCCCTTTAGTATATTGATTTCCTTTCCTTTAGATAAATAGTCAGTAGTAGGATTGCTGGATCATATGGTAGTTCTATTTTTAGTTCATTTAGAAATTTCCATAGTGTTTTTCATAATGGCTGTACTAATTTAAATTCCTACAAAAAGTGTATAAGAGTTCTCTTTTCTCCACATCCTTGCCAGCATCTATTATTTTTCTTTTTGATAATAGTTATTTTATCAGGGTTAAGATGATATCTCCAGTTCTCAGAGGGAATGCTTTCAACTTTTCCACATTCATTATTATGTTGGTTGTGGGTTTGTCATAGATGGCTTTTATTATGTTATGGTATGTCCCTTGTATGCCAATTTTGCTGAGAGTTTTAATCATAAAGGGATGCTGGATTTCGTTGAATACTTTTTCTGCACCTACTGAGATGATCAGGTGATTTTTATTTTTAATTCTGTTTATATGGTGTATCACATTTATTGACTTTTATATGTTAAACCATCCCTGTATCCCTGGTATGAAACCCACTTTATCATGTTAGATTATCATTTTGATATGCTGTTGGATTCCAGTACCTAATATTTTGTTAAGGATTTTAGTGTCTATGTCCATCAAAAATATCGGTCTGTAGTTTTCTTTTTGGTTATGTCCTTTATTGATTTTGGTATTAGGGTGATGCTGGCTTCATAGAATGAATTAGGGAGGGTTCCCTCTTTCTCTGTCTTGTGGAATAATGTCAAAAGGATTGGTACCAAATCTTCTTTGAATGTCTGGTAGAATTCTGCTGTGAATCCATCTGGTCCTGGACTTTTTTTTTGTTGTTGGTAATTTTTTAAATACCATTTCAATCTCTCTGCTTGTTATTGATCTGTTCAGGATATCTTATGCTTTCTAATTTAAGTTAGGAGGGTTGTATTTTTCCAGGAATTTACCCATCTCTTCTAGATTTTCTAACGTATGTGTGTAAAGGTATTCCTAGTAGCCTTGAATAATCATTTGTATTTCAGTGGTGTCAGTTGTAATATCTCCTGTTTCATTTCTTATTGAGGTTATTTGGATTTTCTCTCTTTTTTTCTTGGTTAATCTTGCTAATGGTCTATCAATTTTATTTATATTCTCAAAGAACTAGCATTTGTTTCATTTATCTTTTATATTTTCTTTGTTTCAGTTTCGTTTAGTTCCACTCTGATCTTGATTATTTCCTTTTATTTGCTGGGTTTGGGTTTGGTTTGTTCTTGTTTCTCTAGTTCCTTGAGGTGTGACCTTAGAATGTCAGTTTGTGCTCTTTCAGACTTTTTGAGGTAGGTGTTTAGGGCTATGAACTTTCCTCTTAGCACCATCTTTGCTGTATCTCAGAGGTTTTGATAGGTTGTGTCATTGTGGTCATTCAGTTCAAATAATTTTTAAATTTCCATCTTGATTTCATTTTTGACCCAGTGATCATTCAGGAGCAGGTTATTTAATTTATATGTGTTTGCATGGTTTTGTAGGTTCCTTTTGGAGTTGATTTCCAGTTTTATTCCACTGTGGGATGCCCACTCTCACTACTCCTCTTCAACATACTACTGGAAGTCCTAGGCAGAGCAATCAGACAAGAGAAAGAAAGAAAAGGCATCCAAATTGTAAAGAGGAGGTTAAACTGTCACTATGTGCTGACAATATGATTGTTTACCACAAAAACCCTAAACACTCCTCCATAAGCTCCTAGAACTGAAAAAAGAATTCAGCAAAGTTTCCGGATACAAGATTAATGTACACACATCAGTAGCTCTTCTGTACACCAATGGTGATGAAGCAGAGAACCAAATCAAGAACTCAATCCCTTTCACAATAGCAGCAAAAGAATAAAAAAAAATACAAATATACCTAACCAAGGAGACAAAAGATCTCTACAAGGAAAACTACAAAACACTGCTGAAAGAAATCATAGATGACACAAACAAATGGAAACATCCCATGCTCATGAATAGGTAGAATCCATATTGTGAAAATGACCATACTGCCACAAGCAATCTACAAATTCAATGCAATCCCCATCAAAATACCACCATTGTTCTTCACAGAATTAGAAAAAACTATTCTAAAATTCATTTGGAGCCAAAAAGGAGCCCACATAGCCAAAGCAAAACTCAGCAAAAAGAACAAATCAGGAGACATCCCACTATCTGATTTCAAACTATGTTATAAGGCCATAGTCACCAAAACAGCATGGTACTGGTATAAAAATAGGCACATAGACTAATGGAACAGAATAGAGAACCCACAAATAAACCCAAATACTTACAGGGAACTCATCTTTGACAAAAGAAGCAAAAACATAAAGTGGGGAAAAAAACACCCTTTTCAATAAATGGTGCTGGGATAATTGGCTAGCCACCTGTAGGGGAATGAAACTGGATCCTCATCTGTCACCTTATATAAAAATCAACTCAAGATAGATTAAAGACTTAAATCTAAGACCTGACACTATAAAAATTCTAGAAGACAACATTGAAAAACCCTTCTAGACACTGGCTTAGGCTATGATTTCATGACCAAGAACCCAAAAGCAAATGCAATAAAAACGAAGATAAATAGCTGGGACTTCATTAAACTAAAGAGTTTTTGCACAGCCAAAGGAGCAGTCAGAAGAGTAAGCAGACAACCCACAGAATGGGCAAAAGTGCTCACAATCTATACATCTGACAAATGACTAATGTCCAGAATCTACAACAAACTCAAACAAATTAGCAAGAAAAAACAAAGAATCCCATCAAAAAGTGGGCTAAGGACATGAACAGACAATTCTCAAAAGAAGATATACAAATGGCCAACAAACATGAAAAAATCCTCAACATCTATAATGATCAGGGAAATGCAAGTCAAAACCACAATGCGATACCACCTTACTCCTGAAAGAATGGCTATAATCAAAAAATCAAAAACAGTAGTTGTTTGTGTGGATGCGTTGAACAGGGAACACTTCTATACTGCTGATGGGAATGTAAACTAGCACAGCCATTATGGAAAACAGTGTGGAAATTCCTTAAAGAACTAAAAATAGAAGTACCATTTGATCCAGCAATCCCACTACTGGGTATGTACCTAGAGGAAAAGTAGTCATTATATGAAAAATGTTCTTGCACAGGCATGTTTATAGCAGCACAGTTTGGAATTACAAAATCGTGGAACCAATCCAAATGTCCATTAATCAATGAGTGTATAAAGAAACTGTGGTATATATGTACAATGGAATACTACTCAGCCATAAAAAAGAATGAATTAATGGCATTTACAGCAACTTGGATGAGACTGGAGACTCTTATTCTAACTGAAGTAACTCAGGAATGGAAAACCAAACATCATATGTTCTCACTCACATGTGGGAGCTAAGCTATGAGGACGCAAAGGCATAAGAATGATACAATGGACTTTGGGGACTTGCGGGGAAGGATGGGAGAGAGGCGAGGGATAAAAGACTACAAATAGTGTGCAGTGTGTACTGCTCAGGTGACAGGTACACTGAAATCTCACAAATCACCACTAAAGAACTTACTCATGTAACTAAATACCACCTGTACCCCAATAACCTATGGAAGAAAAAGGTGATATCTCCTTGTGTTTTTTATCTGCATTTCCATGATGATGAGTGATGTTGAGCTTCTTTTAAAAATATGTCTGTTGGCGATTTTTTATGTCACCTTTTGAGAAATATCTATTCATGTCGTAAGTCCAATTTTTAATGGATTTTTTTTAGTCTTGAGTTATTTGAGTTTCTTATACATTTGGAATATTAAGCCCTTATTGGATAAGTAGTTTGCACATATTTTCTCCCATTTAACAGGTTGTCTTTTCATTCTGTTGATTGTTTCCTTTGCCATGTAGAAGCTTTTTAGTTTAATATAGTCCCATTTGTCTGTTTGTGTATAGCTGTCTGTGCTATTGAGATCTTAGCTGTGTAATCTTTGCCTAGACTGATGTCTTGAAGTGATTTTCCTATCTTTTCTGACAGTTTTATAGTTTTGAGTCTTACATTTTTCTCAACTCCATTTTGAGTTGATATTTGTATATGGGGACAGATGGGGGCCAGTTTTATTCTTCTGCATGTGGATATCCAATTTTCCTAGTACCATTTATTAAAGAGGATGTCCTTTCCCTAGTGTATGTTCTTGGTGCCTTTACCAAAAATTAGTTGGCATAGATGTGTGGACTTATTTCTGAATTCTCTTCTGTTCAATTGGTTTGTATGTCTGCTTTTATATGGATACCATATTGTTTTGATTACTCTAGCCTTGTAGTATATTTTGAAGTCAGGCAATGTGATGCCTCCAGTTTGTTCTTTTTGATCAGGAATCTTTTGGTATTCTGGCTCTTTTTTGATTCTGTATACTTTTTAGCAATTTTTTTTTTTCCTAATTCTGTGAAGAATGATGTTGGTATTTTGACAGAGATTGCATTGAATCTGTAGATTGCTTTGGGCAGTATGGTCATTTTAATGATATTAATCCTATTGATTCATGAGGACGAGATGTCTTTCCACTTGTTTGTGTCCTCTTCAATTTCTTTCATCAATGTTTTGTAGTTTTCCTTGTAGAGCTCCTTCACCTCCTTGGTTAAATTTATTCCTAGATATTTTATTTATTTATTTATTTTGTTAGCTATTGCAAATGGGATTTTTTCCTTTTTTTTATACTTTAAGTTTTAGGGTACATGTGCACAATGTGCAGGTTTGTTACATATTTATACATGTGCCATGTTGGTGTGCTGCACCCATTAGCTGCATACATGTAACGTTAGGTATATCTCCTAATGCTATCCCTCCCCACTCCCCAAACCCCACAACAGGCCCCGGTGTGTGATATTCCCCTTCACGTGTCTATGTGTTCTCATTGTTCAATTCCCACCTATGAGTGAGAACATGCGGTGTTTGGTTTTTTGTCCTTGTGATAGTTTGCTGAGAATGATGGTTTCCAGCTTCATCCATGTCCCTACAAAGGACATGAACTCATCCTATTTTATGGCTGCATAGTATTCCATGGTGTATATGTGCCACATTTGCTTAATCCAGTCTATCAGTGTTGGACATTTGCCCTGTTTCCAAGTCTTTGCTATTGTGAATATTACCGGAATAAACATACATGTGCAAGTGTTTTTATAACAGCATGATTTATAATCCTTTGGGTATATACCCAGTAAAGGGATTGCTGGGTCAAATGGTATTTCTAGTTCAAGATCCCTGAGGAATCACCACACTGACTTCCACAATGGTTGAACTAGTTTACAGTCCCACCAACAGTGTAAAAGTGTTCCTATTTCTCCACATCCTCTCCAGCAACTGTTGTTTCCTGACTTTTTAATGATGGCCATTCTAACTGGTGTGAGGTGGTATCTCATTGTGGTTTTGGTTTGCATTTCTCTGATTGCCAGTGATGATGAGCATTTTTTCATGTGTCTTTTGGCTGCATAAATGTCTTCTTTTGAGCAGTGTCTGTTCATATCCTTCGCCCACTTTTTGATGGGGCTGTTTGTTTTTTTCTTGTAAATTTGTTTGAGTTAATTGTAGATTCTGGGTATTAGCCCTTTGTCAGATGGGTAGATTGCAAAAATTTTCTCCCAATTGGTAGGTTGCCTGTTCACTCTGATGGTAGTTTCTTTTGCTGTGCAGAAGCTGTTTAGTTTAATTAGATCCCATTTGTGAATTTTGGCTTTTGTTGCCATTGCTTTTGGTGTTTTAGACATGAAGTCCTTGCCCATGCCTATGTCCTGAATGGTAATGCCTAGGTTTTCTTCTAGGGTTTTTATGGTTTTAGGTCTAACATGTATGTCTTTAATCCATCTTGAATTCATTTTTGTATAAGGTATAAGGACGGGATCCAGTTTCAGCTTTCTACATTTGGCTAGCCAGTTTTCCCAGCACCATTTCTTAAATAGGGAATCCTTTCCCCATTTCCTGTTTTTGTCAGGTTTGTCAAAGATCAGATAGTTGTAGATATGTGGCATTATTTCTGAGGGCTCTGTTCTGTTCCATTGATCTATATCTCTGTTTTGGTACCAGTACCATGTTGTTTTGGTTACTGTAGCCTTGTAGTGTAGTTTGAAATCAGGTAGTGTGATGCCTCCAACTTTGTTCTTTTGGGTTAGGATTGACTTGGCAATTCTGGCTTTTTTTTTTGGTTCCATATGAACTTTAAAGTAGTTTTTTTCCAATTCTGTGAAGAAATTCATTGGCAGCTTGTTGGGGATGGCATTGAATCTGTAAATTACCTTGGGCATTATGGCCTATTTCACGATATTGATTCTTCCTACCCATGAGCATAGAATGTTCTTCCATTTGTTTGTATCCTCTTTTATTTCATTGAGCAGTGGTTTGTAATTCTCCTTGAAGAGGTCCTTCACATCCCTTGTAAGTTGGATTCCTAGGTATTTTATTCTCTTTGAAGCAATTGTGAATGGGAGTGCACTCATGATTTGGCTCTCTGTTTGTCTGTTATTGGTGTATAAGAATGCTTGTGATTTTTGCACATTGATTTTGTATACTGAGACTTTGCTGAAGTTGCCTATCAGCTTAAGGAGATTTTGGGCTGAGACGATGGGGTTTTCTAGATATGCAATCATGTCATCTGCAAACAGGGACAATTTGACTTCCTCTTTTCCTAATTGAAGCGCCCTTTATTTCTTTCTCTTGCCTGATTCCCCTGGCCAGAACTTCCAACACTATGTTGAATAGGAGTGGTGAGAGAGGGCATCCCTGTCTTGTGCCAGTTTTCAAAGGGAATGCTTCCAGTTTTTTCCCATTCAGTATGATATTGGCTGTGGGTTTGCAATACATAGCTCTTATTATTTTGAGATACGTCCAATCAATACCTAATTTATTGAGAGTTTTTAGCATGAAGGGTTGTTGAATTTTGTCAAAGGCCTTTTCTGCATCTATTGAGATAATCATGTGGTTTTTGTCATTGGTTCTGTTTATATGCTAGATTACATATATTGATTTGCATATGTTGATCCAGCCTTGCATCCCAGGGATGAAGCCCACTTGATCATGGTGGATAAGCTTCTTGATGTGCTGCTGGATTCAGTTTGCCAGTATTTTACTGAGGATTTTTGCGTCAATGTTCATCAGGGATATTGGTCTAAAACTCTGTTGTTTTGTTGTGTCTCTGTCAGGCTTTGGTATCAGGATGATGCTGGCCTCATAAAATGAGTTAGGGAGGATTCCCTCTTTTCTATTGATTGGAGTAGTTTCAGAAGGAATTGTACTGGCTCCTCCTTGTTGCCTCTGGTGAAATTCGGCTGTGAGTCCATCTGGTCCTGGACTTTTTTTCGTTGGTAAGCTATTAATTATTGCCTCAATTTCAGAACCTGTTACTGGTCTATTCAGAGATTCAACTTCTTCCTGGTTTAGTCTTGGGAGGGTGTTTGTGTCCAGGAAGTTATCCATTTCTTCTAGATTTTCTAGCTTATTTGCATAGAGGTGATTATAGTGTTCTCTGATGGTAATTTGTATTTCTGTGGGATCGGTGGTGATATCCCCTTTATCATTTTTTATTGTGTCTATTTGATTCTTCTCTCTTTTCTTTCTTATTAGTCTTGCTAGTGGTCTATCAATTTTGTTGATCCTTTCAAAAAACCAGCTCCTGGATTCATTGATTTTTTGAAGGGTTTTTTGTGTCTCTATTTCCTTCAGTTCTGCTCTGATCTTAGTTATTTCTTGCATTCTGTTAGCTTTTGAATGTGTTTGCTCTTGCTTCTCTAGTTCTTTTAATTGTGATTTTAGGCTGTCAATTTTGGATCTTTCCTGCTTTCTCTTGTGGGCATTTAGTGCTATAAATTTCCCTCTACACACTGCTTTGAATGTGTCCCAGAGATTCCGGTATGTTGTGTCTTTGTCCTCATTGGTTTCAAAAAACATCTTTATTTCTGCCTTCATTTCATTATGTACCCAGTAGTCATTCAGGAGCAGGTTGTTCAGTTTCCATGTAGTTGAGTGGTTTTGAGTGAGTCTCTTAATCCTGCATTCTAGTTTGATTGCACTGTGGTCTGAGAGACAGTTTTTTATGATTTCTGTTCTTTTACATTTGCTGAGGAGTGCTTTACTTCCAACTAAGTGGTCAATTTTGGAATAAGTGTGGTGTGGTGCTGAGAAGAATGTATACTCTGTTGTTTGGGGTGGAGAGTTCTGTAGATGTCTATTAGGTCCACTTGGTGCAGAGATGGGTTCAATTCCTGGATATCCTTGTTAACTTTCTGTCTCGTTGATCTGTCTAATGTTGACAGTGGGTTGTTAAAGTCTCCCATTATTATTGTGTGGGAGTCTAAGTCTCTTTGTAGGTCTCTAACGAATTGCTTTATGAATCTGGGTGTTCCTGTATTGGGTGCATATATATTTAAGATAGTTAGCTCTTCTTGTTGAATTGATCCCTTTACCATTATGTAATGGCCTTCTTTGTCTCTTGATCTTTGTTGGTTTAAAGTCTGTTTTATCAGAGACTAGGATTGCAACCCCTGCCTTTTTTTTTTCCATTTACTTGATAGAGCTTCCTCCATCCCTTTATTTTGAGCCTATGTGTGTCTCTGCACGTGAGATGGGTTTCCTGAATGCAGCACACAGATGGGTCTTGACTCTTTATCCAACTTGCCAGTCTGTGTCTTTTAATTGGAGCATTTAGCCCATTTACAATTAAGGTTAATATTGTTATGTGTGAATTTGATCCTGTCATTATGATGTTAGCTGGTTATTTTGTTCGTTAGTTGATGCAGATTCTTCCTAGCCTCAATGGTCTTTACAGTTTGTCATGTTTTTGCAGTGGCTGGTACTGGTTGTTCCTTTCCATGTCTAGTGCTTCCTTCAGGAGCTCTTGTAATGCAGGCCTGGTGGTGACAAAATCTCTCAGCATTTGCTTGTCTGTAAAGGATTTTATTTCTCCTTCACTTATGAAGCTTATTTTTGCTGGATATGAAATTCTGGGTTGAAAATTCTTTTCTTTAAGAATATTGAATATTGGCCCCCGCTGTCTTCTGGCTTTTAAAGTTTCTGCTGGGAGATGCGCTGTTAGTCTGATGGGCTTCCCTTTGTGGGTAACCACACCTTTCTCTCTGGCTGCCCTTAACATTTTTTCCTTCATTTCAACTTTGATGAATCTGACAATTATGTGTCTTGGAGTTGGTCTTCTTGAGGAATATCTTTGTGGCTTTGTCTGTATGTCCTTGATTGGCCTGCCTTTGCTAGGTTGGGGAAGTTCTCCTGGATAATATACTGCAGAGTGTTTTCCAACTTGGTTCCATTCCCCCCATCACTTTCAGGTACACCAATCAGACATAGGTTTGGTCTTTTCACATAGTCCCATATTTCTTGGAGGCTTTGTTCATTTCTTTTTATTCTTTTTTCTCTAAACTTCTCACTTCATTTTGTTCATTTCATCTTCCATCACTGATACCCTTTCTTCCATTTGATTGAATCGACTACTGAGGCTTGTGCATTCATCACGTAGTTCTCGTTCCTTGGTTTTCAGCTCCATCAGGTCCTTTAAGGACTTCTCTGCATGGTTACTCTAGTTAGCTATTCATCTAATTTTTTTTCAAGGTTTTTAACTTCTTGGCCATGGGTTTGAACTGCTTCCTTTAGCTTGGCGTAGTTTGATCATCTGAAGCCTTCTTCTCTCAACTCATCAAAGTCATTCTCCATCCAGCTTTGTTCCATTGTTGGTGAGGAGCTGCATTCCTTTGGAGGAGGAGAGGTGCTTTGATTTTTAGAGTTTCCAGTTTTTCTGCTCTGTTTTTTCTCCATCTTTGTGGTTTTATCTACCTTTGGTCTTTGATGGTGGTGACATACAGATGGGGTTTTGGTGTAGATATCCTTTCTGTTTGTTAGTTTTCCTTCTAACAGTCAGGACCCTCAGCTGCAGGTCTGTTGGAGTTTGCTGGAGGTCCACTCCAGACCCTCTTTGCCTGGGTATCAGCAGCGGAGGCTGTAGAACAGCAGATATTGGTGAACAGCAAATGTTGCTGCCTGATCTTTCCTCTGGAAATTTTGTCTCAGAGGAGTACCCGGCTGTGTGAGGTGTAAATCTGCCCCGACTGGGGGGTGCCTCCCAGTTAGGCTACTCAGGAGTCAGGGACCCACTTGAGGAGGCAGTCTGTCTGTGCTCAGATGTCGAGCTGCGTGCTGGGAGAACCACTACTCTCTTCAAGGCCGTCAGACAGGGACATTTAAGTCTGCAGAGGATTCTGCTGTCTTTTGTTTGGCTGTGCCCTGCCCCCAGAGGTGGAGTCTACAGAGGCAGGCAGGCCTCCTTGAGCTGTGGTGTACTCCACCCAGTTCGAGCTTCCTGGCCGCTTTGTTTACCTACTTAAGATTCAGCAATGGCAGGTGCCCCTCCCCCAACCTCGCTGCCGCCTGGCAGTTTGATCTCAGACTGCTGTGCTAGCAATGAGCGAGGCTCCATGGGTGGGCATAGGACACTCCAAGCCAGGCACTGGATATAATCTCCTGGTGTGCCGTTTGCTAAGACAGTTGGAAAGGTGCAGTGTTAGCGTAGGAGTGACCTGATTTTCCAGGTGCTGTCTGTCACCCCTTTCTTTGACTAGGAAATGGAATTCCCTGACCCCTTCTGCTTCCTGGGTGAGGCAATGCCTCACCCTGCTTCGGCTCAGGCTCAGTGCACTGCACCCACTGTCCTGCACCCACTTTCTGACACTCCCCAGTGAGATGAACCTGGTACCTCAGTTGGAAATGCAGAATTCACCTGTCTTCTGCATCGCTCATGCTGGATGCTGTAGACTGGAGCTGTTCCTATTCGGCCGTCTTCACAAATGGGGTTTTACAAATTTATTTCTCAGCTAGATCATTGTTGATGTATAGAAACACCAGTGATTTTTGTACATTGGTATTTTATCCTGCAGCTTTACTGAATTTATTAAATCTAAGAGTTTTTTGCTGGAGTCATTAGGTTTTTCTAGACATAAGATCAAATTATCAGTAAAAAGGGACAGTTTGACTTCCTCTTCCAGTTTGGATGATTTTCTTTCTTTCTTTTGCCTTATTGCTCTAGCTAGGACTTCCAGTACTCTGTTGAATAGGAGTGGTGGAAACAGGCATCCTTGTCTTATTCCAGATCTTAGAGGAAGGGCTTTCTGCATGATGTTAGTGGTGGGTTTGTCATATATGGCCTTTTTTATTTTGAGGTATGTTCCTCCCATATCTAGTTTGTTGAGAGTTTTTAATCATGAAGGGATGTTGAATTTTAATTTTATTAAATGCTTTTTCTGCATCTATTGAGATGATCATACTTTTGTATTATTATACTTTAAGTTCTAGGTTAAATGTGCACAACGTGGAGGCTTGTTACATATGTATACATGTGCCACATTGGTTTGCTGCACCAATTAACTCATCATTTACATTAGGCATGTCTCCTAATGCTATCCCTCCCCCAGCCCCCACCTCATGACAGGCCCTGGTGAGTGATGTTCCCCGCCCTGTGTTCTCATTGTTCAATTCCCACCTATGAGTGAGAAGATGCAGTGTTTAGTTTTCTGTCCTTTAGATAGTTTGCTCAGAATGATGGTTTCCAGCTTCATCCATGTCCCTACAAAGGACATGAACTCATCTATTTTTATGGCCGAATAGTATTCCTTGGTGTACATGTGCCACATTTTCTTAATCCAGTCTATCATTGATGGACATTTGGCTTGGTTCCAAGTCTTTGCTATTGTGAATAGTGCTGCAATAAACATACGTGTGCATGTGTCTTTATAGTAGCATGATTTATAATCCTTTAGGTATATATCCAGTAATGGGATGGCTGGGTCAAATGTTACTTCTAGTTCTGGATTCTTGAGGAATTTCCACACTGTCTTCCACAATGGTTGACCTAGTTTACAGTCCCACCAACAGTGTAAAAGCATTCCTGTTTCTCCAAATCCTCTCCAGCACCTGTTGTTTCCTGACTTTTTAATGATCACCATTCTAACAGGTGTGAGATGGTATCTCACTGTGGTTTTGATTTGCATTTCTCTGATAGCCAGTGATGATGAGCATTTTTTCATATGTCTTTTGGCTGCATAAATGTCTTCTTTTCAGAATTGTCTATTCATATCCTTTGCCCACTTTTTGATGGGGTTGTTTGATTTTTTCTTGTAAATTTGTGTAAGTTCTTTGTAGATTCTGGATATTAGCCTTTTGTCAGATGAGTAGATTGCAAAAATTTTCTCCCAATTGGTAGGTTGCCTGTTCACTCTGATGGTAGTTTCTTTTGCTGTGCAGAAGCTCTTTAGTTTAATTAGATCCCATTTGTCAATTTTGGCTTTTGTTGCCATTGCTTTTGGTGTTTTAGACATGAAGTCCTTGCCCATGCCTATGTCCTGAATGGTATTGCCTAAGTTTTCTTCTCAGGTTTTTATGGTTTTGGGTCTGACGTTTAAGTCTTTAATCCATCTTGAATTAATTTTTGTATAAGGTGTAAGGAAGGAATGTAGTTTCAGCTTTCTACATATGGCTAGCCAGTTTTCCCAGCACCATTTATTAAATAGGGATTCCTTTCCCCATTTCTTGTTTTTGTCAGGTTCATCAAAGATCAGATGGTTGTAGATGTGTGGTGTTATTTCTGAGGCCTCTGTTCTGTTCCATTGGTCTACATATCTGTTTTGATACCAGTACTATGCTGTGTTGGTTACTGTAGCCTTGTAGTACAGTTTGAAGTCAGGTAGCATGATGCCTTCAGCTTTGTTCTTTTTGCTTAGGATTGTCTTGGCAATGCAGGCTCTTTTTTGATTCCACATGAACTTGAAAGTAGTTTTTTCCAATTCTGTGAAGAAAGTCACTGGTAGCTTGATGGGGATGGCGTTGAATCTATAAATTACCTTGGACAGTATGGCCATTTCCACAATATTGATTCTTTCTATCCGTGAGCATGGAATGTTCTTCCTTTTGTTTGTGTCCTCTTTTATTTCATTGAGCAGTGGTTTCTAGTTCTCCTTGAGGAAGTCCTTCCCATCCCTTGTAAGTTGGATTCCTAGGTATTTTATTCTCTTTGAAGCAATTGTGAATGGGAGTTCACTCATGATTTGGCTCTCTGTTTGTCTGTTATTGGTGTATAGGAATGCTTGTGATTTTTGCACATTGATTTTGTATCCTGCGAGTTTGCTGAAGTTGCTTGTCAGCTTAAGGAGATTTTGGGTTGAGACGATGGGGTTTTCTGAATATACAATCATGTCCTCTGCAAACAGGGACAATTTGACTTCCTCTTTTCCTAATTGAAGCGCCCTTTATTTCTTTCTCTTGCCTGATTCCCCTGGCCAGAACTTCCAACACTATGTTGAATAGGAATGGTGAGAGAGGGCATCCCTGTCTTGTGCCAGTTTTCAAAGGGAATGCTTCCAGTTTTTGCCCATTCAGCATGATATTGGCTGTGGGCTTGTCATAAATAACTCTTATTATTTTGAGATACATTCCATCAATACCTAGTTTATTGAGAGTTCTTAGCATGAAGGACTGTTGAATTTTGTCAAAGGCCTTTCCTGCATCTATTGAGATAATCATGTGGTTTTTGTCTTTAGTTCTGATGGATTACTTTTATTGATTTGCATATGTTGAACCAGCCTTGCATCCCAGGGATGAAGCCAAATTGTTCTTGGTGGATAAGCTTTTTGATCAATTTGGTGCTGGATTTGGTTTGCCAGTATTTTATTGAGGATTTTTGCATCGATGGTCATCAGGGTTATTGGTCTAAAATTCTCTTGTTTTGTTACATCTGTGCCAGGGATCATACGGTTTTTATTCTTCATTCTGCTGATGTTATATATCACATTTATTCACTTGCACACATTGAACCATCTTCCTTGCATCTCTGTTATAAATCCCAAATAGTTATAGGATATTATTGTTTTCATGTGCTGTTGTATCAATCTTGCTAGATTTTGTTGAGGGATTTTGTATGTATGTTCATCAAATATATTGGCCTGTAGTTTTCTTTAACTGTTGTGAACTCATCTTGTATCAGGTTAATGCTGTCCTTGTGGAATGAGTTAGGGAGGTTTCCCTCCTCAAGTTTTCAGACAGTTTCAGGAAAATTGGTACCAGTTCTTTATTATACATTTGGTAGAATTCTGCTATGAATCAGTCTGGCCCTGGTTTTTTTGTTTTGTTTTGTTTTTATCTTTAGGAGATTCTTTATTGCTGCTTAAGTCTTGCCATTTGTAATTGGTTTATTCAGATTTTCTATTTCTTTTTCTGATTTAATCTTGGTAGGTTATGTGTTTCCAGGAATTTATCCATTTCTTCTAAGTTTTCCAGTTTGTTAGTGTATAGTTGTTCACATCAGTTTCTGACGGTCTTTGTAGTTCTGTGATATCGGTTAGTAATCTCTCCTTTTTCATTTCTGATTCGTTTATTTGGGTCTTCTCTCTTCCTATGTTAGTAAGCTTAGCTAGCAATTTGTTGACTTTGTTTATCTTTTCAAAAAACCAACTTTTTCTTACATTGAGTCTCTGTATTACTTTTTTTAGTCTCTATTTTCTTTAGTTTTACTCTCTTCTTTTTTATTTATTTCCCCCTGCTAATTTTGGGTTTGGTTTGTTCTTGCTTTTCCATTTCCTTGAGGTACCCCACTTAGTTGTTTATTAGAAATTTTTCTACTTTTTTGATATAGGCATTTACTGCTACAAACTTCCCTCTTATCACTGCTTTTGCTATATCACTCAGGTTTTATCAGAGTGTTTTTATTTTTATTTGTTTGGTGAAATTTTTTGATTTTCTTCTTAATTTCCTCATTGGCCCTATGATTGTTCAGGGGCATAATTTTTAGTTTCCATGTATTCCAGTTTTCCTTTTGTTTTGGATTTCTAGTTTTATTCCATTGTAACCTTAGATGATACTTTATATGACTTCACTATTTAAAAATTTGTTGAGACTTGTTTTGTGGTCTGACATATGGTATATCTCGGAGAATGTTTTATGTGCTGATAAGAAGAATGTATATTCTGTAGCTGTTAGATAAAATGTTCTGTAAATATCTGTTAGGTCCATTTAGCCTAAAGTACAATTTAAATCAGATGTTTGTTTTTTGTTGTTCTGTCTAGATGATATATCTGATGCTGGATAGGGTGTTGAAGCCCCCAACTGTTATTTTATTTAAGTGTATCTCTTCTTTTAGATCTAATATTTGCTTTATATATCTGGGTGCTCTAGTGTTAAGTGCACTATATTTAGAATTGTTATGTTCTTTTTCTGAATTGACTCCTTTATCATTATATAATGACCTTTTTTGATTCGTTTTACAGTTTGACTTAAAGCCTGTTTTATCTAAGTATAGCTACTCCTGCTCACTTTTCGTTTCTCTTTCCATGGCATATCTTTTTTTATCCCTTCATTTTCAGTCAATGTGTGTCTTTACAGGTCAAGTGAATTTCTTTTAGTCAGCATACAGTTGGGTCATGTTTTTATTAAAGTCATTCAACCAGTCTATCTCTTTTAAGGGAAGGATTTAATTAGTTTACATTCAAGGCTATTTATTGATATGTGAGGTCTTATTCCTGCCATTTCGATTTGATTTTTGTTGTTGGTAGTGGGCATTGTAGGCTTGTTCTCAGGCCATGAGACCTCTGAAGACACATGCAAGTGCATGGCAGGTCTGCTGCTAGGGGGCAGGGTTGCTTTCAGTGGCATCAGTCCCAGGCAGGTGGCTCTCAGGCTCTGGAGAGCATGCTTTTCAACTCCCTTTGTCCTGAGAGCAGTTACCCCAGGGTGTAGGCCACTGCATGGGCTAGGTTGCTGGGGATCTGGCGTCACTGCTGGGTCAAGCTTACATTGCAACGTCGAAGCCCGCTAGATGAATGTAGAGGGAATGTCAGTGGAACCCCAGCAACATGGAGATTTGAGGTCTGTTAGAACCCAGGGCAGTATATACCGTGGTTGGGGTTAAGCTCTCAAATTGTGTCATGCTGCAACTGCTTAGGTCTTGGAAGGTGTGTGGGACTCAGGATGAACTCCCTTTGTAGAACAGTGCTTTTGCCAAGACTCCAGAAACTCCCTGTCCTACTTTCAGGGACAGCAAGTGCCTGGCGGCTCTCCCATGGCCAGAACTGCAGGAGTCTTTAGTGAGAATGTAAACCATTGAGAGTATCTTGCTTACCTTTTCTCTGCACTGGAGAGTTTTTCCTGGTTCTGAGCCAATTTCAGCTGGGCTGGGTTGCTCTGCTATCTCTTCCTGAGCTTCAGAGGTTCTCTGTCACTTCCCTGTTGAATTCCAGTGTTCTTTTAAAAAATGTTGTATTAGTTGTGAGTAAATAGTAGATATATATATTTATGGGGTACGTTAGATGTTTTTATACAGGCATGCAATGTGAAATAGTCACCAAATGGAGAATGGAATATCCATCCCCTCAAAACATTTATGCTTTGAGTTACAAACAATCCAATTACACTATTTATTTTAAAATAGTTATTATTGACTATAGCCACCCTCTTGTGCTATCAAATAGTAGGTCTTACTCATTTTTTTCATGTTTTTTTTTTTTGTACCCATTGACGATCCCCACCTCCCCCTAATCCTCCTACTACCCTCCCAGCCTCTGGTAACCATCCTTCTACTCTCTATCTCCATGAGTTCAATTCTTTTTACTTATAGATCCCACAAATAAGGGGAGAACATGCGATGTTTGTCTTTCTGTGCCTGGCTTATTTCACTTAACATAATGATCTCTAGTTTTATTCATGTTGTGGCAAATGACTGGATCTCATTCTTTTAATGACTGAATAGTACTCCATTGTGTATATACATCACATTTTCTTTATCCATTAATCTATTGATGGACACTTAGGTTACTTCCAAATCTTAGCTATTGTAAACAATGCTGCAACAAACATAGGAGTGCAGATATCACTTCGATATACTGATTTCCTTTCTGTTGGGTATATGCCCAACAATGGGATGGCTGAATCATATGGTAGCTTAATTTTCAGCTTTTTGAGGAACCTCCAAACTGTTCTCCATAGTGGTTATACTAATTTACATTCCCACCAACGGTGAACGAGGGTTACCTTTCCTTTAGATCCTTGCCAGCATTTGTTATTGCCTGTCTTTTGGATAAAAGCCATTTTAACTGGGGTGAGATGATATCGCATTGTAGTTTTTATTTGCATTTCTCTGATGATCAGTGATGTTGAGCATCTTTTCAAATGCCTGTTTGCCATTTGTATGTCTTCTTTTGAAAAATATCTATTCAAATCTTTTGCCCATTTTTGATCAGATTACTAAAGTTTTTACTAAAAGTTGTTTGAGTTTATTATATATTCTGGTTATTAATCCCTTGTCAGATGGTTAGTTTGCAGATATTTCCTCCCATTCTGTAGGTTGTCTCTTCACAGTTGATTTTATCCTTTGCTTTGCAGAACTTTTTAATTTGATGTGATATCATTTGCTCATGTTTGCTTTGGTTGCCTGTCCTTGTGGAATATTGATCAAAATTTTTGCTCAGACCAATGTCTTGGAGATTTTCCTCAATGATTTCTTGTAGTACTTTTATAGTTTGAGGTCTTAGATTTAAGTCTTTAATCCATTTTGATTTAAATTTTGTATTTGATGAGAGAGAGGGGTCTAGTTTCATTCTTCTAAGACATTCTGCCTAAGAATGTCCAATTTCCAAGCACCATTTATTGAAAAGACTGTCTTTTCCCCAATGTGTGTTCTTGGGGAACACACATTTCCCCAATGTATGCACCTTTGTCAAAAATGAATTAACTTTAGGTGTGTGGATTTGTCTCTAGGTTATCTATTCTGTTCCATTGGTCCATGTGTCTGTTTTTATGCCAGTAACATGCTGTTTTGGTTAGCTCTGTAGTAAAATTTGAAGTCAGGTAATGCGAGTTCTCTGGTTTTGTTCTTTTTGTTTAGGATAGCTATCCTGGGTCTTTTTTGGTTCCATATAAACTTTTGTATTTTTTTTCTATTTCTATGTAGATTGTCATTGGTATTTTGATAAAGATTGCATTGAATCTATAGATTGCTTTTGGAAGTGTGAACATTTTAACATTATTGATTCTTCCAATCCATGAACATAGAGTATTGTTTTATTTTTTGCTGTTCTCTTCAATTTCTTTCATCAGTGTTTTACAGCTTTCATCTTCCACTTCTTTGGTTAATTCCTAGGTGTTTAATTTTATATATGTGACCATTTTAAATGGGACTTTCCTTTTAATTTCTTTTTCACATTGTTCACTGTTGACATATAGAAATACTATTAATTTTTTATGTTGATTTTGTATCCCGCCAGTTTACTGAATTTGTTTATTAGTTTTAATAGTTTATTTGTGGAGTCTTTAAGGTTTTTCCAAATACGAGATTATATCATCTGCAAACAAGGATAATTTGACTTCTTTCTTTCCAACTTGGATACCCTTTATATCTTTCTCCTGTCTGATTACTCTAGGTAAGACTTCCAGTACTATGTTGAATAACAGTGGTGACAGTGGGCATGCTCGTCATCTTAGAAGAAAGGTGTTTCTTCTTTCCCTATTCAGTATGATACTAGCGTTGTCTGCCATTTATGGCTTTTTTATGCTGAGGTATGTTTCTTCCATTCCCAGTTTTGTGAGGGTTTTTATTATGAAGGGATGTTAAATTTTATCAAATGCTCTCTCAGCACCAATTGAAATAATCACATAGTTTTTATCCTTCATTCTGTTGATCAGTGTTCTCTTTTTGATGTATGATTATCTACTTGCTATTTTTGTCCTTCTTTGTGGAGGAGGTAAGTACTGGGTGCCTCTAGTCATCCATCTTGAAGCCCCACTGACGTTTTGTACTTTTATAACTTCTTATGACTTAATGATTTAGATGAATCTGAAGCTTTTTTTTTAATACAACATCCATGTTGTATAGATTTCCTGAAGGATTAGAAGATCCAGAAAAAAAGGATGCCAATAATGTTTTCTCATTCTTCGGAACCATTATGAAACTAACAAAAGGGAGTTTTGAAGTAGAAAGGAGAAGATTGAAGCATTTATAAATTATGACGGGGTAGAATATAGTAATGGAGTAAAATATTTGTGAGGCCACTCAAGAACAAAATGCCTTAAAGAAATGGTTCCCTTTGGGCACTTCTTGATATAAGTCTTGAGACCAAAAAAAAAGAAAAAAAAGAGAGAGAGAGAGAAAGAGAGAAGTTCTGCTATAAGTAATATAGAGGAAAAAGTAGAACTTCCTCTATAGCTTGGGTATTTAATGGAAAATTCTGTACTCAACACATATGCACTAGTCCCATTCTTGATGGCCATCCTTATGTAGTATATATTCTTTAGTGATTTCAGGGACAAGAAAGCAAAAGAAAAAGTGATTCATTACACGTTGGTCCAGTTCACACCTGTGTTCTTATTAGGTGTCAAATGCAAACATATCATGGTCATTTGAATAGACTAACTGGAGTGAGCCTGTTACTTTTATCTTCTGTACACATGTGTCTTTATTTTTTTTATTTACTTGTTTTTTAAAAATTTTAAAAATTATTTTAAAAAATTTTTGTGGGTACATAATAGGTGTATATATTTATGGGGTACATGAGATATTTTGATACAGGTATGCAATGTCAATGAAGACATCATGAAGATAGAAATATGTTAAACTATTTTGTTGTTATTGTTGTTTTGTGAATAGTTTATTCTTTCTAACTTTTATTTTAAGTTCAGGGGTACATATGCAGGTTTGTTACATGGGTAAACTTGTGTCATGGGGTTTGTTGTATACATTATTTTATCATCCAGGTATTAAGCCTAGTACTCAATAGTTATTTTTCCTCATGATTTCCTCCCTCCTACCGTCCACCCTCCAATAAGCCCCAGTGTGTGTTGTTCTCCTCCATGTGTTCTTATCATTCAGCCCTCACTTATAAGTGAGAATATGTGGTATTTGTTTTTTTTATTCCTGCATTAGCATGCTAAGGATAATGGCCTCCAGCTTCATCCATGTCCCTGCAAATGACATGATCTCATTTTTTTTTATGGCTGTATAGCATTCTATGTACCACATTTTCATTATCCAGTCTATCATTGATGGGAATTTAGGTTGATTCCATGTCTTTGCTATTGTGAATAGTGGTACCATGAACATAGGCTTGCATGTGTGTTTATAACAGAATGATTTATATTCATTTGGGTATATATCCAGTAATGGGACTGCTGGGTTGAATGGTGGTTCTGCTTTTAGGCCTTTGAGGAATTGTCACACTATCTTCCACACAGGTTGAACTAATTTACATTTCCATCAATAGTGTATAAGCGTTCCTTTTTCTCCACAACCTCACCAGCATCTGTTATTTTTTGACTCTTTCATAGTAGCCATTCTGACTTGTGTGAGATGGTATCTCTTGTTGTTTTGATTTGCATTTCTCTAATATTCAGTGATGCTGAGCGTTCTTTCATATAATTGTTAGCCATATGTATGCCTTCTTTTGAAAAGTGTCTGTTCATGTCCTTTGCCCACTTTTTATGATTTTTTCTTGTTAATTTGTTTAAGTTTCTTATAGATGCTGGATATTAGACCTTGGTTAAATACATAATTTGCAAAATTTTTCCCCATTCTGTAGGTTGTCTGTTCAGTCTAATGATAGTTTATTTTGCTGTGCAGAAGCTTTTTAGTTTAATTAGATCCCATGTGCTGATTTTTGCTTTTGTTGTAGCTGCTTTTGGTGTCTTCATCATTAAATCTTTGCCCATGCCTCTGTGTCCTGAATGGTATTGCCTAGGTTGTCTTCCAGGGTTTTTATACTTTTGGGTTTTACATTTAAGTCTTTAATCCATCTTGAGTTAATTTTTATATATGGTGTAAGGAAGCAGTCCAGTTTCAATCCTCTGCATATGGCTAGCCAGTTATTCCATGCCACTTATTGAATAGTGAACCCTTTCCTCATTGTTTGTTTTTTGTCAGGTTTGTCAAAGATCTGATGGTCCTAAGTCTGTGGCCTTATTTCTGAGTTGTCTGTTCTGTTCTATTGGTCTATGTATTTGTTTTGATATCAGCATCATGGTTTTTCTGGTTACTGTAGCCCTGAATTAGGTTTTGAAGTCAGGTAACATGTTGCCTCCAGCTTTTTTCCTTTTGCTTGGGATGGTCTTTGCTATTCAGGCTCTGCCTTTATTCCATATGAATTTTAAAATAGTTTATCCAATTCGGTGAAAAATCTCAACGGTGGTTTAATAATGATAGCAGTGAATCTATAAACTGCTTTGAGCAGTTTGTCCATTTTAATGTTATGAATCTTCCTATCCATGAGCATGAAGTGTTTTTCTGTTTGTGTGTGTCTTCTCTGAATTCTTTGAGAAGTGTTTTGTAGTTCTCCTTGCAGAGATCTTTCATCTCCCTACTTAGCTGTATTCCTAGGTATTGTATTCTTTTTGTGGCATTTGTGAATGTGAGTACATTCCTGATTTGGCTCTCGGCTTGACTTTTGTTGGTGTATGGGGATACTAGTGATTTTTGCATGTCGATTTTATATTCTGAGACTTTGCTGAAGTTGTTTATCAGCTTAAGAAGCATTCGGGGTAGGATTATGGGGTTTGCTAGATATAGGACTATGTCATCTACAAACAGGGATATTTTGACTTCTTCTCTTCCTCTCTGGATGCATTTTATTTTTCTGTCTTCCCTGATTGCTCTGGTCAGGACTTCCAGTACTATGTTAAATAGGAAAGGTGAAAGAGGGCATCCTTGTCTTGTGCTGGTTTTCAAGGGGAATGTTTCCAGCTTTTGGCCATTCAGTATTATGTCAGCTGTGAATTTGTCATAGATAGATAGCTCTTATTATTTTGAGGTACGTTCCTTCAATATCTAGTTTGTTGAGAGTTTTTAACCTGAAGGGATGTTGAATTTATCAAAATCCTTTTCTGCATCTATGGAGATAATCATGTAGTTTTTGTCTTAAGTTCTGTTTATGTGTTGAATCACGTTTACTGATACCTGAATGTTGAACTAACCTTGCATCCCAAAGATAAAGCTTAATTTATCAAGGTGGATAAGCTTTTTGATGTGCCACTGGCTTTTATGCCACCATTTTGAGGATTTTTGCACTGATGTTCATCGAGAATATTGACTTGAAGTTTTTGTTGTTGTTATTATCTCTGCCAGGTTTTGGTATCACGATGATGCTGGCTTCATAGAATGATTTAGGGAGGAGTTCCTCCTCCTCAATTTTTTTGAATACTTTCAGTCAGAATAGTACCAGCTCTTCTTTGTACCTCTCGTAGCATTCAGCTGTGAATATGTCTGATCCTGGGCTTTTTTTGGTTGGTAACCTGTTTTTTGCTGC
The DNA here is from genome assembly GCF_000001405.40 of Homo sapiens. NCBI lineage: Eukaryota > Metazoa > Chordata > Mammalia > Primates > Hominidae > Homo > Homo sapiens. The sequence goes on along the minus strand of NC_000005.10, from coordinate 114,832,935 downwards.
CTCAATTTCAGAGCTCTTTATTAGTCTCTTCAGGGATCCAATTTATTCCTGGTTCAGTCTTGAGAGGGTGTATGTGACCAGAAATTTATCAGTTTCTTCTAGATTTTCCTTTCAGATTGTGTTTATTTGAAACTTCTCTCTACTTCTTTATCAGTTGAGCAGTCTATTTTATTAATTTTTTCTCGAAAAACCAGCTGCTGGATTTGTTGATCTTTTGAGTCTTTTTTTGTATCTATCTCTTTCAGCTCAGCTCTTGTTTTGGTTAATTCTTGTCTTCCACTAGCTTTGGGATTTGTTTGCTTTTGGTTCTTTAATTTTTTTAGTTGTGATATTACTTTCTAACTTTTTATATGGGCATTTAGTGCTATAAATTTCCCGCTTAACGCTGCCTTAGCTGTGTTGCAGAGATTTTGGTATGTTGTCTTTGTGTTCTCATTAGTTTCAAAGAATTTCTTGATTTCTGCTTTAATTTATGATTTACCCATGAGTCATTCAGGAACAGGTTATTCAATTTCCATGTAATTGTGCGGTTTTGAGTGAATTTCTTGGTCTCGATTTCTAATTTGATTACACTGTGGTCTGAGAGATTGTTATGATTTCAGTCTTTGCATTTGCTGATGATTATTTTACTTCTGATCATGTGATTGATTTTAGAGTATATGCCATGTGACGATGAGAAGAATGTATATTCTGTTGTTTTTTGGTGGAGAGTTCTGTGGATATATGATCCAGAGCTGAGTTCTGGTCCTGAATATCTTTGTTAATTTTCTATCTTGGTGATCTGTCTAATATTGTCAGTGGCATGTTAAAGTCCCACTATTATTGCGTGGGAGTCTAAGTGTCTTCAAAGGTCTCTAAGAACTTGCTTTATGAATTTGGGTGCTCCTGTGTTGGGTACATATATATTTGAGATAGTTAGATCTTCTTGTTGAATTGAACCCTTTACCATTATGTAATATCCTTCTTTGTCTTTTTTGATCTGTGTTAATTTAAAGTCTGCTTTGTCAGAAACTAGGATTGCAACCCATGCTTTTTCTCTGTTTTCCATTTGCTTGGTAGGTTTTTCTCTATCCCTTTATTTTGAGCCTATCTGTGTCATTGCATGTGAGATGGGTGTCTTGAAGATAGCATACCAATGGGTCTTGGTTATTTATTCAACTTGCCACTTTGTGCCTTCTAATTGAAACATTTAGTTATTTATATTTATGGTTAATATTGATATATGTGAATTTGTTCCTGTCATTATGATGTTAGCTTATTTTGTAGATTTGTTTATATGGTTGCTTTATAGTATCACTGGTCTGTGTACTTCAGTGTGTTTTGGTAGTGGCTGGTAATGGTTTTTCCTTTCCATATTTAGTGCTCCCTTCAGGAGCTCTTGTAAGGCAGATCTGGTGGTAACAAATTCCCTCAGCATTTGCTTTTCTGAGAAGGATCCTATTTTTCCTTTGCCTATGAAACTTAGTTTTGCCAGATACTACATTCTAGGTTGGAATTTCCTATCTTTAAGAATGTTAAATATTGGCCCCTAGTTTCTTCTGGCTTGTAGGCTTTCAGCTGAGAGGTCATCTGTTAGTCTGATGAGCTTTCCTTTATAGGTGACCTCACCTTTCTCTCTAGCTGCCTTTAACATTTTTCTTTTATTTCGACCTTGGGGAATCTGATGAATATGTGTCTTGGGGATGATTTTCTTGTGAATTATTTTACTGGGGCTCTCTGCATTTCCTGAAATGGAATGTTTGCCTGTCTAGCTAGGTTGGAGAAGTTCCCATGGATGATATTCTGAAATATGTCTTTCATGTTGGTTTTGTTCCCCTCATGTCCTTCAGGGACACCCCTGAGTTGTAGATTTGGTCTTGTTACATAATCTCATATTTATTGGAGGTTTTGTTCATTCCTTTTTCATTCTTTTTTCTCTATTCTTGCCTGTCTGTCTTATTTCAGAAAGCCAGTTTTCAAGCTCTGAGATTCTTTTACTTGTTGGTTTATTCTGCTATTAACATTTGTGATTGCATTGTGAAATTCTTGTAGTGTGTTTTTCAGCTCTATCAGGTCAGATACAGTGTAGTCTCCATCCTGGTTATTTTGTCTGTCAGCTCCTGCATTGTTGTATCATGATTTTTAGCTTCCTTGCATTGGATTTTAATGAACTCCTGTGGCTCAATGATTTTCATTTCTATCCATATTCTGAATTCTATTTCTGTCATTTCAGCCATCTAAGTCTTTTTCCAAACCCTTGCTGGAGGTGATGTAGTCATTGGAGGAAAGAAGGCACTGTGGATTTTTGAGTTTTCAGCATTCTTGTGCTGATTCTTTCTCATCTTTGTGGGCTTATTTACCTTCAATTTTTGAAGTTGCTGACCTTTGGACTTTTTTAATCCCATTTGATGATCTTGAGGGTTTGATTGTGGTACAAATGGATTTGGCTGACTGGATTTGTTTCTGGGAGATTTTAGGGGGCCAGTGCTTAGCTCCCAACTCCTGGACTGCATGCTGTAACTCTGGAGAGCTTGTATAGGGCACGACTTTTTTCTCTGCCTCTTTGAGGTTTGGATTCCACTACAATGGGGCGGAGGGCAAAGTGCAGCAGCTGCAGCAGCTGCAGCAGAGTGCTAGCAGATGCAGGGTTGCCTGCCTTCCTGTGGGCATTCACCACAGTAACAGAGGCAACACAGCTGGTGATTAGGGGAGACTGTGTGAGCAGTTGCACTGGAGCTGGTGTTGGTTTGGGGCAGTTTGCTGGTCAGTGCAACTCTTGGTGCCTTCTCTGTGCCCCACAAGGAGGAGTGATCACTCATGGTGTGGGAGGATCCACTATTTTCTGACAGTGTTAGTGCAAGGGTGGGGCACTGGTGGGGCCAGGGCTTGCTGGCTTTGTGCCCTCTAATGCTCCATTTGCAATAGTGGTTGGTAGGGGGAAGAGAGGTGAACTGCACTCCCACATGCTGGTGGGGCAAGTAAAGCAAAATGCGTCCATGCAGACATGCACCAGCAGAGTGATGTGAGGAGTTTCTGTGGGCTTGGGGGAGGCTGCAGTATGGGGAAGAAGCATGCAAGTTAGTGCATGACCATAGGGGCTGGCTGGAGCTCTCCATCTGTCAGGCACTGTCTGCTGGCACAGAGACTATGGTGTGGGCCCCAGCACACCCAAGACTGACCTGTAAGCAGGCATGGCCAGACTGTATCCCTGGGAGAGGCCAGCAGACCAAGGGGTTCTATGTCAGGCCAACACCATCTGATGTGCAAGACCACCGTGCAGAGATCAGGTTCAGCAGTTTCCCTAGGGACAAACTCTTGTATGGGAGCAAGTCGAGCCTAGGGGGATGGCTGTCCCTAGCTATGCTCCACAACAGATGCTCCTGTACCAAACCCTCTGGGCACCACATCAGCTGGCTTGCTGCTCCATTGCTTCTCTAAGCAGCTCTTCCTGTCACCTCAGGTTTCCATAGTGGTCAAGGGATTCCCTTCTGCTGGGGTTCCAGATGCCCATCCTAGAATGGATTGCTCCTTGCCAGTTCAACTCACTCATGCCCCCAGTGCTGTTGTGGTTCGAAGATGAGTCCCAGTGTGTAGTAGCCTGTGCAGGGTTCCTAGCTTTCTCTCCCTTTTGGCTAGCTTCTGTGTCTTCCCTCCACCCATTCTCAGCACCTTCACTCTGAAGATCTGCCAGTCATCCTGGTCCCCCCATGAGAGCTATTCTACTTGTCTCTGTCTACTTGGCCATCTTGCCCTCTCAGACCTTTTATTACTTTTAGCATTTTATTTTTGTTTATATATATATTAAGGTGTACAAAATATTTTGATGTACATGTACATAGTTAAATGTCACAGTCCAGCTAATTAACATATCCATCATCTCACATAGTTACTTTTTTATTGTGAGAGCACATAACATCTCCTTTCTTAGCACATTCCTAGTATAAAATGTTATATTATTAACTAACTATAGCTCTCATGGTATACATTAGATCTCTATACTTATTTATCCTACATAATTGCAACTTTGCACCCATTCTTCTGTTAACAGGAGACATAGATGAAAGGGCACAAAACCCCTGGTAACCACGTTCTTACTTTCTGTTTCTATGTATTGGACTTTTTTTTTTTTTTTAAGATGCCACATATAAGTGAGGTCATGAAGTATTTTTCTTTCTGTGTTTGGCTTATTTCAATTAGCATAAGGTCCTTCAGGTTTATCTTTGTTTTTACAAATGACCAGACATCCTTCTTTTTAAAGGCTGAATAATATTTCATTGTGTGTGTATGTATGTTGATAGATATAGAAGGGGCAAATACAAGTTGTGTGTATATATATACATATATATATATACACACACATACGTACACTATCTATCTATCTATCTATCTATCTATCTACCATCTATCTATCTATCTATCTGTATCTATCTCACAATTTCTTTATCTATTCATCTCTTAATGGCCATTTAGGTTGTTTTCGTATCTTGGCTATTGTGAGTAATTTTGCAATGAGCATGGATATACAGATATCTCTATGAGGTGCTGATTGCATTTCCTTTGGGTATATAAGGAGGGATTGCTGAGTTATATATGGTAGTTCTATTTCTGAGGAACTTCCACACTGTTTTCTATAATGGCTACACCAATCTACATTTCCAACAAAGATGTACAAGGATTCCCCTTTATCCATACCCTCATCACTTGTTGTTTCTTGTGTTTTTGATGGCATATAGCCATTCTAACTGGAGTGAGGTGGTACCACGTTGTTGTTTTGATTTGGATTTTTCTGATGATTAGTAAGGTTGAATACATTTCCAAATGCCCATTAGCCATTTTTGTGTCTTCTTTGGATAAATATCTATTCAGATCCTTTGTCCATTTTTAAATTAGGTTATTCCTTTTTTTTTTTTTTTTGTCATTGAGCTCTGTGAGTTCCTGACATATTTTGGATATTAACCCTTTATCATACGTATGGTTTGCAAATATTTTTCCCATTCTACAGGTTGCCTTTTTATTTTGTTGATTGTTTCCTTTGATGTGCTGAAGATTTTAGTTTGATGTAATTCCATTTATTTTTGTTTCTGTTGCCTGTGCTTTTGGGGTCCTAAACCAAAAATCATTGCCAAGAACAAGGGAATGGAGATTTTCTCCTTTGTTTTCTTTTAGGAGTTTTATGATCTCAGGTCTTATGTTAAACATTTTATCCATTCTGAGTTGACTTTTGTGTTTGGTGTGAAATAAGTCTCCAATTTTGTCCTTTGCATGTGGACATACAGTTTTTTTCTGACATCATTCATTGAAGAGACTATTTTTTCCTCATTGTGTGTTTTTGACAACTTTGTCAAATATCAGTTTACTCCAAGTGTGTGGATTTATTTCTGGACTCTCTATTCTGTTCCATTGGTCTATGTGTCTAATTTTAATGCCAGTACCAAACTGTTTTGATTACTACAGCTTTGTGATATAATCTGAAATCAAGCAGTGTGATTCCTCCAACTTTGTTCTTTTTTCCCCCTTAGGAATGCCTTAGCTATTTAGAGTTTTTTGCAGTTCTATACAAATTTTATATATTTTTTATTTCTGTGAAAAAGATCTTTAATTTTAATAAAGATTGCATTGAATCTGCATATCACTTTGAGTATTGTGGACATTTTAACAGTATTTTAATCCATAAACATGGGCTATCTTTTATTTGTGTCTTCATTTTCTTTCATCAATTTTTATAATGTGTAGATCTTTTACCTCCTTTGTTAAATTTATTCTTAGGTATCTTATTATTTTAAATGCTATTATAAATGGGATCATTTTCTTGATTTCCTTTTTGTTAGGTAATTATCAATGTAAAGAGGGCCTAAAATTTCTTAAATGATCAGAGCTTGCAGGATCCTTAAGGATGGCAGGCCTTGACCTTTGTATATTCCCTTTTTGTATTCTCTGTATGGTCTCCATAGACATTGACTAAAGTATATAATTAAATATGGGACTCTGAGGAATGTTTTTAAAATCCTTCTAAGTTATACTTTCTTTCAATCACTTGACTGTTTTGTGAGTTTTGTTGAAATTGAGTATAAAATGGTATTGAAAATACTGATTTCTTCTCAATTTACTACTATCTTGTTCTGATTTCTTTCTGAAATCAAAAGGGGCTTACTGCATAAAAATCATTTTTAGCAATTATAAGGAACATTTTATTAACATCTCCAAGACAAACTCAGACCTTAACATCTTGTATACAAATTAAAAGGTATGAACAGGAAGTAGTGTGTCTGTGAGATTTTATTTCTCACAAGTAAACTAATTTCAGTGTGTCCAGGTGTGATGGACCTCCAGACCAGAACTTACATCTAACAGGTAGTATCTGGTATGGTTTGGCTGTGTTCCCACCCAAATTTCATCTTGAATTGTAGTTCCCATAATCCTCACACGTCATGGGAAGAACCCAGTGGGAGGAGGTTGAATAGTAGAAGTGGTTACCCTTATGCTGCTGCTCTCATGATAATGAGTGAGTTCTCATGAGATCTGGTTTTATAAAGAGCTTTTCTCTCTTTGCTTGGTCCTTCTCCTTCCTGCCATCATGTGAAGAAGGAAGTGTTTTCTTCCCTTTCTGCCATGATTGTAAGTTTCCTGAGACCTCCCTAGTCATGCAGAACTGTGAGTCAAGTAAACCTCTTTCCTTTATAAATTACCCAGTCTTGGGCAGTTCTTTATAGAAGCAAGAGAATGGAGTAGTTCAGTAAATTGGTACCAGGAATGGGGTGGGTGCACTACTGTAAAGGTGCCTGAAAATGTAGAAATGACTTTGAAACTGAGTAACTGGCAGAGGTTGGAATAGTTTGGAGGGCTCAGAAGAAGAAAGGAAGATGTGGGAAAGTTTGGAACTTCATAGAGACTTGTTGAATGGCTTTGACCAAAATGCTGATAGTGATATGGACAATGAATTTCTGGCTGAGGTGATCTCAGATGGAGATGAGGAACTTGTTGGGAACTGGAATAAAGGTGACTCATCCTATGTTTTAGCAAAGAGACTGGCAGCATTTTGCCCCTACCCTAGAGATTTGTAAAACTTTGAACTTGAGAGAGATGATTTAGGGTAACTGGTGGAAGAAATTTCCAAACAGCAAAGTATTCAAGATTTAACTTGGGTGCTGTTCAAAGCATTCAGCTTTATGTATTCACAAATATATGGTTTGGAATTGGAACTTATGTTTAAAAGGTAAGCAGAGCATAAAAATTCAGAAAATTTGCAGCCTGAGGATGTGATGGAAAAGAAAAAAACACATTTTTCTGGGGAGAAATTCAAGCCTGCTACAGAAATTTGCATAAGTAATGAGAAGCCAAATGTTAATCACCAAGACAATGGGGAAAATGTCTCCAGGGCATGTTAGAGACTTTCATGGCAGCCCCTCCCATCACAGCCCCAAAGGCCTAGGAGAGGAAAGTGGTTTTATGAGCTGGACCCAGGTACACCCTGATATATGTGGCCTCAGGTCATGGTGCCCTGAGTCCCAGATGCTTCAGCTGTAGCCAAAGCAGGGCTTGGGCCATTGCTTCAGAGGGTGCAAGCCCAAAGCCTTGGTGGCTAACACATGGTATTGGTCCTGTGGGTGCACAGAAGTCAAAAATGGAGGTTGGGAACCTCCACCTAGATTTCAGAGGATATATGGAAAAGCCTGGGTATCCAGACAGAAGTTTGCTGCAGGGGTGAAGCCCTCAGAGAACCTCTGTTAGGGCATTGTGGAAGGGAAATGTGGGGTCAGAGTCCCACACAGAGTCTCCACTGGGGCACTGCCTAGCGGAACTGTGAGAAGAGGGCCACCATCCTCCAGATCCCAGAATGGAAGATCCACTGACAGCTTGTACTGTGCACCTGGAAAAGCCACAGACATGGAACAGCAGCCCAGGAAAGCAGCCAGGAGGGAGCTATACCCTGAGAAGCCACAGGGATGGAGCTGCCCAATGCCATGGGAGCCCACCTCTTGCATTAGTCTGTCCTGGATGTAAGACATGGAGTCAAAGGAGTTCATTTTGGGGCTTTAAAATTTGACTGCCTTGCTGGATTTGGGAGTGGCTTGGGGCCTGTAGCCTCTTTGTTTTGACCAATTTATCCCATTTGGAATGGGTGTATTTACCCAATGCCTATACCTTCATTGTATTTTGGAAGTAACTAACTTGCTTTTGATTTTACAGGCTTATAGGTGGAAGAAACTTGCCTTGTCTCAGATGAGACTTTGGACTTGGGCTTTTGGGTTAATGCTGAAATGAGTTAAGACTTTGGGGGACTGTTGGGAAGGCATGATTGTGTTTTGAAATGTGAGGACATAAGATTTGGGAGGGGCCATGGGCAGAATGATATGATTTGGCTATGTCCTCAGCCAAATCTCATCTTAAATTGTGTTTCCCATAATCCTCACATGCTGTGGTAGGGATCCAGTGGGAGGTAATTGAATCATGGGGGCAGTTACCCCAATGTGTTGTTCTTGTGATACCGAGTGAGTGCTCATGGGATCTGATGGTTTTATTAGGGGCTTTTCCCTCTTTGCTCAGTGCTTCTCCTTCCTGCCATCATCTGAAGAAGGACATGTTTGCTTCCCCTTCTGCCATAATTGTAAGTTTCGTGAGGCCTCCCTAGCCATGTGGGACTGTGAGTCAATTAAACCTTTTTCCTTTTTAAATTACCCAGTCTCGTTCTTTATAGCAGTGTGAGAATGGAATAAAACGATATTCTCACCCCTCCTGTGGATAAAAGGACACAGGGACCCATTATAATTATAATTATAGCCTGATGTTGTCTCCAGAGGTTTTCAGAAAACTTGTGTTTCAACTTACATTTGCCCCTTCATATTATGAAATCAGGTGGCTTAGTTTAGAAGCAGTGAATTCAATTTGTGGTTATATTCTATTTAATCTTTTTTCTTTCCTGGGAAGACTTAGAGCTCATTGCCCAAGGATGGAATTCATCAGAAGGCATTGTACAGAATAGGATGGTTGTTCGTTTTTGCAACACTGAAGCCACTGAACTTTATTTAGTCTTATTGTAAATGCAATTTCCACAGGCTAATGTTGTGACTATACCATCCTCATAGGACAAGGATATGGCAAACACATCAAAGAACAGGTAGATTGTTTAGGTGGATATTAAGGCCTGAGTCATTCTACAAACATATATTTGTGACTCCTGTGTGTGTTAGCCCTATCTTAAATGGCAAATCCTTCCTCTGGGTTCCATCCACTTATTTCTCCAAGTCAGCAGAGGTAACATGTACCACACAAGCTTTTCCAGTGTTATGGCTGGTGATATGATTTGGATGTTTGTCCCCTCCAAATCTCATGTTGAAATGTGACCTTCAATGTTAAAGGTGGGGCCTAGTGGGAAGTATTGGATCATGAAGGTGGGGATCCCTCCCGAATTGCTTAGTGCTATTCTAATGGTAAGGAGTGAGTTCTTGCTCTGAGTTTATTTAAGATTTGGTTGTTTAAAAATGTGTGGCATCTCCCCTCTCTCTTTTTCTTGCTTGTTCTTGCCATGTGACATGTATGTTCCCCCTTTGCCATGAGCAAAAGCTCCTTGAGGTTCCACCAGAAGCCAAGCAGATGCTGGGACCATGCTTCTTTTACAACCTACAGAACTGTGAACCAGTTAAACCTTTTTTCTTTATAAATTATCCAGCCTCAGATACTCCTTTATAGCAGTGCAAAAACTGACTAACACAGCTGGGAACAACCTCAAGTGGCCAGTCTAAAAAAGACTAGGACCCCCTCTGTGTCTGATCATTTTTTCCTGGTAATTCAATAAGGTATCTTGAAAGCACACTGTTGGGACCTCCCTCTATCCCATAGAAAACAGTGTTAACCTAATTTATAAACTACTTGGCTGGTTGCCAGTTAATTACTCTTCTTATCATTGGGAAAAGTATAAAAAAGCATTGAATCAGGGGAAGGAAGGCAAATCCTGCCCCTGCCTTTTTTTCTGTTTCTCTTGGTCTCAATGTTACACAGGAACTCATGTGTTACAGACAGCTGGAGACTTGTTTGTTTTGTTTTTCCCCAAAGGCAAAGCAGTGCACTTTAGTGTTTGTATTTGTCAAATGAGAAACTATAGCTCAAACCATCAAGACAAGGCTTAGAGTATATGCCCATGCCTTTGCTTACCTTATTTTTAGAGGTCTGTGGTAAATTTGCTTTTTTAAAAAATAACATGATTTTATATAGAAATTCTGATAATAAAGTCTTGTTTTGTCAGTCTGGTGACAAGATGGCAGTTCTTACAAACCTTGAGGAGACTAAACAAATCTGACTAAATAAAGGCTAATGAAGCCAAAAATGACGAACACTCCAGCTCTAAGTCACACATGTAGATGTGTTTTCACTTTGGTAAAAACTATTCAAGAGGGAATGCAAATGTTTCTGTTGTAGAGCTGACAATCTGGAGGAAAGAACAGGCTGTGAACCCAGGAAAAGTTTTGTGGAATTTTCTGGTGGCTTCCAGAATTTGTCAGCTTGCCACTCTCAGATTTGGATGCTTCTGTCTAATTTTCCTCTTTTAGGTAGGGCTACTTTTTTTTTAAGCTTTATTAAAGTACATTTGACATACAATGAATTACACATATGTAATCTATATAATTTGGTATGTTTTGACATATGTTTATACCATCACCACAATCATGATATTAAATGTTTAAGTGACTTAAATTGAGGTAGCTTTTATGTTTTATGTACATAGGTTTTACATCCATTAATCTGAAGACGAGGTAACCCAGATGAAGCAGGACTGCAGTTTTATAGGATTAGAATAAAAGGAATACATATCCTTGTGCTATGGCTCAGGGTAATGTTTTAGTCTTTAACTGCGTGAATCTCACAGTTGGAATGATTGAAGATTGTTCTATTTTATCCTTCTTGCTCAGGATGATTGGTTTAGTTTTATCCAGGCAATTGTCAGCACAGTTCTCATGAAAGCTACTTTTGAAATCCTTGTGGTATGTTGGTTAGTCAACATTTGGAAGGAAGGCAGAGAAGTAGAAAAAAAAAGAGGGAGGAAAGGAGACAAACAAAAAAAGAAGCAAGGGTTTAAGGCAAGAGAATGTGGAGTCTTGCTATCATGTTAAAAATTCCATTTATAAAGATAATATTCACCTCCAAAAGTTTCCACATTGTGATCCTTTCTTCTAACCTCTCACTGCACAAGACCATCACTGATCCATTTCTGTCACTATAGATTAATTTTCATGTTCTAGATTTTTATATACATGGAATGCTACAGTATGAACTCTTTTTGTCTGACTTCTTTCATCAGCATAATTATTCTGAGACTTATCCATGTTTTGTATGTCAATAGTTCATTCATTCTCTTGTATGGTTATACTGCAGTTTGCTTGGGCATTCACCTCTTGACAGACTTTTGTGGATTTGCCATTTTTGGCTATCACAAATGAAACTATAACTATAAACATTTATGTACAAGTCTTCATATGGACATACACTTCTTCCATTTCTCGTGGGTAAATACCCAGTGGTAGAGTGAGAAGATCATATGATAGCTGTATGTTTAACTTTTTAAGAAACTGTCAAACTGTTGTTGAAAGTAATTGCATCATCTAATATCCCCACTAGCAGTGTATGAGAGTTCAGTTGCTCTGCGTCCTCATCAGCACTTGGTATGGTCAGTCTTTTTAATTTTAGAAATTCTAATATATATATTGTAATACCAAATTGTAGCTTTAATTGACATTTTTCTAATTACTAATGATGGTAAGCCTATTCTCAGGTGATTATTTGTCATCTGTATATTTTATTTGGTGGTATGCTTGTTCAAATTCTTTGCTTATTTAAAAAATTAAGTTATTTGTTTTCTTGTTATTGAGTTTTGTGGGTTTTTTTTGTGTTTTGAATGTAAATGCTTTATCTGATATACAATTTCCCAATATTTTCTCAGTTTATACTTATCTTTTTGTTCTCTTAATAGTGTTATTCAAAAAGCAAAGTTATTAATTTGATGGAGTCCAGTTTGTCATTTTTTTTTCAAATAGAATGTGCTTTCGGTATTGTTTCTAAGAAGTCCTTACCAATTCAAGGTCACAATGACTTTCTTCTATGTTTTCTCCTATAAGTATTGTTATTTTCTGGTTTACATTGGGGTTTTTCATCTATTTGGACTTAATTTTTATATATGATAGAGAGTATGGATTAAAGTTCAATATTTTTGCATATGGATATAAAATTATTCAAGCACCATTTTCTAAAAAGAGTATCATATCCCCATTGAATTACTTTTGCATCATTTTCTAAAATCAATTGGCCATTTATATATGGTTCTATTTCTGAAATTCTTATTCTGTTCTATAGATTGTTTATCTTGGCAACAATACTATACTTTTTTGGTTTCTGTTGTCTAATAATAAGTCTTGAAATAGGTAGTGTAAGTCCTCAGTTTTGGTCCTTTTTTAAAGGCGTTCTATTATAATTCCTTTTAATTTCTGTATAAATTTTAAAATCCACTTTTCAATTTAAAAAAAAGTGCCTTCTGGGTTTTTCATTGGGATTGTGTTGAATTTATTAATTAATTTGGGGTAAAATTGACATCTTAACATTATTGAGTCTTTGGATCATGAACACATTATATTTCTCCATTTACTTAGGACTCCTTTAATTTTCCTTGGCAATGTTTTGTAGTTTGCAATGTATAGGTCTTGTACATATTTTATTAGATGTTTCCTAAGAATTTTATATGTTTGATGTTATTTTAAATGGTATTTTCTAAAATTTCAATTTCCAGTTGTTCATTTATAGTATTTTGAAATACATCTGATTTTTGTATATTAACTTTGTATCTTTGAACCATGCTAAACTCACTAGTTCTACTAAATTATTTTATAGATTTCATTAGATTCTCTACATAAGCAACCATGTTTTGTGAATAAAGACAAATTTACTTCTTCCTTTTCATTGTGTATGTTGTGTTTTCAATTTTAAGCCAGTTTCTTTTTATTTCTTCTTTGATTCCTGGATTATTTTAGAAGTGGGTTATTCAGTTCCCAAATATTTGGGGATCTTTCAACTATTTTCTGTTATTTATTACCAATTTAATTTCATTGTAATTGGATAAAATACTTTATATGATCTTAATCCTTTAAAATTTATGGAGACTTTCTTTTGGCTTATCTGTCTGGAAAAATGTTTCATAGGCACTTGGAAAGAATGTATATAATACTTGTAGATTGAGTGTTCTCTACATGTCATTTAGGTGAAGGTGATTAGAGAGTTGTTCAAATTCCCTGGATCCTTACTGATTTTCTGTCTATTGGTTCTATCAATTATTGAAGGAGTGTTGTTGAAATATTAAATTATAATTGTGAATTTCTCTATTTCTCCTTGCAGTTCTATCAGGTTTTGCTTCATGTATTTTGAAGCTATATTATTAAGTACATAAACATTAAGGATTGTTATGTTGTCTTTATGAATTGACTTCTTTATCATTATGAAATGATCCTCTTTATGCTTGTTAGTATTCTTTGTTCTTAAATCTGCTTTGTCTGATATTAACAAAGTCATTGCGTTTTTGAGGTTCCAAGATGGTGAATAGGTTCACTCCAGTCTACAGCTCCCAGTGTAAGTGACACAGAAGACAGGTGATTTCTGCATGACCAACTGAGGTACCGGCTTCCTCTCACTGGGGTTTGTCAGACAGTGGGTGCGGCCCATGGAGCAGGGCAGGGCATTGCCTCACCCGGGAAGTGCAAGGGGTCGGGGAATTCCCTTTCCTAGCCAAGGGAAGCCATGACAGATGGTACCTGGAAAATTGGGACTCTCCCACCCTGATACTGTGCTTTTCCAATGGTCTTAGCAAATGGCATACCAGGAGATTATATCCCATGCCTGGCTTGGAGGGTCCTACACCCACAGAGCCTCACTCACTTCTAGCACAGCAGTCCGAGATCGAACTGCAAGTTGGCAGTGAGGCTGGGGGAGGGGCGTCCTCCATTGCTGAGGCTTGAGTAGGTAAATAAAGTAGCTGGGAAGCTCGAACTGGGTGGAGCCTACCGCAGCTCAAGGAGGCCTGCCTGCCTCTGTAGACTCCACCTCTGGGGGCAGGGCATAGCTGAACAAAAGGCAGCAGAAACTTCTGAAGACATAAACGTCCCTGTCTGACAGCTTTGAAGAGATTAGTGGTTCTCCCAGCATGGAGTTTGAGATCTGAGAATGGACAGACTGCCTCCTCAAGTGGGTCCCTGAACCCCAAGTAGCCTAACTGGGAGAAACCTCCCAGTAGGGGCCTACTGACTACTCATACAGCCAGGTGCGCCTCTGAGATGAAGCTTCCAGAGGAAGGATCAGGAAGCAACATCTGTCGTTCTGCATTATTTGCTGTTCTGCAGCCTCTGCTGGTGATACTTAGGCTGGAGTGGACCTCCAGCAAACTGCAACAGACCTGCAGCTGAGGGTCCTGACTGTTAGAAGGAAAAGTAAGAAACAGAAAGGAAATCTACACCAAAACCCCATTATCAAAGACCAAAGTTAGATGAAACCACAAAGATGGGGAGAAACCAGAGCAGAAAAGCTGACAATTCTAAAAATCAGAGCACCTCTTCTCCTTCAAAGGAACACAGCTCCACGCCAGCAACAGAACCAAGTTGGACAGAGAATGACTTTGACGAGTTGAGAAAAGAAGGCTTCAGATGATCGGTAATAAAAAACTTTTCCAAGCTAAAGGAGGATATTTGAACCCATCTCAAAGAAGCTAAAAACCTTGAAAAAAGATTAGATGAATGGCTAACTAGAATAAACGTGTACAGAAGACCTTAAATGACCTGATGGAGCTGAAAACCATGGCACGAGAACTACGTGATGCATACACAAGCTTCAGTGGCTGATTCGACCAAGTGGAAGAAAGGGTATCAGTGCTTGAAGATCAAATGAATGAAATGAAGCGAGAAGAGAAGTTTAGAGAAAAAAGAGTAAAAAAAAAAAAAATGAACAAAGCCTCCAAGAAATATGGGACTATGTGAAAAGACCAAATCTACACGTGATTGGTGTACCTGAAAGTGATGGGGATAATGGAACCAAGTTGGAAAACACTCTCCAGGATATTATCCAGGAGAACTTCCCCAACCTAGCAAGGCAGGCCAACATTCAAATTCAGGAAATACAGAGAATGCCACAAAGATACTCCCTGAGAAAAGCAACTCCAAGACACATAATTGTCAGATTCACCAAAGTTGGAATGAAGGAAAAAATGTTAAGGGCAGCCAGAGAGAAAGGTCAGGTTACCCACAAAGGGAAATCCATCAGACTAACAGTGGATCTCTTGGCAGAAACTCTACAAGCCAGAAGAGAGTGGGGGCCAATATTCAACATTCTTAAAGAAAAGAATTTTCAACCCAGAATTTCACATCCAGCAAAAATAAGCTTCATAAGTGAAGGAGAAATAAAATCCTTTACAGACAAGCAAATGCTGAGAGGTTTTGTCACCACCAGGCCTGCCTTACAAGAGCTCCTGAAGGAAGCACTAAACATGGAAAGGAACAAGTGGTAGCAGCCACTGCAAAAACATGACAAATTGTAAAGACCATCGATGCTAGGAAGAAATTGCATCAATTAATGAGCAAAATAACCAGCTAACATCATAATGACAGGATCAAATTCACACATAATGATATTAACCTTAAATGTAAATGGGCTAAATGCACCAATGAAAAGACACAGACTGGCAAACTGATAAAGAGTCAAGACCCATCAGTGTGCTGTATTCAGGAGACCCATCTCACATGGAGGACACACATACGTTCAAAATAAAGGGATGGAGGAAGATCTACCAAGCAAATGGAAAACAAAAAAAGGCAGGGGTTGCAATCCTAGTCTCTGATAAAACAGACTTAAACCAGCAAAGATCAAAAGAGACAAGGCCATTACATAATGCTAAAGGAAATTAATTCAACAAGAAGAGCTAACTATCCTAAATATATATGCATCCAATACAGGAGCACCCAGATTCATAAAGCAAGTCCTTAGAGACCTACAAAGAGACTTAGACTCCCACACAAAAATAATGGGAGACTTTAACACCCCACAGTCAACATTAGACAGATCAATGAGACAGGCAGTTAACAAGAATATCCAGGAATTTAACTCAGCTCTGCACCAAGAGGACCTAAAGGACATCTACAGAACTCTCCACCCCAAATCAACAGAGTATACATTCTTCTCAGCACACATCACACTTACTCCAAAATTGACCAAATAGTCTGAAGTAAAGCACTCCTCAGCAAATGTAAAAGAACAGAAATGATAACATGCTGTCTCTCAGACCACACTGCAATCAAATTAGAACTCAGGATTAAGAAACTCCCTCAAACCACTCAACTACATGGAAACTGAACAATCTGCTTCTGAATGACTACTGAGTTCATAATGAAATGAAGGCAGAAATAAAGATGTTCTTTGAAACCAATGGGAACAAAGACACAATATACGAGAATCTCTGGGACACATTTAAAGTGGTGTGTAGAGGGAAATTTATAGCACTAAATGCCCACAAGAGAAAGCAGGAACGATCTAAAATTGACACCCTAGAAAAGCATTAGGAGATATACCTAATGTAAATGATGAGTTAATGGGTGCATCACACCAACGTGGTATATGCATACATATGTAAAAAATCTGCACATTGTGCACATGTACCCTAGAACTTAAAGTATAACATATATATATATATGTTTTTAAAAAAAAGAAGCTAGAGTAAACACATTCAAAAGCTAGCAGAAGGCAAAAAATAACTAAGATCAGAGCAGAACGGAAGGAGATAGAGACATAAAAAACCCTTCAAAAAATCAATGAATCCAGGAGCTGGTTTGTTGAAAAGATCAACAAAATTGAGAGACTGCTAGCAAGACTAATAAAGAAGAAAAGAGAGAAAAATCAAATAGATACAATAAAAAATGATACAGAAGATATCACCACCAATCCCACAGAAATACACACTACCATCAGAGAATACTATAAACTCCTTTACACGAATAAACTAGAAAATCTAGAAGAAATGGATAAATTCTTGGACACATACACCATCCCAGGCTAAACCAGGAAGAAGTTGAATCCCTGAATAGACCAATAACAGGCTCTGAAATTGGGGCAATAATTAATAGCCTGCCAACCAAAAAAAGTCCAGAACCAGACAGATTCACAGCTGAATTCTACCAAAGGTACAAACAGGAGCTGGTACCATCCCTTCTGAAGCTATTCCGATCAATAGAAAAAGAGGGAATTCTCCCTAACTCATTTTATGAGGCCAGCGTCTTTCTGATACCAAAGTCTGGCAGAGACAAAACAAAAAAAGAGAATTTTAGACCAATATTCCTGATGAACATCAATGCAAAAATCCTCAATAAAATACTGGCAAACCGAATCCAGCAGCACATCAAAAGCTTATCCACCATGATCAAGTTGACTTCATCCCTGGGATGCAAGGCTGGATTAACATACTCAAATCAATAAACATAATCCATCATATCAACAGAACCAAAGACAAAAACCACATGATTATCTCAATAGATGCAGGAAAGGCCTTTTTCAAAATTCAACAGCCCTTCATGCTAAAAACTCTCAATGAACTAGGTATTGATGGGATGTATCTTAAAATAAGAAGAGCTATTTATGACAAACCCACAGCCAATATCATACTGAATGGGAAAAAACTGGAAGCATTCCCTTTGAAAACTGGCACAAGACAGGGATGCCCTCTCTCACCACTCCTATTCAACCTAGTGTTGGAAGTTCTAGCCAGGGCAATCAGGCAGGAGAAAGAAATAAATGGTATTCAATTAGGAAAAAAGGAAGTCAAATTGTCCCTGTTTGCAGAGGACATGATTGTATATTTAGAAAACCCTGTTGTCTCAACCCAAAATCTCCTTAAGCTGATAAGCAACTTTGGCGAAGTCTCAGGATAAAAATCAATGTGCAAAAATCACAAGCATTCGTATACACCAATAACAGACAAACAGAGAGCCAAATCATGAGTGAACTCCCATTCACAATTGCTCTAACGAGAATAAAATACCTAGGAATCCAACTTACAAGGGATGTGAAGGACCTCTTCAAGAAGAACTACAAACCACTGCTCAATGAAAGAGAGGACACAAACAAATGGAAGAATATTTCATGCTCATGGATAGGAAGAATCAATATCGTGAAAATGGCCATACTGCCCAAGGTAATTTATAGATTCAACGCCATCCCCATCAAGCTACCAATGATTTTTTTCACAGAATTGGAAAAAACTACTTACAAGTCCATATGCAACCAAAAAAGAGCCTGCATTGCCAAGACAATCCTAAGCAAAAAGAACAAAGCTGAAGGCATCATGCTATCTGACTTCAAACTATACTACAAGGCTACAGTAACCAAAACAGCATGGTACTGGTACCAAAAGAGACATATAGACCAATGGAACAGAACAGAACCCTCAGAAATAATACCACACATCTACAACCCTCTGATCTTTGACAAACGTGACAAAAACAAGAAATGGGGAAAGGATTCCCTATTTAACAAATGGTGTTGGGAAAACTGGCTAGCCATATGTAGAAAGCTGAAACTACATCCCTTCCTTACACCTTATACAAAGATTAATTCAAGATGGATTAAAGACTCAAATGTTAGACCTAAAACCATAAAAACCTGAGAAGAAAACCTAGACAATACCATTCAGGACATAGGCATGGGCAAGGACTTCATGACTAAAACACCAAAAGCAATGGCAACAAAAGCCAAAATTGACAAATGGGATCTAATTAAACTAAAGAGCTTCTGCACAGCAAAAGAAACTACTATCAGAGTGAACAGGCAACCTATAGAATGGGAGAACATTTTTACAATCTACTCATCTGACAAAGGGTAGATTCTACCACCCAGAATCTACAAAGATGTAGATTCTACCATCCAGAATCTACAAAGAACTTACACAAATTTACAAGAAAAAATCAAACAACCCCATCAAAAAGTGGGTGAAATATACGAACAGACACTTCTCAAAAGAAGATATTTATGCAGCCAACAGACACATGAAAAAATGCTCATCATCACTGGCTATCAGACAAATGCAAATCAAAACCACAATGAGATACTCTCTCATACTAGTTAGCATGGTGATGATTAAACATTCAGGAAACAACAGGTGCTGGAGAGAATTTGGAGAAATAGGAATGGTTTTACACTGTTGATGGGACTGTAAACTGGTTCAACCATTGTGGAAGACACTGTGGTGATTCCTCAAGGATTTAGAACTAGAATTACCATTTGACCCAGCCATCCCATTACTGCGTATATACCCAAAGGAATATAAATCATGCTGCTATAAAGACACATGCACAGGTATGTTTATTGAGGCACTATTCACAATAGCAAAGACTTGGAAGCAACCCAAATGTCCATCAGTGATAGACTGGATGAAGAAAATGTGGCACATATACACCATGGAATTCTATGCAGCCATAAAAAGATGAGTTCATGTCCTTTGTAGGGACATGGATGCAGCTGGAAACCAACCATCATTCTGACCAATCCGTTGCAAGGACAGAAAACCAAGCACCACATGTTGTCACTCATAGGTGGGAATTGAACAATGAGTACACTTGGACACAGGGTGGGGAACATCACACACTGGGCCGTATCATCTGGTGGTGGGCTGGGGGAGGCATAGCATTCGGAGACATAACTTATGTAAATGTCGAGTCAATGGGTGCAGCACACCAACATGGCACACGTATGCATATGTAACAAAGCTGCACGTTGTGCACATGCACCCTATAACTTAAAGTATAATTTAAAAATAAAATAAAAATAAAATAATACAAAGCCATTGCAGCTTTTCTTTTTTGTTTAAATTTTTTTTTATTTTAAATTTTTTGGGTACATAGTAGGTAGATATATTTATAAGGCATATGAGATATTTTTATACAGGTATACAAATGTGTAATAATCACATCACGGTAAATGCATAAAGCTTTCTTTTTGAGTGTTGGCAAGTTGCATTTTTTCTGTGCTTCTGCTTTTAACCTATCTGTGTTGTCATATTTTAAGTATGTTTCTTGAAGGCAGCATGTAACTGGGCCTTGCTTTTTAAAAATCAAATATGAAAATCTTTACCTTTTATTTGAGGTCATTAGACATTTACATTTAATGTAATAATTGATATGGTTAATTTTATATTTACTATTTTCATATTTGTTTTCTATTTTACCCAGGTGTTTGTTATTCCCTTTTCCCTCTTTTTCTGCCTTCTCTAGGATTATTTTAATATTATTTTTTCCATCTATTTTATCTATTTTGTTGGCTTAATAACTATAACTGTGTTTTGTTATTTCAGAAGTTGCTTTAAATTTATAGAACTGGCCAGCCACGGTGGCTCACACTTGTAATCCCAACAGTTTTGGAGGCCAAGGTGGGTAGATCACCTGAGTTCAGGAGTTCAAGACCAGTCTGGCCAATACAGGGAAATCCCATCTCTACTAAAAATACAAAAATTATCTGGGTGTGATGGTGCATGCCTGTAATCCCAGCTACTTGGGAGGCTGAGGCAGGAGAATCACTTGAACCCAGGAGGCAGAGGTTACAGTGAGCTGGGATCATGCCACTGCACTCCAGCCTGGACAACATAGTGAGACTCTGTCTCAAAAATAAATAAATAAAAATAAAAATATATTTATTGAATATTTATTGTATTTTTATTTTTGTGTGTGATTTTCATTTTCCATTTTTCTCAGTGAGTTGTATTTATCTGTAACTTATCATAGTTGATCTTCAAATGTTATTCCTGTACTTTATGTATAGTATATGAATCTTACAACAGAATCATTTCATTTGTCCCCTCCCAGACTTTATGCTATTGTCATTATCCATTTTTACATCTCTACATGTAATAAACCCTGAAAATATAGTGTTTTTATTTTTGCTTGAAACAGCTGATTTTCTTTTAAAGAGATTTAAATAATTTTCTTAAAAGCTTTTATATTTAACAATGTAGTTACCACTTATGGTGCTTTTCATTTCTTTGTATAGATCAAGATTTCCACTTGATAACCATTTCCCTTCTGTTATAAACACATAAAAATAGATTTTCCACTCAAAAAAAATTTCCCTTCTGCTTTGAAAACTTCCTTTAACATTTCTCCTAGTGCAGATGTGTGATGATTTTTTTTCAGCTTTGGTACTTCTGAAAAAGCTATTATTTTGCCACTTTGTCAAAGTATATTTTCACTGAGTTAAGAATTGTAAGTTGACAGTTTTTAAAAAAATCATTCAATACTTTAAAAAGATTACCCTACTGTCTTCTCACTTGCACTGTTGTTGATGTCTGCCATCATCTTTATCATTTTTTCCTCTGTATGTAATGTGTTTTAGTTCCTGGATGCTTTTAAGTTTTTTATTATTGGTTCAAAGCAATTTCATTATAGTGTGTTTTGCTGAGTTTTATTGATGTTTCTTGTTCTTGACATTCTTTGAGTTTATTGAGTTTTTGTATTTATGATTTTTATCAAATTTTGGAAATATGCAGCCATGATTTTTTCTGTTGTTTTCCCATGCAACTTGCCTTCTTTAAGATGTCTCTCTTTCTCCTGAGAGAAATATATATACATATATATTTATTCATATATATATACACATATATATACACACACACATACGTATATATACTTGAGAGACTATATGTATATGCACATACTGCTTAAAGATGTTTCAAAACTCACAAATGCTTTATTTTTTCTCAGTCTTTTTTTCTCTTTATGTTTTATTTTGGATAGTTTCAATTGCTATATTTTCTAATTCACTAATCTTTCCTTCTGCAATGTCTAATTTGATGTTAATATCATCCATTGTATATTTAAATCTCCACCATTGTAGTTTTCTTCTCTAAAAGTTTGATTTAGGTATTTTTTGTTTGTTTCATGTATTTAATATGTTTATTTTTTCTCCTAACTTGTTGAACATGTGAATATAACTTCTAATGTACTCATAATTCTATCTGTTTCTCTCCTGTGTTGGTTTTGATGGAGTGATGTTTTTCTTATTATGGATCATATTTTTCTGCTTTTTTGTATGTCTGGTAAATTTTTAATATGATGCTGGGCATTTTGAATATTACCTTGTTGAGTCCTGCATATTTATATCCTCATCAACTACTCTTGAGGTTTGTTCTGGAACAGTTAAGTTACTTGATAATAGTTTTTTTTGTTTGTTTTTTGAGATAAAGTCTTACTCTATTGCCCAGGCTGGAGTGTAGTAGTGTGATCTCAGCTCACTGCAACCTCTGCCTCCTGGACTCAAGTGATCCTCTGACCTCAGCCTCCTGAGTAGGTGGGACTATAGGCATACACCACCATGCCCTGCTAATCTGTATTTTTTTGTAGAGACATTGTTTTGCCATGTTTCCCAGGATGGTCTTGAACTCCTGGGCTCAAGCAATCTACCTGCCTCAGCCTCTCAAAGTGCTGGGATTACAGGTGTGAGCCACTGTTCCTGGCCGATAGTTTGATCTTTAAAGATCAAGTCTAGGCTCTGTAACCAGGATGTCTCATGCCGCATTACTTTCAGGAGCAAAACATCCTGGATGTGCTTCTGAATGTTGCAAAAGGGGCAGCAATGGGAATAATCTTCATTTCACTTTTACCACCTTAGTTTTATTTCTTTATTTACCACTTCAGGAGAAAACTGATATTAAGGTAACCTTGAAACAAGGCTAAATAATCAGTCTTATCCATTCCCAAAAATATGCTGTGTGTGGTGTTGCCTCGTTCAATTCTGAGTTTCTTAATCTCTCTCATATATTTTCTCAGCTTGTCTTGCTATGCTGCATGATAGGTAATTTCTTCAGGTGTAACTTTTAGCTCAATAATGCTCATCTTAGCTGTGTGTATTCTGTGGTTTAACCCACTCACTGAATTTCTTCTTAGTGCTTCTTTAGTTTTTTCCTAGAAACTTTTGATGGTTACTTTTCCTTGCTCATATTGTTTATTCCACTTAAATTTATTTAAATATTTTTACTATTTTTTTGTATTACATATATGATAATTCCTGGGGATCTAATTCTGTTGGTGGTTGTTTCTGTTGGTTGTCACTCTTAATAGCTTGAGTAATTTTATGCTTTTGGATTTTGAACCCATGTTTTGTGGTGCTTTATCTTTGGGAATCTTTTGAGCCTGGATTAATGACATTTCTCTCCATAGTTGACTTGGGTTTACTTGTAAGTGGCACTCTGGGGGACTACTAGTCTGAGAGTATTTTAAGTTAATACCATGTCTGTTTTGTGTTTGTTTTTGGTTTTTGCTTCAACCACTTTGGCTGTAGCAATTTAAATTCTAAACCCATGCAAGGTTAGGCATGGGATTAAGAATGCCTAGGGGAATCTTCTTTTCCTTCCTGAACCCAGACTAGGACAGACACCTTCATTTTCAACAGGCAGATTTTTAATTATTTGTTGGATTGTATTCTACCACTGAGTTTGCAGGCTTTATACCACTTGGGCTTTTTACAGGAGCCTTGGTTTCACCTCCTACCATGTCTCCTAGCTCCTGTGTGGCTGTCAGAAGGCAAGGCTCTTGTTTTACCAAGACTGGCAAATACGCCCAAGTCAGCTGTAGCTGCCATTCCTGGTTTCCAGCATTCCCTTCCCTTTTGCTCCTGAAATTTTCTTATTTTCTTTCAAGCTCACTCTGCATTTGAATTGCTGCCAATTATATTTTATTCAGCATTACTGTGCATTTTGATTTTGTGTTGTTTTGTATCACTTTTTATGGCATTCAGCATATGTTATATATTGAACAAATTAAAAAGAAATTAGTTTTTTTCCTATTTAGTATCCAAATTGACACTGGAATGCTTACCCTGATTATATATCAGATGGCCGGATGTCATATAATCATAAAGTATTGCAAGGGATAAGTGGGAGTTTAACTACATGGGTGTGGGGGGATTTGACAATGGTGTTACCATTTATTTTGTTGCTTTTGGTGTATTGTGGAGCATGGAGGTTTATGTGCATACAGTTATATATACTTATGGTTCATATTATCTGGTCTAAGTTAACCCCCACAAAATGGATATATAGATTTAAAAGATTCCTGAAATTAAACTATGGTGTGAGACAATATGTAAGCACATGAAAGCAGCAAGAGAATGTAAGAGATGACGTTCCTGCTTTTAGGATGAGAGCTTCATCAGTTCCATTTTTAATCACTTCCAGAAGTTAAGGTTGCTTTTCATTTTCTGTTTTATTTTCTGAAAAGTATGGACTAGTACAATTGTGACGTCTCTGAAATTATTTTCTGTGTAGGTTTCCCATTTACTTTCATCAGCAGAGGTGTAGTGTAACAGGCATAGAGTATATGTGGGTCAGACTTGCGGGTTTGAATTCTGGTGCCACATCTTTCTAACTGAAAGACTTTAGTAAGTTTTTTTTAACCCCAATGTGCCTCAGTTTTAATCACCTTTACTAGTATCTATTTCATAGGCTTCTTATGAGAATAAATTAATATGTATAGAGAGCTTAAAACAATTCATCCTCTGTCTTCCTGTCACAGAGGAGTTATGAAGGTAAAGATGAGAAATTTTACACAGAGTTGCATTGTAAAAGGAGATGCAATCTTAAAAAAGATTTATGGGTAATTCTCTAGGCCAGGTGACTTTGTCTGGAGGATATAAGAATGCTAGAGGAGAAACTGGTTAGCAGGAAAATGTTTACGAATGTTCTGGTCCACCAAATGAAAGACAGATCTTGTGTTATTCTAGCATAATATACTCAATAGCATGAAGGTTCAAGGTATTATAACAAATATATCATTTGCCCGCAAGCTTATAGAATTTGTTTCTAGAAAAATACTGAAAACTTTTGCCCAATTGAGCATCTCTAAAGCTTTTCTGAAAAAGATATAAACAAACTTTTGAATGTAGTTCCTGAACTTCACACTGAATTAAGACTTTCTCATTTAGCCAATTAAAAAGATTCATAATACATAGAACATAAAATTTACCATTGTAACATTTTTAAGTGTACAGTTCAATAATGTTAAATATATTCACATTGTCATGCAATTAACAAACTCCAGAACTTTTTCATCTTGCAAAATGAAAAATCTATATCCCTTAAACTCCCCATTTCTCCCTCTCCCCAACCTCTGGAGATAACCATTCTATTTTCTATTTTTATGATCTTTCAGCCTTTTTTTTAAAAAAACTTCACGATGTCTTTGAGTAGACTCAGTGCCTAAGAAGTAAAGTGCCTTTTCGATGCATTGACTTCATGATTGTGTGGAATCATCCTTTGGAACTTCTTGGTTGTCATCAGGGATCACAAAGATATGACAAGTACATTGATTTCGAGCCAAAGAGAGGACATGTGTTTTCCTTTAGGATTAAATCAGCTCTTAGATAATTCTTAAAATGCTGGACTTCTCCTCTTCTGTGTTTTGTTAGTTGAAGACACTGCCACTTGATCTCCCTTTGTAATGCTTGAGGCTACCAGTTGCTGCAGTCAAAATTCTAAACCTTTGAAGAGTGTTTTAGGTTCTTCACTCTCTCTAATGGCCATGACTGTGGGATTCTTTCTCATCTCAAAGCCAAGCCACATCACCTTTGAAAATCAGTGACTAGCCATTTTGAGCTCCATAGAAATTGTAAAATTTTTAGATTCTTCTATTGTACAATTTAAGAGTAACTTTGAAGACATTTCGATTTCAAGAAATTTCAGGGCCAAGTGAGGGTAGATTTGTATTCATTACATTTTCTGATACATAGTTAAATACTCAGTGATTCTTTATTATGAATAATTATATGACAATAAATGGCTTATTAAAACTATTTGTTATATTAAAGATATTCACACAATAGCCAAAATGGCCACTAGAAGGATCTGATCATAAAATAAACAAGAATTTGTGATATTAATTATTAGGTAATTATTATGCTTATATCATGCATTAGCACCTTTAAATATATTATTCACATGGCAATCCATAGAGGGAATTTAAATATTTAAATTTAATGTTTAATTTTTATATAAGCATAAAATATAGAGTTGGTGTTTGTATTATTAGAATGGAGTCTATGTCATAATTTTGCATTTTCTATTTTTGACTCACAGAAAGGAAATAGGTGGCAAGCTTCACCTTGTTATTTTCCAAATATTCCAGTATTCTGGGAGCCAGAGGCACATATATTTTTATTGTCTTCCTGATACTGACTGTTATGTGGGCTTGGGACAAACATCATTCTGTTTGTATGCTTCCTTTTCCTTATACATGGAAAGAAAGATCACAATATCTTTCCTGAGTGTGCCTTGGAGAAAAGAGTGAACATTTGTTTCAAATTTCAGCTTAAGGACAAACATTCTTTCTGTGTCAGTTGCCAGAATCATGCACATCAGCTGAGCTTGTGTCTTTATAAAGAGGTAGGCCTTCTATGTGGTGCATTTTGCCGTGCTGTGATGAAGGCCTTTTTGTACCATGTCTTCTGCCAAAGTTAGCTACTTTCAGCTATTCATCTGATTTTGTTGCCTATTCAAGGCAAGCCCCTGAGCTCCCACCTTTTTCTCTGGTGGAACTCCTCTGCCTTGGACTCACATCAAAGAGGCAGGACATTCCCTTAATCACACGCCGTACTCTGTCTGCAACTTGGGGTCTACAATCCCAGCTTTCAGGCTGATGACAGACACACCGCTGGCTCCTTCTAAGTGTCTTTCTTTTGTATCTACTGTCTTTGATACAATGAAAAAAGAAAAAAAATTAAAGAGGCAAGGGAATCTTTTAATTACGTGGCTTTATTCCCAGACCAAGATTGTGCCCATTAACCCCAAGAAAAATACTTACTAAAAATAAGGCTATATCATCTTTAAAAATTTATTTACCTGACTTCTGTTTTGCTTAGTAGTTAACTGTCTTTACCTTCTGAGTAGATGGTGAGGATGCTTTGTGAGGGAAAGGAAAGAAGCGTAGACTCTACATTACAAAAAATCAGAAAATGAGACTTCCTTGAGTTATCAGACTTGGCAAGTTTTCTGGCCTCTCTTACACCTGAGGGCTGGGATTTGGGTGAATGAAAGAGGTACACTATTTCTTCTCCTCTTTGTGGAGGTTGCAGGCTTGGCACTGAGAGCTCTGCCACTTCTAGCAGCGTGACATTAAACAAGTAATTTTATTTTCTAATCCTTAGTTATCTGATTTCTAAAATGTGAGGTAGTAATAGCATCTTCCTCATAGGATGGCTGGTGGGAGAACTGAAGAAGACACAGTGGATAAAAAGTGTTTAGTTCCTTGACTATCACATAATAAATGCCCTACTAATGATCACTTTTGTTTTTTTTTATTGTACTTTTTAACAAGCTTCAGAAAGTCTCAGGCTTAGTTCTCTTTCTTTTTTTGCTTGGGTCTCCTCTCTGCTCAGAAGATGCTCAGTGAATCTCCATTATGCAGCATGTAAATGACAGTGATGGTGATGGTGATGTTGTTGTTGTTGCTAGGGGACTATTATAGAGAACATCCCTGCAAAGAAGACAAATATGCCTGTGAGGTCTTTATGAGAGCCCTAAATAAGCAGGTGTATGGCAGATAGGTGTTGAGTCCCACTCTGTCCTCCTGTCAATGCCATGAGGAACATACAATGACTGCTCTCACATCAGAGATGGGGAAAGTGATGATTAGAAAGTTAAATAGTTGACTCAATGTCACACAACTGACTGCCAAGCCCCAGCAAGTCTGCAAAGAGGAGAGGGAACCTTGTTCTTCCTTTCTTCACCTGTCCTTCAGCCCCATACTAGGCCTGTGATTGTTCCAGATAACTTGGAGCCAATGAGTCTGATTTCTCCAATGGCCTGATTTCTCCAATGGCCCATGACAATGGGGCAGAAGCCTGATTTGTCTAATGGCCCTATGACAATGGGGCAGAAGGGAAACAATAATAACTTAGAACATTCACAGAGTCTTTGAAAGCCAGTTGTCAGTACTGATCTGTGTAGATGCTGACTTGCCTTTAGAAATAAATACCTCTAGAATATATACATTTTTTCACTTTCTTCATTTCAGAATTTTGTTTTCTAGGTTTTGTAAGAGTCACTGGCCTTTTGTAGGGGTGTTTGAATCTTAAAATACTGAGGCAGACGTTTTAGAAATGTGTGGCCAGGGTTTGGAGATTTGAAATTTATGTTACAGTTCTGGTTAAAACCATTTCAAATATCTGTTTGAAGAAACACTGAGTTTGTGGTGTATATACCAGTGCAACAGGTTCTTCTGAAAGAGATTTGGTTTTCGAAAAGTAAAACAAAATACATTTTTGTTGTTTAAAAGCTGCTACTGTGGGCTGAGTGTGTAACATTTTTCACACAGTTTTCTCTATTTAGTTTTAAAGACACTTCTATAAGGCTGGTATTGTCATCCCCAATTGTGAGTTCCTAGGAAAGCTCTTACTGCAGGTGACTTGGCTTTCATTCCTCAGTGACTTGCCTGGTACCTGGCATGTGGTGCTACTCCATTAATTTGTTGAACACATGAATGAATTATTCCTGTTTTACAAATTAGCAAAATAAGACTCTGTGAGGAAAAATATTTTATCTAATGCTAGGGAGCATCTCTATTAATAAAATACCAATCAACAGAAAATGCAGATATTTTGTAAGAGGCTCCAGAATGTCTACATAGGAGGAATTTGGAGGAGGGACTCCAATTGAAAGGGAGGATTTTGGCCGGGTGCAGTGGCTCACGCCTGTAATCCCAGCACTTAGGGAGCCTGAGGCGGGTGGATCACGAGGTCAGGAGTTCCAGACCAGCCTGGCCAAGATGGTGAAATCCTGTCTCTACTAAAAATATAAAAATTAGCCGAGTGTGGTGGTGGGCACCTGTAATCCCAGCTACCCAGGAGGCTGAGGCAAGAGAATTGCTTGAACCCGGAAGGAGGAGGTTGCAGTGAGCCAAGATTGCGCCACTGCACTCCAGCCTGGGTGACAGAGCGAGACTCTTGTCTCCACAAAAAAAAAAAAAAAAAAAATCTCCACCTACTGTCAGTGTCCTCTAATTGCAGGCTAGAGGAACTTACCTGGAGAAATTAAATGACTTCCCAAGCGCTGAACTGGCAATCCTGACTTCCAAAGGGATAACAATGTCTCAGCAACAAACTACTGAGTTTTTGGGATGAGTATGATATAATGTCTCTTTCCTGAACTCAGGATTCTACAAGCGAGACAGAATGATTTTTGATTATTAAGTTCTTGCTTAGGTTTTTAAAAAAATTAAAGTGCCCAAACATCAATAGATTTCCCTTTGCCTCTCAGCCAAAATACAGATACAAATCAAAATTCTTCTAAATGACCTGAGATTGCTTTGCTTAGTGTGATGAGTATCAGGATATGCTTGAGTCTCCAGCTATGTAAGGTTTGAACTAGCTGAAGAGAATTTCCAGTCCGCTAGAAGGCACTATACCTCTTAAAATAAAAGTAGACTTACTCTAAAGACAATACAACACAATGAACGCAAGAAATTCCAAAAAATCGACTCTGGCCCCAGATGACATTTTGTTTTTTTAATTTTGAAGTTTGCATTACAATAAAAATCTTCCTACCAGATAGGATGAACATGCCAGCTGCCAGCTGACTGACCTGATCATTTATTTATCTTTAACGTCTGAAGGAGGAGTGTCACTGGCTTAGTGATGTGGCCCCTTGGCAAAGACCTGAGCAGGGCCCAAGGGAACACTGTCAGTAGCTGCTATTACTAATTTATCTCAATGTCTTGCCTTATACTTAAAGATCACTGCCACTCAGCAAAGTCCTCTGGCATTATAAAACCCTCAGAAGGGAAGGGAGCCACTCACTGGGACGCTACAACTATTGGAGCTTTCAGTCATATTGTATTACAAGGATACAAGAAATTGCTCTAGCATTTGAAAGTAGGATGCAGCATAATTACATGCAATTAACTAAGAACTTCTTGGACAGCAACCCAAAGTGAGACTTTATCTAACAGGGCTGCAGAGAAGGAGAGAGAAAAAGGAAGAGACCTTATTTTAGCTGTGTTAGG
Source organism: Homo sapiens (assembly GCF_000001405.40). Taxonomy (NCBI): domain Eukaryota; kingdom Metazoa; phylum Chordata; class Mammalia; order Primates; family Hominidae; genus Homo; species Homo sapiens. Next base: position 114,802,909 of record NC_000005.10, on the reverse strand, counting down.
GAACAAAATTTCAAAGGTCGAAGCTGATTGAAGTAGGTCATGTATAATGAGAAATGAAAAGCAGTTCAAAAATGCAAGAGTCTCCACTTCTTTCACTTGAACTGTCCATATTAAGTAATCATTTTACAACTCTTTTTTTCAATGCTATTGGCCCAAACAGTATTGTTTTCCTTTTCCAGTGTCCTGTTAGAGAGGTGAGGAGAATATTAAAGGAAATGGAGAATAGGAACTGAATTGAGGCAAATTCCCACCAAGCAACTTTAAGGTGGGAATCCACTTTTCTTTGTAGAACAAAAAGAGACAATTTTAGACAATGATTTGGTAAAATCTTTGCATGGGAGAAGTAGTTGCTAAATGTGGAAATAATTCCTGGATATGAATGCATGGATTCATGCCTTTTAGAACTCCTTTTTCTTTGTAGTTCATGGTGAACATAGTCTTTATAAAAATATCAACACTTATATTTGTTACATAGATTGATTCCAGATAAAATGCAAGAATTCATCTGGAAATCTATGATGTATTTTTCCATATGTTTGTCTTAGGTTGATTAGACTGGGTTTTGCATGACAACAGAAATATACTGTTGGGCTGAGGGGAAAGCATTTCTCAAGAAGACAGAATACTGATCTTCCTATAACTTTGAGGACTGAGATGTTTGTGTACACAGTGGCATCTGTTAACCATGGTGGGATTGTTTCAGAAAAAAAAAACATCTTTCAAAGAAAGACAAAAGATAGAATTATGAGTAAAGAATTATATAGGAATGAGAAACTAGCCCCTTGGAAGATTGAGGTATCAGCTGGGACATAAGAAATCTGACAGATGCTTTACTCATTATGCTTTCTAATTTTTTTAAGTGGAAAAATATTATGTAACTCTTGAGAGTTATTTAAATGCTAGTAGGCAAGTAATTTTTCTGGTTTCATTATGGACACATTATTTGACTTTTAAGAGGCTATCATTTCTAATCTCTTCATATTCAGGGGGTTGAGAACTATGTGATTGTACCCTTTATTCTGTCAAACTAAATTGAATTAACATTTCTTGATCTTCTATTTTGTGCAAAAAAGTTCATGAATGCTCAATGAAAATACTTCCCATTAGTAAGTATTGCAGGAAATAGTCCTATAAGAAGTTCTGATTAAAAAAAAAAAAACAAAAACAAATTTTTCACATAAATACCAAGACACTAAGGGATCATTCTAAAAATCTGGGACATAAATTACTTTGCTGCACTACATAAGGTTTTAGATATTGATATGATTTGGCTCTGTGTCCCCCACCCAAATCTCATGTCGAATTATAATTCCCAGTGTTCGGAGAGGGACCTGGTGGGAGGTGATTGGATTATGAAGGCAGATTTCCCCCTTGCTGGTCTCATGATAGTGAGTGAGTTCTCACAAGATCTGGTTGTTTAAAAGTATGTAGCACTTCCGGCCGGGCGCGGTGGCTCACGCCTGTAATCCCAGCACTTTGGGAGGCTGAGGCAGGCGCATCACGAGGTCAGGAGATAGAGACCATCCTGGCTAACATGGTGAAACCCAGTCTCTACTAAAAATACAAAAAATTAGCCCGGCATGGTGGCGGGCGCCTGTAGTCCCAGCTACTCCGGAGGCTGAGGCAGGAGAATGGCGTGAACCCGGGAGGCGGAGCTTGCAGTAAGCAGAGATGGCGCAACTGCACTCCAGCCTGGGCGACAGAGCGAGACTCCGTCTCAAAAACAAAACAAAACAAAACAAAACAAAAAAACACAAAAGTATGTAGCACTTCCACCTTAATGCTTTCTCTCTCTCTCTGTCTCTCTGTCTCTCTCCCTCCCCCACCACCCAGTCCACTGTGCCATGTGAAGAAGGTGCTTGCTTTCCCTTCACGCTTCCACCAGATTGTGAGTTTCCTGAGGCCTCCTCACCCATGCCTCCTGAACAGTCCTCAGAACTGTGAGTCAATTCAACCTCTTTTCTTCATAAATTACCCAGTCTCAGATAGTTCTTTACAGCAGTGTGAGAATGGACTAATACAGATATTGTTCACTGTTACTTTATTTTTAACCAGTACAGGCCACCTTCATTGCATTCCTAGACAACTGAAAGATTACCTTTGAGTCAAGTCAGTCCCAGGCATGAAGTTCCAACTCTGTCTTTTTTAACCATGAAGAACAGTGTTTTCTCATTGCTTAATGAATTTTGCAACTCTGGTCTATGGCTCTGCTCCTTTATGTTTCTCCTCTGCTCCTCATACTCTGAGCTGAAGTGAGACTCTTCAGTCACTACAATAGTCAACATCTATTTTCTGTAAGTCATTGGATCCTGCAGGGCTTGCCCCCTGGCCCATTTTTGCAGCTGAAAAGGTGGTGAATATAATCATTAATCATTAAGTGTTAGGGCTTTCATCTTCCCTTTTTCCCTCCCTACCTGACTTCCTTCCTTCCTTCCTTTTTTTCTTTCTTTTCTTCTTTCCTCCCTCCCTCCTTCTCTCCCTTTCTCCCTCCTTCCCTTCCTTTCTGTTGTTTCTTTTTTCAAATAGGAAAAAACACCAACTGGCTATTTAAAGTTTGTGTATTATAGGTCAAAATTTTTTATGGCGATACATTCCCTAAGTACAAATTCCTAGCCTAGCAGAAAGGACTACTTTTTGAGGAAATATTATTTGTATTGGATATTGCTCAAAATTAGTTCTAACACCAAGTCTTCAGTGGGAGAAGGAGGAGCTGTGCAGTAGAAATCATGCTGGGCTGGGAGCCTGGAGAAGGGGCTGGTTCTCAGCTGTCCTTCTGTGGACAGCCACTATGTGAGCCTGGGACAATTTACATGGCCCCTCTGGGCCTGAGCTTTCTGACCTAGGGCATAAGAACCCTGGATTTAAAGAAGCTGTGTTTTCTCTCCCATTCCTGATGTTCCCTGACCAAACTGAGGATTGGGCTGCTATTTCTCACCACCCAATAAGGAGATGCAGATGAACTGGGGAGGAAGAGAGTTTTTATTTTTGTAACCACTTACAGGGAGGCCTGGAAATTATCACCAGACCAACTCAAAATTGCAAAGTTTTTCAGAGCTTATATAGTTTCTAAGCTATATATCTAGGTGTAAGTGTGCATTCATTTAAAGACAGAAGGGATTAACTTCTTTTAATCTATAAGTAAGGTCTGAGTCCTGAAGACCTTCTTGTGGAGCCTCAGTAAGTTGACTTAATCTCAATGGGTCTAGGTTCTGGGGTGAATACCCTTATCTTGCCTCCTGCTAAATCACAGAGGTTTGAGGAGTTCCTTCAAACCTCCAATAAACTTGTTTGTGGAGGCCTGGTGAGTTTCTTCAGACCCCCAATAAACTTGTTTAATTCTAAATTGGTCCTGTTAAGAATTCCTTCATTATTTTGTCATGCTTTAAGGCCCAGGGAAAGCCTAGGCAAAACTCTTCATGGCTTTTGTTACATTCCATGCTTTGTATAAGGGCACTGGCTTTTTTAGCTTTTAATATTTAACTTAACTACTCAGTACTGAAACAGTTGTGATGGAGGCCTGCGTTAGTGAAACCTGGCTTGCCACACCACCAAGAAACTGTCATTCTTTGTATTGGTTGAAATGGATCTTCTTGGATTTCCTAATTTCAACCACTTTTCTTTCTTTCTTCTGTCTCTTCCTTCTGTCCCTCCTCCTTCCCTCTATTCCTCCTTTTCTTCCTTTTCTCCAGGCATCCATCTTTACCTTTATTATATTTCTCTACTTCTTAGGGGCCATTATTTTACAGTAGGGAGAGAGAGGATCAGAGCGTTAAGTGATTTTCCTAAGTTTGCAAAGTTAGTGGCTTAGTAAGAGCAAATGTGTGTTTAGGATTGTGCTCTGTCACAGCATGTGTTAATAAATTCTCCATTGCTTTGTCCTGGGATTCTTTTTCTAAATGGTTGAAGCCCTCCAAAACAAAAGTTAAGTACAAATTAAGTACATCAGACTACTTTTATTCTGGACATAGGAAGGGAGCAAGGGAGGGATTGACAGTGAGAATTGGGCTGCAGGCTTTTCACCCTGGGAAACAGAGAAGGATCAGGCTTGAGCAACTTAAGAGCATGCTAGAAACATCTGCTCCCATAAGATACAGGAGTGTGAGTGAAGTGTTTTAATAGCCAGGATTTAATGAGTAAAGGCAACCATCTTTACTGAGAAACAGCAACCACCTCTATCACTCAATCCTACATTTCAATCTCTCCTCCAAACCCTAGCTGGGTGACTTTGAGCAAATGACCTCACCAAGCTTTTTTTGGCCCAAGTTGCTTATAAAATAATGATCTGTTAAATATCAATAATAACAACAATAATAGTAATAATATAGAATCTGCCTTAGGGCAAGGAGACTGAAACTTTGAGGCTCCTCTGGGCTTTATGCTATAATATTTGATATTATTACTGAAAAGTAACCTTGGGCAGACATGGTCAAAACTGTGAAAAAGCCTGAGGCATTACATAACCCACCCAAGGATTAAACAAAACAACTGGCTGAAACCAGGATTTCATCACTCTGAGGTGAAAAATGATAACATACCTTTGTACTTAAGAGGCAATTTCTCCTCCTCCTTTTCTTGCTCTATATTTCATTGCATGGTATTTATAACTAGAAGTGAACTAAAATAGTTTTTTTTAAATAAACTTATTGGTTCTTGCTTGAAACATATTAATGCAGAGTTCCAAGTGCCTGCAAAGCCTCAGTAGGCAGTTTCTTGTGAGTCAGGGTTTGTGTCTCCTCTTACGCCATCTGCCTGCTGCTGGGCACTGCCACCTTCACTGGGCAGGCACTGTCTGCTGGGCACCACTCCCTCTTAGATGGATGTTGCTCTGTTGAGAGGTGCCGCAGCCCTTGTGGGCATTGCTGCTGTGGTTCTGCAGTCTCTGGTCCCGATTCCCTGCCCTCCGACAATATACGGCAGAATTCTTTCGCTCCTTCTAATGTTACACTTCCAGAGAACCCCTAAATGGTGCTGCTTGTACCTTGATAATGAAACAGTGCACTTAATTTTTCTTCATTGTTTTTCTTGTTCCCATATAGATTCTGACTCTATGGGTTGGGGAGAAAGTGAGGTGGCTGGGCCAGGAGATGGTAAAGCTGAGTGAGAAACACCTCGATATACTCAGACCACATTGAGGCTTTGTTCTGCATCATGCAGGTTGTACCCAAAGTGATGATCAACTTTCTCCAGTCTCCTGGACTGAGAAGATCCCAAGAATGAGAAACTTAGTGCTAAAATCTGGGCAGTCCCAGGCAAATCAGGACAGTTGATAATCCTAACAGCTCTCTTAGACTGAGTTCCCTCCCGACGGGTTTCCTATAGATGTGGGTGCTTAGTAAGAGCAAATTGAGCAGTTTGAGCAGTTTCTGAGCACCAGCAGTACATGCAGCATAGACTCAGATTAGGACTGCTGCTTTCCATGTACATTGATTCTAGAGTAAAAGAAATAAAATCTGAATTTCTTGATTTTTCCATATCAAAGGAGAACCACTCTACCTGGTAGTACTACCAAAAAGAAGCAGCCTATTCTGGGTACATCAGTCAGAGGTCATGGCAAAGTAGTAAGAACTACCTTATATACAAAAATTAATTCAAGATGGATTAAAGACTTACATGTTAGACCTAAAACCATAAAAACCCTAGAAGAAAACCTAGGCAATACCATTTAGGACATAGGCATGGGCAAGGACTTCATGTCTAAAACACCAAAAGCAATGGCAACAAAAGCCAAAATTGACAAATGGGATCTAATTAAACTAAACAGCTTCTGCACAGCAAAAGAAACTACCATCAGAGTGAACACGCAACCCACAGAATGGGAGAAAATTTTTGCAATCTACTCATCTGACAAAGGGCTAATATCCAGACTCTACAATGAACTCAAACAAATTTACAAGAAAAAACCAAACAACCCCATCAACAAGTGGGCAAAGGTTATAAACAGACACTTCTCAAAAGAAGACATTTATGCAGCCAAAAGACACATGAAAAAATGCCCATCATCACTGGCCATCAGAGAAATGCAAATCAAAACCACAATGAGATACCATCTCACACCAGTTAGAATGGTGATCATTAAAAAGTCAGGAAACAACAGGTGCTGGAGAGGATGTGGAGAAATAGGAATACTTTTGCACAGTGGTTCAACCACTGTGGAAGTCAGTGTGGCTATTCCTCAAGGCTCTAGAACTAGAAATACCATTTGACCCAGCCATCCCATTACTGGGTATATACCCAAAGGATTATAAATCATGCTGCTATAAAGACACATGCACATGTATATTTATTGCGGCACTATTCACAATAGCAAAGACTTGGAACCAAGCCAAATGTCCAACAATGATAGACTGGATTAAGCAAATGTGGCACATATACACCATGGAATACTAAGCAGCCATAAAAAAGGATGAGTTCATGTCCTTTGTAGGGACATGGATGAAGCTGGAAACCATCATTCTCAGCAAACTATTGCAAGGACAAAAAACCAAACACTGCATGTTCTCACTCATAGGTGGGAATTGAACAATGAGAACATATGGACGCAGGAAGGGGAACATCACACACCGGGGCCTGTTGTGCGGTAAGGGTTGGGGGAAGGGATAGCATTAGGAGATATACCTAATGTTAAATGACGAGTTAATGGGTGCAGCACACCAACATGGCACATGTATACATATGTAACAAACCTGCACGTTGTGCACATGTACCCTAAAAGTTAAAGTATAATTAAAAAAAAAAAGAACTAAGCAACATCAACAAATATTTATTAAATGTCTATCAGAACCCTGTGCAGATCTGGGACTCCTCAGGACACACCTGAACTATCTTCTTCCTAACAGAGCAGGAAGATTCTTCACCATTTCCATATATTTTCCTTGAAAGACTGTCCCCTCACTCATCCTGGGGATTTTCAGTTATTTCCTCACTACATCAAAATTTAACAATATTATTTTAAGGAATGTCACCTGGAAATAACCAAATTGGTAGCTTACAGAGATCAATCAGTTTCTCAGTTTTGTTTTCTTCTTTTAAACAGTGTGAAGGTAATTTTGCCCGCTGTTAATTGCAATCTATTTAATTACAATGTGTGCAGATGTAAAAGCAAGCACTAACACAGGTTGCAATTAAAGCATCAAGTCAAAAAGCTGCTGAGGTGTCCTGATCATAGAATTAGAGGATGGGTGAAGCCTCAGAGGCCATCCGGCTCATTTTCCTGTTGAGAGGACTTCACATCATGTTTATGTAATGCTTTGTGTACATCTCTTGTGATGGGTTGGGCCTAACATTTATTTTTTACCCACTAGACCCAGTCTAGAAAGATGATAGATATGACTTCATTTAATCTGTCCAGCAGCCCTACTTAAGAGGTATTTTATTTTGATTTGTATTATAGATGAATTAATGATTCTCAGAGAAATGAAATAATTTTTCTCAAATTTTCAGACCTCATAGATGATGTAGAAATGAGTTGAACCCAGATCTACTTGGCTTGATAACCACACTCACCATCGTAGCATATCAATTACCCTTCTTGTCTCATGTGGGAAGAACCTGAGACCCAGAAAGTCACTTACTCAAGGCTCAGTTACGGAATTTGAGATCTGAAAAAGACATTTGAGGGCATGAAGCTAACCTTGCTTATTTTATGAGTGAAGACATAGAGGTTCAGAGAAGCTGGGCTCGGCTTGAGGCCCTCTGGCTGAGAAGTGGTGAAGCAACTACTGGCCCCCAGGCCTTGGGCTCTGGTGCCAGAGCTCAGACAACTTTCCTTCTCCTGCTCTTCCACATCTCACCTTTGAGAACCCAATTCTGGATGATCACTTGTGCTGAACAGGCTGATGCCTGGAGCTTCCGTTTTCTCTAAAAATGGTAAGGGAATAAGTGATGGAGAGTTAAAGTCTCTAGGAACTCCTGTATCATTCTGGGGCTTAGGAGTGTGCCTCCAAAATCTAGGCAAAATGTGGCTCTTCCCTAGCCTCAGGTGCAGAGCTAAGATGACTTTCAAAGCTGTGGATACATACACCCTAAGGAAGAAGCTTAGGCTGCATTTGCAGAGATTGAGATGTTTTGCACAACTGGATAGAATTCCACTTTTGTGAGAGTGGGGTTTTGTTTGTGAATGATGCTTTGTTTGCTGGTGCTTTTCAACCTGGAGGGCCTGTCAATACTGAGATTCCTGGACCCCACCTCCAAAGATTCTGATTCAGAAGATCTGGGCTGAGAATCCATTTTTCATAAGCCCTTGGGAGTTGCTGATGATGCCTGTTGGCAAATCAGAACTCAAGGAGTGAGCATGCATTAATGCACTCACCGAAAGCAATCTGAGGATTAGCAGAACGTAATTATCAAGAAAATATTAAGGATTTCTACCAGTTAGCGCATCTCTTGACAATTTATTTTTCATTGTAAACGACAAATGTAGATTCTACAATTTGTTATTAAGCACAATTTAGATATATGATGGTGAAATCAAGTCTTCTGAAATATGACACCTGCACAGAAGAGTAATACTTAACAATAACAAATTATTTTATGCAGTGGATGTTACTGTTTTTACCCAAACATGAGCATCTACGACATTTCCATTGTTTTTTGTGGACTGCTGTGTCCTTCACAGTAGGTTCAGTTATAAGCATGAATCCTCACTAGTGATCTCAGTCTCCTTGATCTCTTTCTCTCCCTTAGTTCTAGGAGGACTAAAAGTCACAAGCAGAATTATTTTTAAATGGATTCATTCCCCTTTTCAGTGACTGTTCACTGACTAGAAGGTGTATAATCCTGGCAGCATAACTAAGAAAAAAGAATGACTAATTGGTTGAAGGAACCAAACACTGAAGTGAGGAATCACCTTTTAATCTGCAACCTCTCCTTGATTTAATTGGCAGGAGCACTGCCAAATATTTACAGCATAAAAACCATTGAGGGGAAGGAAGCAGTATGTTGTTTTCCCTACACCTCCAGAGATAATTGTCCATGCTGATTCGTGATTTATTTCTTTCACTGAAAACTTAAAGGGAAGGAATGCATTCAGTGAAACAGAAAAAGGAGAACCCAAAATGTGTATTTTTAATTGTTGAAATGAAATAAGCCGCATAAAAAGGCCTCTTGACAGCTTTCATGGTTAAACTTGATGAACACTTTGGTGAATTTTATGAAGTTTATTTGCAAAATTTATTATTTAAAAAAGCACATTTGGAGCACAGAAAAGATCTGATTTTTCAAGCAGCCCATCCCATGTTGCTTGGGAGTGGGAGAAGATACTTGAGAAAGTTGTGAGGGGGGCCGTGCTCTACCCTGGCTTTCCGTCTCCCTGTCTCCCACCCCACTTTAGCCCCTCCTCCTTCCTTTCTCTTGAGTTGTTCCATTCTGTTTCTGGTGGTACTTTTCTCTCTCCAAAAGGAGAAAAAAGGGTTAATTAATGCATCTTCTTTTATAGTCTGCTATTTTGGGAGGTGTGTGTGGCTGCCTTTGAAACTTATTTTATTTAAATTGTTTTTTCATGCTAATGTTTTCTCTCTACCTCATTTTGGTCACTTCTTTGCAGTGCCCTTTCACAGAATGAAAACCAAAGTAGATCCTAGTATCACTCAGAAGAACCCTGGCTTCCCAAATGCCCTAGTAGTCTTGAATCGAATTCTCTTTTATATCTGAGAACTGTAGACATAGTTAACTGTAGATATATTTATTGCTAAGGCTGTTGAGAAAGAGTTTTTTTCCCCTGCTTCTAACAGATTATTCTTTTAATGTAGTGACCCCAAGCTATCTAGTTATGGTTAAGTGTCCTGGAGTTATAATGCCTGAACATAAGTGACCATTAAATGATTAGGTTTTTCTTTGACACTTTACTATTTTGTAATCTTTTCCGTGTAAAAATACTTTCCAAGTTTTAACAGCTATGCCAAAGTCCATCTAACTGATGTATCCACTCCTTTTAACCATTTCTCAGAGCTAAATATTTAAAATTCTTTTTTTATGTAGGTGATGTTTTTTCCTATTTCTGCATTATTTTATCAGGAGACATTCCCAGGAGTGAGATTATTGGGTCAAAGGGCATGTGTACTTTTATAGCTCTTGAGATAGTTTGTCAAACATATTCCAGTGAGTGAGTCCAGTTTCACCTGTGATGTTGCCAGAATTTGATGTTACTATTTAATTTATTTACAACTTTAATAGATATAAAGTGATGCCTATTATTTTAAATTTGCATTTCTTTCACAACTGTGAAGGTAATATATTTAAAATACATTTATTTGCTATTTGTATCATTTTAAAATGTTTCTTTATATGAGTGAATATTAATTCAGGGAATACTGAGTTTATTGGTCACATTCTGGGCAAGGGCAGGATAGAAGGGAGGGTTAGAGGAACGAAGAAAGGAAGGAAGGAAGGAACAGACGGAAGGAAGGAAGGAACAGACGGAAGAAGGGAGAGCTTATGGCTAACAATAGTCATTGGCCGTGGTTGACCTTGCTCAAATATGGGCCCACCTTACAAAACCTGTTCTAATTTATAATTACACTACCATAGGGGACAGTCCAAATATACAAGCTTTAGGAACCAAAGCCTTCTGTTTAACTATTCTTTGCTTCTTTGTTATGAATGTGTTTAGTGTTACCATATGCTCTTCTCCCTTTGAGATGGGCATTTTGCCACGTGTATAATACTTTGAGACTATTAATTACTCTGTATGAAATAAATTATTATATTGTAATTCTCTTCTCAGATGAATCCAGTTCTCCAAAGAACTGAGTTATAGTTTTGTTAGTTTTTAAATAGGCTGCTTCTTATTTTGAGACTTACATGCAGGGGTAGTTCACGTAGCTATGGTGAACTACTGCGATAACTCAGTTCTCTGGGGTCTAGGGAATTTGGGGAAGACATTTGTCACTGGTGACACTCCTGGAAGATGTAAACCTGCTACATGACTTTGTCTGTACCTGGAGACATTCAATATCTCCAACACATTTGTGTGTGTGTGTGTATGTGTGGCTAAAACTAACAAGGATCCATAGACTCATAAGCTATAAGCAGTCTATTTTTCTGTCTCTACCTCTAAGTAGGACAGCCAGCAGGTAGGTTCGTTCAATCATTTGTTCAATCATTCATTAGTTCATGCATGAATCTAGCTCATTTTTATTAAAAAAAATGCTTTGCCAGGTACCCTGCTAGGAACTCTGGTTCAGAATTGTTAAGGGAAGGAAACACAGCCATCCTCTACCTGGATCTCCTGCTGCTATTAATTATTCTCTGATATCTGTCAAGTAGTCCTTCAAAGAGTAGCAAACTTTTTCTAGCGAACCAACTTTAGCTGATCCAACACTCACTTCACCTCACTCCCCCAGCCCACACAAGCCGGTAAATTCTGGAGCAAAGAAAGGAGTTGGAGAAGGATATGTGACTTCAAGATCTGAACGTGGAGAAAATGAGGCCTCATCAGAAATAGAATCAGAACAGGGCAGGGCAAAAAATTAATATTGGCCAAATACCAGACTCTTTATACCGTTGTGAGAATTATAGAAGATGACAAATATAAAGCAGCTGATGATCTGATTTACATTTCTTGAGGGTCTATGACTACTATGTTGAATGAATTGTAGAAGAACAAGAGAAGTTGAGGGCCCGGCAGAGGGTGTTGTGGAGTGGATCAATCACTGGAAAGTGATTGATGGTGGTGGTTTAGATCAGGCTGTGGAGATGGAGAGAGGAGGACAGGGTCCAAATATACTCTGGAAGTTGAAATGACTGCAGTTATTGAATAACTGGATGGGGAGGATGAGGAAAAGGGAATAATCAAGGCTGGCTTCTGGGTTCTCATTTCAGCCCTTATTGAATCAGGGAAACAGGAATAGAGGTGTACTGGGCAGGGGGAAAGTTTGTATTTATGTATATAGGGAAAGAAAAAATTCTGGGACCACCATGTAAAAAATTTGTCTGCAGAAGATAATATGCATTATCTTCTGCAAAGCCCTCCTGGTTGAATATGTGGGTTAGATTCTCGAAGATTTTTATCTCTAAAAAATGTGTGATTCCATTCAGGCATGAAAGCCATGCAAAAGTGAAAGAGGTGTATTGTAAAGTCTTATACCCCATGGAATTTTCTACTTAATAATTGTCATGATAAGAATTACAGCTAACAGTCATGTAGTGCTCACTATGTGCCAGTCACTGTTCTATTACCTATTTAGTCCTTGCAGCAACCACATCACATAAGTTCTTTTACTCTCCTATTTTACAAATAAGGAAACTGTGATATTAGGAAGCTAACTACTCTTCTAAGATCATGCACTAGTAAGTGGAAAAGTTAAGAGGCTTGAACTCTAGCAGACTGGTTTCAGAATGAGTGCTTTCAATTGTTGTGTTAAGCAGCACGAAGGAAAATATGATAGAATTAAGATAGTCTTTTCATGTGAATGCTTAGAAGTTGCTTTAATAACACCACACTGAATTTCTTCAGATGTAAGCGTTGGTTAATCTCTGTTTCTCTGGGTTATGATATTAATGTATGGTCTTATGCATATTCCCCAGAGAGAGAAAGATGGCAAAAAAATTAGGAAGGTATTCTATTTTTGTGTGTATATGTTTGTAAGGAGTGCAGAGACCATCTTTTTAGAGGAAACAATTTCAAAGGGTCAGGTGATACCACATAACCCGTTAGTCACAGAGGTAGCACTGGAACTGAATTTCACCATTCTAGGCCACCGGTATTTTTCTTTCTTTCTTGGAATTTGTTTGTCACCTCCCTCTGCCTTCAAAGGGTGCTCTCTTCATGATAATTCAGTGTGAGAAGTTTGTAAAGGAGGTAATGACTGCAGACAGTCATTCATTTAAAAATAATCAGAGATCCTCCAGAATTAGCAATGAGCACAGGGACTCATAGAAAACCTACCCCCTAAGATTTGCATTCTTCTAAGGATCTTAAGTTAATTATTTCTGCCACTATCTCTAGGTGGCACTGTTTCCTCTCTTAACACTGCTCTGAGTAAGCACACACACTTTTATTGTAATACCTCGTAGTACAATGGAGGTAAGTGAAAATTGTACTTAAATCTTCACTCAAAGCTAGCGGAATAATAACAAGGAAAATCTATTATATAGCCTGTATAATTTAGTTATGTATTTTCTAAGTTATGACACTGGCTTGTTATCTGCAACCTACAGACCCAATCTACCCTGGTTTTTGTCTAGTTGCCACATGTCAAGGGGCTCCAGAACCTGGGAGTTGCTAAATTAGAAAAACAGAGATGGTGAAGTATATCTATCCCTTTGGATAAAAGTAGAGAAGACATGCGTATGTTGAAGGCATCCAGAAGGAATCATGTTTAGAGTGTGGGGTATGTGGGGAACTAAAAGGCAATAAAGCAAATTCATTATTTAAAATAATAAACCTCAGAGAATTAAAGAAAGAGCAACAATAGGTGATAGGTGGCAGATGACTGAGTGGGAGGTTCTTGCAATAGAAACAAGCAAAGGCTGGGATCAGAAAGATGTGGCTGTGAAGATGTAGAAGAAAGGAAAGATGTTGGGATAGAGAAGAAAGCTGGGGTTCCATGAGAATCCAGTTTCACAGAATAAATGGATGTGAAGCACTAAGCGTGACTTCTAGTTTTGAGTCTGACTGTACATACAGAGGAGGAGATGGGAGATAGGTAGAGGTGAATATGCCCAGGCAGAGGAAGACTTTTTTGGGGAAAGAGCCCCCTAAAAACGTTGTTAAAGGAGCATCCCGGGAATCCGGAGAACTGAGGGAATCTGGGGCTGAAGAACGTATTGACTATTGAGTGATTTTTGGTAAGAAGGGAAAGAGAAACATGAATAAGGAAAACCAGTTCTTAGATTTTATCACCGCACACATAAAGCCTTATACTCTTCCCTCCAACATTATCCTATAGGTAATGCACAGAATTTCCTTCAAGCTCTGCCTCTTGAGGTGCGTTTACGTACAGCGCAAAGAAAATGCTGGTGTGTTCAGTTTTTGTTTCTATTTTCAAGCAGGAAATTATTCTTTTTACCAAAGGGAGCTTTTGGTAAATGTCCTTCCTTGAGGAATGCTTGCCCGTGGGTGCTCACAGGAGAGGCAGAGGGCTGCAGCAACCCCTGGCCACAGCTGGTATTTTGCAGACAGTGTGGAATCAAAAACACCCACAGGAGAAATCAGTGACTTAGTGACTGTATGTTGGGCAAATACAAGTAAAGTCCAAGACTTAGTTAAAAGGCTTTGAAACATTAAGGGATTTCCCCGGAGATATTATGTTTCTTTGCAGAAAAGATCCAGACAGACTGGCAGAAGGACTATTCCCTTGGGTCAAAGGTAGGCCTGGCAGCAATTCCACAGGAAAAGGGGGCTGAACACTATAACTGGAACTCACAATTATCTGATTTTTTAGAAAGACATAGTAAGGAAAATTCCAATCATCTATAAAAGTAGACAGACTAGTATAGTATACCCACAATTCAACAGCTATCACCTTGTGGCCAATTTATTTCATCCATCCTCCTTTGTTCCCAAAGTATTTCTAAAGCATATCCCAGATATCATATTATTTTATCTGTAAATATTTTAATACATATCTATGAAACATCAAGTTAGCATTCAATCTTCTAAATGTGTCATAAATGTCACATTTTTAAAAATCTTATTTTGTTTAAACCAGGATCTAAATAAGATACATCCATTATTATTGGTTTACATGTCTTAAAGTCTATAGATCCCTACACTATCTTTTTTTTGTTTATTCCTTGCAGTGAACTTGGAGAAGACAATTATATTCTCTAAATTATCTGAATGTAAGCATCTCTGCGGCAGAAACTGTTTAGACATTCACCAAACCTATTTCCTTTTCCTCCTAGACACACAGCTAAACCAAATTTCCCAACCTTCTTTCTCGTTAGGTATGGCCAAGTGACTGAGTTTTGGCCAATGGAATATGGGCAGAAGAGATGGGTGTCACTCATGCCTGGCCCATAAACACCTCCCATGTGCCGTTCTCATTATTGTTCCTCTTTCCTAGTTAAACTTGGAAACTACTTATTAAACATGGTGGAGCCACAAGATGCAAGGATCCTGCATTCCTGAATCAGCACTTAGGAGGTGGCTCCTAGCCACTCCAGAGCACCTTCTGCTTTGTTACTGAAATTTTTGGTTTATTTGTAGCATCTGCTAGCATTTCCTTAAATACAATTTTCTGTAAGTTTCATTATAGAGCACTGGCTCTCAACCCTGACTACACTTACAAATATCATGAGATGTTTTTAAAAAGACTGATGCCTGGGCTTTTCCCTGGACCAATTAAATCAGAGCATTTCAATGTGGTGATATTTACAGAGAGCACAACATGTAATTCTAACATGTTGGCAGGGTTGAGAACTACTGTAATCAACTGTGAGTTCAGCTCTTCTTAGGGACTCCCTTTTTCATTTTCCTAAAGTGCTGAGCTGAAAAACCTCTTTAGATATTGTTTCGTTTGTACTGTACAGATACTGGGCAGGAAAAGGCTAGCTGGTTATCAGTTAAGATTCTGGCATGTGGTAAAATCTAGTATACAGCCTCTCACCCTCCAGCTGCCATTACGGAACACCTTTTAATGAGATTTATTTCTTTCTAGGCCACACTGGCACACAATCTTCAAACTCTATAGCAATTCTCTATTTACATGTATGTTTCTGCCAGGAGACGAAGATCCCTCCTGAGAAGAAGAGCTCTACGTCCTGTCCTGGTGACCCGCTGACTGCAACAGGGTTAGACATGTAGTAAGCTTGTATTAATTGAAGTGTATAATTCATACTACTGGTGAATGAACCAGTGAATGAACTCATCATTGCAGAGATTATATGGAAATTATGATGCAGAGCATTTTTTCCAGAGAGGAGAACTAGGTGCAAGGAGAAATGAAAAAACAGCTAATTCAAAGGAAGTAAAGCAAGGCAGCTTCTGGTAAATTTGTCTTGAAGGAAAAGAATGTACAGGAGAGAAAAGTAAAACCCACAACATCATTAGAATCATGAATGATATAATAGTAAACAAATATCCAAATCTTACATTAGAATTGAAAGGGACTCAAATAGTGATCTAGTCCAGTGATTCCCAAAGTGTTGTCTGTGGACCCCTGGGAATCCTTAAGACTCTTTCAGGGAGTCTCTGAGATCAAAACTGTTTTCATAATAATACCACATATTATTTACCATTTTAGTTGGGTTGACATTGGCATCAATGGCAGGAAAGCAATGATGGGTAAAACTGCTGGCACTTTAGCACGTGTCAAGGCAGTGGCACTAAACTGTACCAGTAGCCATTGATCATACTCTTAACGGCCACACATTCACAGGCGAAAAAAAGCCAGTTTACTTAAGAATATTCTTCATAAAATGGCGCAAATTGTTAATTTTATTAAATATTGACCATTGAGTACATGGCATTTGCTATTCTGTATCTGCTGCATACTGAAGTACAACGGTAGCCTCTCTGAAAAGCACTTCTGTGGTTATTTGAGTTGCTAACTGAACTACCTACTTTTTTCAGAGTATAGTATTCTTACTTGACCAAATAATTGAAAAACTAGAGTTATTCAGACTTGGGAAGCAGGCATACATTTTTTTGAGAATAAAAGAAGTAAGCCTGCTAACTGAAAAACATCTGAAAGTATTTGCTGGTAATGATAAAATTTGAGCTTTCAAGCAGAAATTAGAATTTTAGAAAACATGCATCCATGTTAAGATAGATGCAGCCCACATAAACAAAAGCTTTTTACGTTTCTCGATGATTCTGAAGAGTGTAAAGGGGTCCTGAGATCAAAAAACCCTGAGAACAGTTGCTCTAGTTCATTACCTCATTGTTCTGATGGGGAAACTGAGGTATATACTAAAGAGGTGAGGTATTAAACACCAGTGGAATAAGTTGTCAAAATCGAAGTGATATTGTTTCTTGTGCAGAAGAAAGTATTTTCAGACAGAAAACAAACAACTCCTTCCTAGAAGTGTCTCTGTTGAGTGTTTTTATGACCTGTAAATGCACTTGCCATCAATGGAGATTCTAAGCTTGAATGATATATTGCATGGTGTAACTTACCAAAAAAAGTGATTTACTTTATTATTCTAAATTTTAAAACCTTCAGTATGGATTCCAATAACTTATCTTTTTGGAAAAGTACAATAGAAAAAACAAAGAAAGGAGCAATAGTAATAAAAAATGGGCAACTTATGCTAATTAGAGCGGGTGAGTTTCTAACCTGGGGACAGAAGTCCAGGGTCCTGTTTATCAGCCCAAGTGACCACAGGAAACAGGATAGAGATATGACCTTCTGCAACAATATCCTGCTGGGAGAGATGTGACGGTGGGGGACATAGCATTCCTTGAAATGTCTTCCCTTCAGGTGATATCAGTGTCAGAGACAGAAGAAGACTCAGCCAACAAAAATCTGTTAAGGACCCGTGATGCTGAATTTCAAGTAATGAAGTATTGCGGTTATTGCAGAAAAGCTCAGGGTCTGAGGAAGTGGTATAGAAGACAGCGAGGTAGGTTTCTGGTAGACAGTATGATTGTGCAGTCTACTCTTCACCCAGATCCACTGAACATTTAAAGTGACAATGATTGAAGTCTTAGGCACAGTCCTGGGCAAAAGGGGTCTTGCACCTGAGAAACACCCAATCTAGCTTCTGGCAGCCGCATATCCTCATCACAGCAAAGGGTCTGCAGGGCTGAGAGTATTCTCCCTCACTCCAGCTCACACTGCCCACTTCTAGACCATACTCTGGGTTCAGGGTTCCTGGAATTCTCTACATAAACAACCCCCATCCTGTATCAAGGCGGGGTCCATCCTTTGAGGATGGTCCAGGCACTAAAGTGTGGCCTCTAAGTCTGAGGGGTGGCTATCTGAAGGGAGTGTGGATGGAGCCGGACACATGGTCTGTGGTGTCCATGCTCAGACCCATGAGGTCCCTGGTGCTACAGATGAACCAAGGGTCACAGAGTAGCTCTCCTCGTGCCACCTTATGCTCGCACAAAACTCTGAGGAGTCTACAAATTCTACACATGAATCTGCCCTTCTCTAGTTTACGACCTCATTTTGTCAGGGTAGGAGGACAGAACGTTTTTATTTCACAGTGGGATTCCATCTGTACTCTTGTCTGGGGTCCCAGAAATGTTAGGGGCAAATCTCTTCTAAACCTTGTTTGCAGACACGCTGGCTGACCTTTAGCACTGGAATGTTTTGGGTGAGCCATGGCCTCTATCCCTAATCATTTCTTATCCAGAAACTCAAACTGCAAGATCATGACCTATTCATGCATTGTGAATTCTTAGCAAAATAAACATGTTTGTGTGGAGGCATTATCTCCGAGAATTTTACAAGTCATTAAAGTTGTTAGGGGTTCAGTTAGCTTCTCCTTGAGGGGGCATCAACTTTGCTTTAAGCACAGCCAATGGACTGTGTTCAGAGCCAGTGGGCACACAGTGGACACCCTCTTGGGTATCTAGAGTGTTTGCCTGCTTTTATTGCTGGAATCTTCCCCATATATCAGTCCAGAGAGATGGTTGCCCCAGGACAGGGTCCCTGACTTAATCTGCAGCTTGTGGGAAAGCAAGACCTGCTAATTCAGTATCAGACCCAAAGGTG
Organism: Homo sapiens; assembly: GCF_000001405.40. Lineage (NCBI taxonomy): Eukaryota > Metazoa > Chordata > Mammalia > Primates > Hominidae > Homo > Homo sapiens. Next base: position 114,784,304 of record NC_000005.10, on the reverse strand, counting down.
CGGCACAGGGAACCAGAGATCCTCCATCATCGTAGTGTCTAGGCACATGGCATGATGGAGAAATGCCTGTTGACTCACCATCCTAAAGGCAGATGTCTTGATTAAAAATGAGAAGAGTGGCTATGTGGAGAGTTAAAGATAAGATATTTGAAATCTTTGCAAGTGACTCATGAATATGGTTGCCATTGTAGAGTACTTCCTATGTACCACTAAGCACTTCATGTCCATCATTTACTTATTTTAATTTCAATTCACAGCACTACCCTGAACCAGCACTGTTCTAAGCCATCTTATAGTTGAGGAAACTGAGGCACAGAGTGGTTAAGTGTTGTGCCCAAGGTTGTATGACTACCAGGCAGTGGATAAGGGGCAGGAGCTGAGATGGTCTATCTTCAGGGTCCGGCTCATATTTTGTTAATCCTCCTGACAACCCTTTAGGACAGTCACTATTATCCCATTGTCATGAAGGATGTGAAGCCAAGTCCTCTAGGTTCTCCAGCTCCTCTAGGAAAGTAACTTGGTTAAGGTCAGACAGCCAGTAAGAGGTATTAGGGCTTGAAGGCTGTCTACGAAATCAGCTGGTCTGCACAGCACCCTCTACTCCTTTTCTGAGAGTTCTGGATAAATAGGAGTTTGCTACATGTTGAAAGGCTTTGATACTTGTGAGGTCAGTCTTGTCACTGTTGTCATTTCTGTTCTTGCTAAAGAGTGATTTGGGTTAAGGTAAGGGCCTATAGATGGAATGACAGAGGGCCTGTGATCCGTTATCAAAACATATGAGGTCTGTGAGGAGAAAAGATGGGCCTTTGCAGGGAACTGATTCATCCTTGTTGACTAATGATTTTGGGGACTTCTGGTTCTTGAGTGCTCAGTTGACGTATGTCATGACCATAAGCAGGGTATAGGAAACAAAGGAAATGCCTTCTTGTAAAGCAGAAAGAGTACATGTTTGGAGACTGGCAGACCTGGGTTTTCTTTCCGTCTCCACTGTTTACTTGAATACCTGGAGTCTTGCTGTTTCCTCATGTTGTCAACAGAGATGAGAACACTGACCATACTGGGATGCAGAGGATGGGGCACAGAGCAGGCAGCCCAGACAAATGCTAGCTTCCTTTCCCTTGCTTGTTCAGCATCTGATGTAAGCCCTGAAAGGTCCGGTCAAAAGCTCCCCCTGCAGGATATTTGGCTAGTGCGGAGAGGGCCATGCCAGCTTCTCCATCCCCTGGACTCCGGAAAGCGGAGACCTCCTTGGCCAGCAGTGTGGCCTGCTGAGCCCACTGACGCAATGGCTCGGGCAGAAGGCCCAGCTCTGCCTGGCCTTTTGCCTGGGCTACTTGAGTCAAAATGCAGGGGGCAGGAGGCCTGGCTGGGGAGATCCAGAGGCCTATGGCCGGCTCTCCTCTTCAGTTCAAGGCCTCCGTCTCCATGCTCAAAGGGATACTGAGACTTTCGCAGAAGTGAAATAGGAGAATTGGTGCCAAATATTTGTTCCTCATTCTTCCTGGATGATTTAATTTTGTGTTGTAGTATAAAGACAGGTGAGCAGTAAAGCCATTCCTGAGACACCATCAAAATTAGCAATTTGTCTCCTGGTCCAGGGCTGCAAAAGAGCAAGGAAGCTACAGTTTCACAGTTTTTGGTATTCTTTAGGGCAGAGTAAAAAGTCCTGGTCTCAAAATATTTTCAAAGTCTTTCCTCTTCTCTCTCTGCCTGGCTCTGAGGTAACAGAGGAACCTGGAGCATATGTTCCATATTGATTTGCATTTGCACACTTTCCTGCATCCATTATCTCACCTCATTAGGGTTTGGAAGGGGAAGCGGAGCCGAGTGTGGCAGCAGCATGCGCTTTCCTGAGCCCTGTGGAGAATTGTCCCAAGCAGTAAATGAAACAGTTGCAAGGGCCGGCCAGGAGCCTGTGGGTGGGCGGGCATCTCCGGGCTCGGGCCCAGCAGTGCCCAGCCAGTTTCGAAGGGTCCAGCTGTGCCCAAGTCACATGTCCCAGTGAGGGAGCATCCCAGGCCAGGCAGCTCCATGATTGATGATCCTGCCTGAGCTCAGAGTCTGCACAAGGCCCTGTAGACCCCATGTGCCTGCTCTCCTTTGGCAGTGAAGCTAATGATTAAGGTAAAGTAGCTCTCCTTCTTTCACTAATGGGAAAGACTAAAATTGACCACCTTTTAAAAGAGAGAGTGGATAGAACCTATTGTATTACCCTTAATGAAGATGGCTTAAGGAAATTCCCAAGGTCAGGGCTGGTCAAGAAGCAGGAGGAGAGGCATGGTGATAGAGTGGGGAGGTGGGCAACTTGCCTATGTCACTTTCAACTTTCATGTACCCTTCGAATTTCTGATCCAATGAGGTTTTAGGTTCATTTGTATTTTGTAAGTGTATTAAAAAGTGTGTGTGTGTGTGTGTGTGTGTGTGTGTGTAAAGCAACCAGACCATTAAAATACAAGTATGTATATCTATATGCTGAGGCCTCACTAGACCTCCCAGCATCCCTGCCTGGGGCTACCTTCAAATGTCCATGTAAGCGTCAACTTTGCTTCTTTGATGTCTTATGTTTTGCTTCTGAGACTTCTCTCTTTCTCTCCTTGAGTGGAGACCTGGTTTCTATACATGGCTCTACCATTCATCAGCTGTGTGAACATGATCAAACTGTTTACCATTCCTGTGACTCAGTTTCCTTATCTGTTGAGTAGATGGCGCCATATTGATCCAGTTGTTGAGGTTTGGTAAAAGCAAAATGAGAAAACAATATCTGCCAAAGTGTTTTTATGGTGTTAAAGTGTCATGCAAAAGTGGAGTGGTTATTATTTGGTCATGAATAGAGCCATTTTTTCTTGCCTGTGAAAAATTATCTTTATTGATTATCTATTAAATTTTTTTCCTGAAAGAAATCTGGATTAGCTCTGGCATACCGTAGGCAAAGCATGCTGAGACCAAAAGTTATTCTTTGGGACAAAAAGCCCCTTATAACCATCTCCAAGGCACAAGAAGTACGCAAATTCAGGGCTTACTGAAGGAGTGCTATATAACAAGTGTTTGGTTATCTTGCCTGCATCCGGAATGGAAAGTGGGAAATGAAACATTTGCTGACTTACCCAGTGGTCCCAATGAGAACAGAGGGAAAGGTCCAGGCTGAAGAAATGTAAAGAAGATGCACAGAGAATCTGTGGCAAGAGGTGAGTTCCAATCAGCTGTAGGGTCATGGCATGACCCAGGCTCAGGGTGGCAGAACATCATTTCATAGATCTTGATTTCCGTTTAACCAATCAGGAGTTGTCAGGACTGCTTTTCACCCTATATCCCCCAAGGAAGGTTTCTCATGCATATGTGTTTCATCAGCTCTAAGTTAAGTGGTTCACAGTGCCATTTGCTTTAAGGTAACTTGAAAAGAAATAATTAGGCCCTAGAACACACAGTACAGAAAAGTGGGGTGGATTAGAAATTAAAATCATGCATCAGGATGAAAACGGTTTACCCTCATGGAAAGAAATACTCTGCCAACTGTTCCCATATACTTTTCTTTCAAACATCCCCTCATTACCATTTTAAAACATGTGCTTATTCAACTGCTCTCTGTTTCTGCAACTTGGAAAATAAAGTTGATAATAAAGTATTAGCCCCTATGTCCTAGTTCAGGTGCAAGGCATACTGGATCTTTGACAACTCAAGACTTGAGAGGGTGTACAGGAGAAAGAGGGGAAGGAGAAGCCAGTTACAGAATCTGGAAACCATCAATACCAGATCCTCAATGGGGAATGGGCATAGCAGTGAGGAATATAGGGAAATCCTTGAAAATCTGCTGACTAGGCTGGCTGTGATTGCTGTCCCTCGCAGGGGGATCACCCTGTCTTCAGTTTGGAAGGTGGGATTTTATCCTAGAAGAGGATTCTGGAAGACAATACAGAGGCAGAGTATCTAAACCCAATCAAAAGTACTGGGTCCTGGGTTGGACTTGGGTATTAGGGCAGCAGGCTGCACAAAAAAGACAGCTGATGCCCGTGGCCTTCTGGAATCCAGACACTAAAGCAGCACTTGGCTTAGGGGCCACATACAAGCTTTGGCTTGGCCCTACTGAGATTAGGCTGGCATTGGGGGAGTGGGGTCCACTTGGCAGACAAAACAAATACCAGCTATCTTGCTGGGGCTACTAGTAATAGTTCAAACCCCTATTGGCTGGCGCTATTTACTGATTGGATTAGGAATTGGGGCCACCTGAATCTGAAGGATGGTGACTTGAGGAGATGCTTCCTTGGCTGGGTGTGGTGGCTCACCCCTGTAATCCCAGCACTTTGGGAGGCCGAGGCCGGTGGATCACCTGAGGGCGGGAGTTCGAGACCAGCCTGGCCAACACGGCAAAACCTCGTCTCTACTAAAAATACAAAAATTAGCTGGGAGTGGTGGCAGGCACCTGTATTCCCAGCTACTTGGGAGGCTGAGGCGGGAGAATGGCTTGAACCCTGGAGGTGGAAGTTGTGGTGAGCCGAGATCACACCATTACACTCCAGCCTGGGCAATAAGAGCAAAACTCCATCTCAGAAAAAAGAAAAAGAAAAAGAAAAAAAAAAAAAGGAGAGAGAGAGAGATGCCCGTACCGGGACTTGGAGAAGACAGAGGCTGAGCTTTGCGGATAATATGACTCCCTTAAATATTATTTGCTGTTATTCAAGGACGGAGTTATAAAGCAGAGGAAGTTTCCTCTTTGGAATCATCTCTAATACTTTTAACACTGCCTTAGATGAAGAGGGGATATGGATTGGCTCTGAGAGAACTTTACCTTTTCACCCAACCCACCTATGATCATTTTCATGGGTTTGCTAAGTAGGTGGCTGGACTCAAGAGTAGTCACTTAACACGGCATATAGAAAAGCTAATGGGTTCAAATGGGACTTTTGGCCTTAACCTCATTAACTTCAGCCACCAGTCAGTTGAGCCTAACTCTCTCCCCTTGGTGGGAGGTAGTTTTGATAGCTGCTGATGCTTTGAGGAGACAGAAACAGTGTGCACGAGAGTACTATCATAATTGGGGAAGGGGATTGCTTAGGAAGGGAATTGAGCACAGGGTATGGAAGGGGCCATTGATCAGCATTGTGTAAATAGCAGGGCTTTGTTTGGAAGTAATAGGGAATGTGAAGCCACAAAACTTTACTTTTGAATTTCTGAAGGGGAGAAGTCAGTCTTGTTTGAAAAGGATTTTTGGGTTCTGAACAGCATCCTAATTTTGAAAATGACAAACATACCTGGACTGACTGAATTCAATAGTCATTTTTCTTAAGTCCCATGTTTCTTTGGCCAGTACTACCTAAGTAATGACCATACATGCACTTGAACAGTGTGTGTGTCCTGTGCAACTCCCCACCAGTAAGTAACATGATTTATAAATAATAAATAATGTGATTGTGATGATAATAAACACTGAGGTACATTTCCTGGACCTAACATAATATGTTATTATCTGACTGAGAGAGCAGCTTCCTGTTGGGTTACTAAATTATTCTTTCTATTATATTTAAGGCACAACATTTAGTAATTTACTCCTCTTGTAATTAGGCTGGATGATTAGAGAAATCTTTCAGTGGTTCTGTTCTTTCCCATTAATAACACATTCACAGGGAGTATGAAGGTGAGGTGCTGCTTACTGAGCAGAGGAACATTTAGAGTTAGGTCATAACATTTTTACAAAGTGAAAAGAAATTGAAATCTTCTCCAGAGATTATCAGTAATTCCATCTGTATAAATATGCCACAACATTATAATGGCTTGTCCATCTGCACGTTTGGGAAAATAGCAGCTCTTCAAAATGCAACAACCTAGAGGGAGGTCAGACATCTCAAATTTCTGAAGCTTTGCTCTAAAATAGGCTTCTAGAGGGCAGAATCTGGCATTTGAGTGGTACCATTTTGGCTTTACCTACAGAGGTTTTATTTTCAGAAGGAATATATACATATAATGTAAATACATATCAATATATTTATATCATATATTCATGTATGTTATATATAACATTATATATTATATATAACAGTAGAGACCCTATATACAGAGTGAGCCTATACATAGACCCTACTGTTTTTTATATATATATATAGATATCTATCTATATATATATATATAGATAGATAGATAGATTGATAGAGAGAGAGACAGAGAGTCTATATATAGTCTCTACTGTTACATAGCATTCCTTTCAGAGTTGAATCTAACATGAAGGCTGTTTTTACATGGCCAAAGGTCATTCAGAATTCAGTTATTTGGTAAGAGTCAAGGTTCTGATTGAAACCTCCAGCAGCTACCTATATCTGCAGATTTTTCCACATAGAAAGTTTGGAAGAGGGAGAAGGGCAGACAATCATTATTTTCTTAAATCATACTTTGTGTGTGCCTGTACATGACTATTCATCTATGTGTATTTGGGAAAGATTATGGTAAGGGAAAGTAGAAAGCAGAAGGATACTGCACACATAAACTCTCTGCCCTAATTCCTAGGTCCTTCTCTAAGACAAATATAGAACCAATTAAGTTTCGTTCACACATTAGGTTTTGGTAATTGAAGAGGGTGGAAGCACTGGAGTTGCTCTTTATTCTAACCTAGTAGTTTTTGACTGCTATAGTTTGGATGTTTGTCCCCTCAAACCTCATGTTGAAATTTGATTTCCATGTTGGAGGTGGAGCCGAGTGGGAGGTGTACGGGTCATGGTGGTGGACCCATCATGAATGTCTTGGTGCTGTCCTTGTGGTAATGAGTGAGTGCTTGCTCTGTCAGTTCCCATGAGAGAGCTGGTTGTTAAAAGGAGCCTGCCACCTCCCCCAAGTTGCTTCCTCTCTTGCTATGTGATCTCTGCACATGCCAACTCCATTTCACCTTCTGCTATGAGTGGAAGCAAACTGAGGCCCTGACCAGAAGCAGATGCTGGCACTTTGCACATTGTACAGCCTGCAGAACTGTGAGCCAAATAAACTGTTTTCCTTATAAATTACCCAGTCTCCGGTATTCCTTTAAAGCTACACTGAGTGAACTAAGACAAAAAATTGGCACCAAGGAGTTGATTGTTGTTATAAAAATACCTGAAAATGTGGAAGTGGCTTTGGAACTGTGGGTAATGAGCAGAGGGAGAATTTAGAGGGTTCAGAGGAAGACAGGAAGATGAGGAAAAGTTTAAAATTTATTATATATTGGTTAAGTGGTTATGATTAAAATGCTGATAAAAATGTAGACGGTGAAGGCCATGCTGACAAGGTCTCATATAAAAGTGAGGAAGTTATCGGGAACTGGAGCAAAAGTCACCCTTGTTATGCTCTAACAAGACTTGTCTGCATTATGCCCATGCCCTAGGGCTTTGTGGAAGGCTGAACTTAAGAGTGATGATGTAGGGTATCTGCCAGAAGATATTTCGCAGCAGCATAGCTTTCAAGACCTGACATGACTGCTTTTAATAGCTTATGATCAGATATGACAGCAAGGGAATTACCTAAAGGTGGGCTTTTTAATTAAAAAGGAAGCAGAGCATAAAAATTTGGAAAATTTGCAGCCTGACCATGTGGTAGACAAAGGAAGAGCATTTTTGAGAGAGAAATACAAGGGTGCTTGGAGCAACCACTTGCTAGGGAGATTAGCATGGCAAAGGGGAGCCAGGTGCTAATAGTCAAGACAACAGTGATAAGGCCCTGAAGCCATTTTAGAAATATTTAATGCTGCCTGTCCCATCACAGGCCCAGAGACCTGAGAAAATAGAATGGTTTCAGGGGACAGGCCGAGGTGCTGCTATCCTGTGCCAACTCAAGATGCCGCTTCTTTTATCCTCACTGCTCTGCCTCCAGACACAGCTCAATGGTTCACAGGTACTTTTCTGGCCACCACTTTGGAGGGCACAAGCCATAGGTATTACAAACTTCCACATGCTGTTAAGTCCGCAGGCTCTTAGAATGCAAGAGTAATGGAAGTTTGGCAGCTTTCACCTAGTATTTTAGAGAATGTATCAGAAAGCCTGGGTGCCCAGGCAGAGGTCTGGTGCAGGGTGGAGCCATTGCAGATTGCCTCTACTAGGGCAGTGCCTAGTGGAACTCTGAGAATAGGGCCTCAATGTAATAAAGGCCATATATGACAAGCCCACAGCTAACATCACACTAAATGTCACCATTGGTGGGAAAGCTTTTCATCTAAGATCAAAAACAAAACGAGGGTGCCTCCTCTTGCTACTACTATTTGATATAATGCTGGAAATCCTAGCCACAGAAATTTGGCAATTAGGCAAGAAAAGTAGCAAAAATGCATCTAAATTAAAAAAGAAGAAATAAAACTGTCTGTTTTCAGATGGCATGATCTTATATAATTAATGTTAAACATCACTAGTCAGCAAATTAAAACCACAGTGAAATATCACCTTATACCTGTTACAATGGTCATTATTAAAAAGACAAAAGATAAATATTTGGGGGAGGATGTAAAGAAAAGGGAATCCTTGTACACTGTTGGTGGGGATGTGAATTGGTATAGCTGTTACGGAAAACAGCATGGAGGTTTCAAAAAAGTTAAAAATAGAACTGTCATATAATTCATCAATCCCACTTATGGGTATATATCCCAAGGGTATACATCCCAAGGGAAATTGGTATCTCTAAGAGGTATCTGCATTCCCATGTTCACTGCAGCATTATTCACAATAGCTAAGATATGGAGTCAAGTTAAGTTTCCATTGATGGACAAATGTGTAAAGAAAATGTGAGATACACACACCCACTGACATACTATGGAATATTATTCTTCCTTAAAAAGCAAGGGAATTCTGACAGATGCTACAACGTGGATGAACCAAAGGACATTATGCTAAGTGAAATAAGCAGAAACATTAAATTCTTACATGAGGAATCTAGAAACGTTAAACTCATAGAAGCAGAAAGTAGAATGGTGGCTACCAGGGCCTGAGGACTGGGGGAAATGGGGAAATGTTGGCCAAAAGATATCATGTTTCAGTTGAATAAGATGAATAAGTTCTGGAGGTCTAATGTATAGTGTGGTGACTATAGTTAATGATACTACATTGTATATTTGACATTTGCAAAAGGAGTAGACATTAAATGCTCTCATTCTCTCCACAGAAAACATGGTAACTCTGTGAGGTGCTAGATATCTTAATTAGCTCGATAGGGGTAATTATTTTATAAAGTACATATATAATATATATCAAAATATCACATTGTATACCTTAAATATATACAGTTTAAAAATGTATGTATACAATTTTTATTTGTCAATTATACTTCAATACAACTGGAAAAAAATAAACCAAGGATATTGTGTCCTAATTCCAGAACTCCAATTAATAAAGAGTGGGGTTTCGGTTGAATATTGCATTTTAAAATGTTTCCTGTGATTCATCATGTGTTATAGCACGGAAGAGTCTCAACCTACAAGACACTTGGCATATATCGGCTTTTGGGAAGTCTGTTTTCTTAGTGGTTATATTTAGCAACTTTGAGAGCCTGGCAATTTTAGTTTTGAGAATTTACTTTTGTATAATTTGGGTAGTTTTTCTCCTAGGATTAGAAAAAAGAGCATTTTATTTTGCTTTTACAAAATTACATGAATTAATGAATCTGAAGTTTCTTGTGAAAATTTAATGGGGGTTGGCACCATGATTGTTCATGAAAAAGATGGGAAATGCAGTATAGTGAACTCAAATGACATAGTACTCCCATTTTAATGTTCACAGAGACATAACTCCAATAATTTTTATTTTGTTATTCACAGATTTTACTTTCCCTTGGTGTAACTCCGGCATTCTAAGAAAAGCCACTTATGTTAAAGGTGACATTGCTTTCTCTTTTGGAACATGCACTTGGCAACGAATTCGTTAGCCAGACAGGTGTTTGTGTCACTGTCAAATTGCAATTGCTAATTTTTTTTGTTTCTCCCTATGGGAATAACGCAAGCTATTAGATGTTAATAAGCAGCAACTAACTTTCTATAACCTTTTCTAAGTTTAGGGGTCTGAAAGAAACCACAAATATTATTTCAAGAGTTCCTTACTATTGTGTTCTCTCTACAAATTTAAAATGTCATGAGACCACAGGTAGCCTGAGATGAATATGCTTAGGATACTGGTTGAAACCCTTTATTAAAAGTTTAACCAATGCAAGAGGTACTTGGGAGCCTCTCATCAGAAGGAAAACATCAAATAACACATGAAGGAGTTGATTGTTGTTGTATAACTGTATAAAGTGTTGGGAAGAAAAAAGGTAAGAGGGCTAAATTAGCAAGAAAATTGGAGAAGTTTGTATACAAGTAAAAACGACATGGATGGAGGCTGAAACAATGGAGGTAGAGGGATATGTTAGAACTTGGCATTGTTAGGCTAGTTATCCAGACAAAACAAAAACAAAATCAAAGATGTCTCCAAGGTTAAGACATTAGGGAACAAAGTGGAAATACCAGCCACTATAGGGAAGAAAAGAAAAGGAATAATTAGGGAATAAGCTATTTCTCACTTTAAATGGCAGCAAAACATTGGAGCGGAAAACCTGGACAGCTGGAGCTGGCAAGAAGCCTCGTAATCATTCAGACTGCTCATCCCAGAGATGAGGAGACTGGAGCACATACATTTCAATGAATTGCCTAGTCAGTGACACTTCTGGAACTACTATCTATATCTCTTGGGTTGTGTTTTATACCAAGTTGCCTTGTCAATGCCTTATAGACAATGAATGAAACAGAAGGGATATACTAGTGTTGTGGGTACCCCTGGAGCTAGAAGTCAGGATTCAGGATTATACTTACAGGGTGGAGAACCAAGGTTTGAGTATGAAGCGGAGTTCTGGAACTTCTCCTTTGTAACCTGGTGTATAACTATGGAGACATAATGGAAAGGACATTCAGGAAAGACCACTTAGCCAAAAGTTCCAACAGCAGTATTGTGCAACTGCAGGATGTTAGATGTGTGGGAGTTCCTGGGGAGCTCAAGCCAGAGGTGGGATGCACAAGTTCTGGGGCTAATCTTGAGGGTGTTTCATGTAGTTGTAATATACCTAAAAATTTTAAAGTGATCCTCTGGGAAGCCCAAGTATGGCTAATATGGGCCATACTTATGATTGGGCCAGATGTTTCAGTTGCCTTTGTCATCCTGACTAGAAATTTAGAAATTAGCTTGGTTAACTTGGCAACTTCCAGTGAACCCTCACATAATAATAGAGAAGTCTCTGGGGCCTTAGTTCTGTCAGCTGGTCAGAAGCCAAGCTTGGCTATTTTGAGAGTTTGATGGCCTCTCAGGGAGAAGAAGTAGGGATGATGACTGTCATTAATAGTCAATGACTCCAAGGGTTGATCTTGACTCTTTAGGACTATATTGGACAATCTTTCCCTATTCTGAGTTTCCCTGAGTTTCAGAACATCTCTGATTTGGTTCAGCTGTGTCTCCATGCAAATCTAATCTCGAATTGTAGCTCCTATAATTCCCTTGTGTTGTGGGAGGAACCCAGTGGGAGATAATTGCATCATGGGGGCAGTTTCCCCCATGCTGTTCTTGTAGCAGTGAATAAGCCTCACAAGATCTGATGGTTTAATAAGGGGAAGCCCCTTTCACTTGGCTGTCATTATTCTCTTGTCTGCCACCATGTAAGATGTGCTTTTCACCTTCTGCCATGATTGTAAGGCCCTGCTCAGCCACGTGGAACTGTAAGTACATTAAACCTCTTTCTTTTGTAAATTGCGCAGTCTATCAGCAGTAGGAAAACAGACTAATACAATCTCCTAGGGCCTCATAGAAAACCTTCTTTGTGAGCTATGTTTGACGGGGAGCTTCCAGCTCTGCTTAGCAGTTCTCAACAAGCTTTTCTGGGCTGGACCATCATGTCATTTGCCAGCCTCTTAACTAGAGAAGTCATCTGAAACTGGCTTATAAATGCACAGATTAGTAACATATTAGGGTTGGTTTCAGAGGGCTTGTTAAAAAAATAATTTCAGTGGCAGTATGCCTAGTAGGTAAGTGCACTCAGACTTGACTTTGGCCCTACTAGTTTTGTGATCTTGGGCAAATTGTTTAGCCCTTTTGAATTTCAATTTCTTCACCTGTAAAATGGACATAATAAAAATATTTATCTCATTGAGATTTGAGGATAATTGTGATCATGTATATGAGGTGCTTAACACTGGATAAACTCACTGGGAAGAATTTATTAAGAATTCACTAAATTAAATGTTATTATTTTTCTAACTTCTGGTAAGTTAAGGGCCTGGGCTGCATTTGAAGAATCCCTCAAAATTTTCAGTCCTGGAGTGCTGTGCATCTTTGACCAGCAACCTGGTTAAAATGTCATGAGACCACAGGTAGCCTGAGATGAAGCTCTTAAAACGTAGCAGGAAAAATATCCCCAGGCCTAAAGGAAACCCACTGATTCAAGTCTCCATGAATTCAGAAGGAAGAAAGAACAGGAAAGCAAGAGGTGAACTTAGCACCAGTTCCAAAGAAATAGGGTCTGTGAGTCGCTGTGAGGCTCTAAACCCTGGAATTAACTGGTCCCAAACATTGCATTACCAGGAATCTCAAGGACGAGATCTTTGGGTCTGGGCACTAATAGGAACAAAAGTATTTGGATGTCTAGGGGAGAGAGAAGTTTAGAAAATAGTCAAGCTTAAGTGGCCCAGAGATAAGAGGAAGGGACAATGCCAAGTGTTCTTAGGCAGTGAAGATAGTGGGCTTCAATAAAGGATAGGAAGAGGAAGCTTTGCTTATTGGGGAAACCCAGGAGCCAGGGCCCTGACATTTTAAGAAATCACTGAAAGCCAATTCCTGATATAGTCTGGGTAGTGTTTCTGGAGACATGGACCACTGTGGGATAAAGGCTGGGGTATTATTCCAAACTGCCAGGCCTGGTTGGTGGGACTGGTGATGCAGCACAGGGGAAGACCTGAAAGTTCTCGGAGATTCTGAACACAGAGAGCGTTCTTGCTGACCATGGACGTGTTAAGAATAACAACAGTGTCCTCAACAAAATACTAGCAAACTGAATTCAACAATACATTAAAAGATCATTCATTATGACCAAGTAAGATTTATCCCAAGGATGCAAGGATGGCTCAACATATACAAATCAATCAATGTGATACATCATATCAACAGAATGAAGGACAAAAACCGTACGATCATTTCAATTGGTTCTGAAAAAACATTTAATGAAATTCAACATTGCTTCATGATAAAAACCCTCAAAGAACTGGATATAGAAGGAACAAACCTCCACAACGCAAAAGGTATATACAACAGACTCACAGCTAGTGCCATACCAAGTTGGGAAAACCTGAAATCCTTTTCTCTAAAACCTGGAACAAGACAAGGAGGGCACTTTCACCATTGCTAATCAAAATAGTACTGGAAATCCTAGCTAGAGCAATCAGACAAGAGAAAGTTATAAAGGGCATCCAAATTGGAAATAAAGAAATCAATTATCCTGGCTTTCAGATGATGTAATCTTATATTTGGAAAAACCTAAAGACTCCACCAAAAAGCTATTAGGACTGATCAACACATTCAGGAAAGTTGCAGGATACAAAATCAACATACAATAATCAGTAGCATTTCTATATGCCAACACTGAACAATGTGAAAAAGAAATTTAAAAGTCCCATTTACAATAGCCACAAATAAAATTAAACGCCTAGGATTTAACCTAATCAAAGAAGTCAAAGATCTCTACAAAGAAAACTATAAAACACTGATGAAAGAAATTCAAGAGGATACAAAAAATGGAAGCATATTCCATGTTCATGGTTTGGAAGAATCAATATTGTTAAAATGTCTATCGTTAAAATGTCTATGCCACCCAAAGCAATCTACAGAATCAATGTGATCCCTACCAAAATACCAATGAAATTCTTTACAGAAATAGAAAAACAATTCAAAAATTTATATGGAACCACAGAAATATCCAGAATGGTCAAAGCTATCCTGAGCAAAAAGAACAAACCCAGAGGAATCACATTACCTGACTTCAAATTATACCATAGAGCTACAGTAACCAAAACAGCATGGCACTGGCGTAATAAAAGACACATAGACCAATGGAATGGAGAAGAGAACCCACAAACAAATGCATGCATCAACAGTGAACTCATTTTCAACAAAGGTGACAAGAACATACATTGGGAAAAAGACAGTGTCTTCAATAAAGTGTGCTGGGAAAAATGGATATTATGCGGAAGAAACTAGACCCCTATTTCTTGCCATCTACAAAAATCAAAGTGGATTAAAGACATACATCTGAGACCTCAAACTATGAAACTTCTAAAAGAGAATATTGAGGAAAATCTCCAGGACTTTTGCCTGGGCAAAGATTTCTGGAGTAATACCACACAAGCACAGGCAACCAAATCAAACATGGACAAACAGGATCACATCAAGTTAAAAAGCTTCTGCACACACACACACACACACAAAATCAACAAAATGAAAAGACAACATACAGAATGGGAGAAAATATTTGCATACTACCTGTCTGACAAGGGATTAATACCAGAATATATAAGGAGCTCAAACAAATCTATAGCAAAAAATCTAATAATCTGATTAGATTGCTAATTAAAAATTAGCAAAGTATCTGAATAGACATTTCTCAAAAGAACAAATACAAATGGCAAACAGGCATAATGAAAAGGCGCTCAGCATCACTGATCATCAGAGAAATGCAAATCAAAACTACAAGGAGATATCATCTCACCCCAGCTAAAATGGCTTATATCCAAAAGACAGGCAATAAAAAATGCTGGCAAGGGTATGGAGAAAAGTGAATCCTCATACACTGTTGGAGGGAATATAAACTAGTACAACCACTATGGAGAACAGTTTGGAGATTCCTCAAAAAAAAATTGAGCTACCATGCGATTCAGCAATCCCACTGCTAGGTATGTACCCAAAAGAAAGGAAATCAGGTTATTGAAGAGATATCTGCCCTCCCATGTTTATTGCAGTACCATTCACAATAGACAAGATTTGGAAGCAACCTAAGTGTTCATCAACAGATGAATGGATAAAGAAAATGTGGTACATATGCACAATGAGGTACTATTCAGCCATAAAAAGAATGAGATCCTGTCATTTGATACAACATGGATGGAAGTGGAGGTCATTATGATAAGTGAAATAAGCCAGACACAGAAAGACAAACTCCACATGTTCTCACTTACTTGTGGGAGCTAAAAATTAAACAATAGAACTCATGGAGATGGAGAGTAGAAAGATGGTTACCAGAGGCTGGGAAGGGTAGTGAGGGGGTTGGTAGGGAGAAAAGGGGGTGGTTAGTGGGTACAAAAATAGGAAAAATGAGTAAGACCTAGTATTTCATAGCACAACAGGGTGACTAAAATCTATAATAATTTAATTGTACATATAACATTTACTAAAGTGGTATAATTGGATTTTTTTGTAACACAAAAGATAAATGCTTGAGGGAATAGATACCCCATTTTCCATGAAGTGATTATTACACATTGCGTGCCTGTATCAAAGTATCTCATGTACCCCATAAATATATACACCTACTATGTAATTACACAAAATTAAAACTTTTTTTAAAAAAAGCAATAGCAACAGTGATCCACAACAGTGTCTTCCATTTGCCTGGAACTTTGCTGCTTTATTTTGAGGATTAAAAAATATATGATTACTTTACCTTAGAGCACCAGAGTTGGGTTTTTTCCCCCTAAAAGGAATTGTAGTGTATTAAATGCTTTGCTAATGGCTTGAGGAGCGGAAGACCAGGCCTCAAATGTATTAGTTTTAAAGAGACAACAAAGAACCGAGCTATTTTATATCAACCGACATAGATTTTGGGTGGTGGGAAAGATGAATGATGAGCTAGCTGTACTGGGGAGAGAGGACAGCAATAAGGTTAAACACCGTATTGTAGGAGCCTAATGCCTGCCTTGGTAAATATGGCCCAGAAAATGTCATAGTATGGTACCTAATATTCAGCCTTAAATTTTTTTGTGTGTGTTGTAATATCTATTATTTTCTTTAAACTTTTAATAAAGTTTGCTAATCACTCAATGGCCTTGGTGAATGTGACCGAGTGTATGTGCAAGTTCGTGGGGGGCATGATCTGAGTCATGTGGCTGGGTTATGTGGTGACAAAACCCTTTCAGCCAGCTTTGTGTACTGTCTGGAGAATGAGTAGGGGGAAGAGAAAAGGAGCTCAGAATGGTTTGCCTCTTAGATATTTCATTTGTTCACCAAGTTAAGGTAGGAAAAAAAAGTATTTTAAAAATGTTTAACATTTCTTTCAATACAAATTTATTTTACAGAATTTTTTACAACGGCCAGTTTTCTCAGATACTTAATTATGGTTTCCTATTATAAAACAGAAACTCAATTGAGGGAGACCTTCAGCAATCACTGTCAATAGATGGGACAGGCTGACATCTGTGTCTACTGTTGGGCATCTGAGAGCTCATTAACAGTCTCTGCCCAGAGATCACAATTACCCACATGCTATTATCATTTATATAGTCCAGAAGCAAATTATTTTACATCTTTAATTCCCCAGGGATTGTTATACAAAGTGGTACCAAATCATCAGTAAAATGGTTTCAGATCTTTTTACTTTATTTTATTTTTTTTGCAGGGGTAGGGGAAGCTTGGCTTTCCACATTAATCATTTCCTTATATCTTCCAGTGCATATTGTCTTAACCTTCCTTGAGTTCCAGGTACCACTTTCACATGCCAGCCTTTCCAAATCTCTGTGTGGTCAAACAAAGCCTTCCCTTCCTCCTCATTTGTACTCCATTTGTGATCCACTCCTGTTTTCCACTTTAATGAGATTGTTAATGATATTTACACCACTGCTGCTATGAAAAATAGTGAGAGCTTCCACATCAGCTCATGCATCCTTATATATATTTTTCCAGTTAAAAAAGCTTTTCATGCTAGCAGACAAATACATTTACCTTAAAAATCTAAACTATATAAAGTTTGAGTATATAATTTCCTTTTTAATCTTCTTTCATTTGTAGCTATAACACATTTTTCTTTCACTGGCTACTTATATTTTTATTTCTTAAACACCAAATTCCAAATACAATGCTTGAAGAACAATGTGCCCATAAATTATTAGGTGTCCTTTTCTTTAGATCTCTTTGTTCTAATTTTCTTTTCATTAAAATTCTGACAATTTTCAGTGATATCAAACTATTTAGCTTTTAATATTAATGATCTTTGAATATAAGAGACAGTCAAAGCAACTCTCACTAATAAATTTGCTTCCTTAAAAATATTTTTGGGGCAAAGCCAAGATGGCCGACTAGAAACAGTCATGTCTGGAGGCTCCCATTGGAAAAAAGCATAATACACATGTGAATCCTTCACTGGCAACCAAGGTACCCAGGTTCGCTCATCAGAACTGCTAGGAGGCTAATGTGACCCACGGAGAGAAGGAAGAACAGTGTGGTGTGGTGACCTACCTGAGAGTCACATGGGGAAGGAGATCCCCGCCCCCATCCCCAGCCAAGGGAAGTGGTGAGTGTGCTACTCAGCCAGGGAAACCGTGCTTTCTCAACGGAATGATGCAACCCATGAATTGGAAGATCCCACTTGCAAACTCATGCCACCAGGGCCTATCCTCCCAACCCCGGAATGTGCAGACTCTTCACAGTCTCTCAGCTGGAATCTGCTTAAGCCCACCAAACTCCCAAGGGGAGGGGGGACCAGCACTACAGTAGCTGTGACCTGCTGTTTAAGTTGTTTGAGCTCCTTGAAGGAAGGGCAGCAGCCAACACTGGGACTACCTAACACACTAAGCTCCCTGGGTTGGGGGAGGGCAGCACTCATCTCTAAAGCTACAGGCTTTGTTTTCCCTTGCTGGAGCCAGGAAGGTTGAACAAGGCTTGGTCCCAAGACTTGTCCTCCATGGCCCAACACACTAGCTGTGGCAGTCTGCAGCCAGAGTGTGTCTTCAGGCCTGATCCTGACCCATCCTTCCTCACCAGACAGGGCTTCCCTACAGGAACTCCAATACCTCCAGCCAAAGGCTGAGGGACAGAACCCGGATACCCCTGGGCCTGAGGTCCTAGCGAAAGAGGTGGCCGCAGTCTCTGTGGACCAGCAGACTTAGCCTTTCCTCCTGATAGTTCTGAGGAATATGGGCAGCCCAGATGAATGGGTTTCCCCCCAGTGGGGCACACCCCTTCCACCAAGGGACAAAGTGCTTCATTAAATGGGTCTGTTCCCCATGCCACCCAACTGGGTGAGACCCTCCAACAGGGCTTGTAGACACCCTATATAGAAGCAATCCTACTGGCTTCAGGTTGGTGTCTTTTGAGGTCAGAGGTCCCAGAAGAAGGAGCAGGCACCCATCTTTGCTGTTCTCCAGCCTCCATGAGTGACATCTCCAGGTGCAGGAGTGAATCAGATGAATAAGCCCTGAAGTAAAGCCCCAGAAAACTGCAGCAGCACTACAGAAGAGAGACCTGATCATTTAAAGAAAAGCAGACAAGCAGAAAGCAACAACCACAGCATCAACAACAACAACAAAAACCCCCCACAAAAACCCCATCCAAGGGTGAGCAGCCTCAAAGACCAAAACTAGACAAACTCACGAAGATGAGAAAGAATCAATGAAAAAATGCTGAAAACCAAAAAGGCCAGGGTGCCTTTTCTCTTCCAAATGATCACAACGTCTCTCCATCGAGGACACAGAACTGGACAGAGGATGAGATGGATGAATTAATAGAAGTAGGCTCCAAAAGATGGGTAATAAAAAACTATGCTGAGCTAAAGGAGCAAATTCTAACCCAATGTAAAGAAGCAAAGAACCTTGATAAAAGATTAGAGCAATTGCTAACTAGAATAACCAGTTTAGAGAGGAACATAGATGACCTGATGGAACTGAAAAACAGTGCGAGAACTTCTTGAATCATACACAAGTATTAATAGCCAAATTGACCAAGCAGAAGAAAGGATATCAGAGTTTGAAGACAACCTCACTGAAATAAGACATTCAGACAAGAATAGAGAAAAAAGAATGAAAAGGAATGAACAAAGCCTCCAAGAAATATGGGACTTCATAAAAAGACTGAGCCTATGATTGATTGGAGTGCCAGAAGGAGACAGGGAGAATGGAAACAAGCTGGAAAACACACTTCAGAATATTATCCAGGAGAACTTCCCCAACCTAGCAAGACAGGCCAACATGCAAATTCAGGAAATACAGAGAACACCATTAAGATATTCCATGAGAAGATCAACCCCAAGACACAAGCATCAGATTCTCCAAAGTTGAAATGAAGGAAAAACTGTTAAAGTCAGCCAGAGAGAAAGGTCAGGTCACCTACAAAGGGAAGCCCATCAGACGAAGAGTGGACCCCTCAGCAGAAACTCTACAAGCCACAAGAGATTGGGGGTTAATATTCAACATTCTTAAAGAAAAAAATTTTCAACCCGAATTTCATATCCAGCCAAACTAAGCTTCATAAGCGAAGGAGAAATAAAATCCTTTCCAGACAAGCAAATGATAAGGGATTTCATTACCACCAGGCCTGCCCTCCCAGACCTCCTAAAAGAAGCACTAAATATGGAAAGGAAAAACCAGTACCAGCCACTGCAAAAACACATCAAAATATACAGACCAATGGCATTATGAAGATACTGCATCAACTAGTATGCAAAATAACCAAATAGGATCATAATGACAGGATCGAATTCACATAAAACAATACTAACTTTAAATACAAATGGGCTAACTGCCCCAATTAAAAGACACAGACTGGCAAATTGGATAAAGAGTCAAGACCCATCGGTGTGCTGTATTCAGGTGACCCACCTCATGTGTGAAGACACACACAGACTCAAAGGGAAGAAGGAAAATTTACCAAGCAAAGGGAAAGCAGAGAAAAGCAGGGTTTGCAATCCTAGTCTCAGACAAAACAGAGTTTAAACCAACAAAGATCAAAAGAGACAAAGAATGGCATTACATACTGGTAAAGGAAACAATTCAACAGAAGAGCTCCCTATTCTAAATGTATATGTACCCAATACAGGAGCACCCAGATTCATCAAACAAGTTCTTAGAGACCTACAAGGAGACTTAGACTCCCACACAATAATATTGGGAGATTTTAACACCCCACTGTCAGTATTAGACAGATCAATGAGACAGAAAATTAATGAGGATATTTAGGACTTAAACTCAGCTCTGGATCAAATGGACCTAGTAGACGTCTACAGAACTCTCCACCCCAAATGAACAGAATATACATTCTTCTCAGTGCCACATGGCACTTATTATAAAATCAACCACATAATGGGAAGTAAAACACTCTGCAGCAAATGCAAAAAACTGAAATCATAATAGTCTCTCAGACCACAGTGCAATCAAATTAGAACTCAAGTTTAAGAAACTCACTCAAAACAACACAATTACGTGGAAATGGAACAACCTGCTTCTGAATGACTCCTGGGTAAATAATGAAATTAAGGCAAAAAATCAAGAAGTTCTTCAAAACCAATGAGAACTAAGAGACAATATACCAGAATCTCTGGGACATAGCTAAAGCAGTGTGTTAAGAGGGAAATTTATAGCACTAAATGCCCACATCAGAAAGATCTCAAATCAAAACCCTAACATCACAATTAAAAGAGCTAGAGAGGCAAGAAAGAACTAATCCAAAAGCTAGCCGAAGGCAAGAAATAACTAAGATCAGAGCAGAATTGAAGGAGATGGAGACACCAAAAACTCTCCAAAAAATCAATGAAGCCAGGAGCTGGTTTTCTGAAAAAAATTAACAAAATAGATAGATGGCTAGCTAGACTAATAAAGAAGAAAAGAGAGGAATCAAGTAGACAATAAATAATGATAATGGAGATATCATCACTGATCCCACAGAAATACAAACCACCATCAGAGAATACTATAAACACCTCTACGCAAATAAACTAGCAAATCTAGAAGAAATGCATAAATTCCTGGAAACATACACCCTCCCAAGACTAAACCAGGAAGAAGTCAAATCCCTGAATAGACCAATAACAAGTTCTGAAATTGAGGCAGTAATAAGTACCCTACCAACCAAAAAAATTACAGGACCAGACGGATTCACAGCTGAAGTCAACAAGAAATACAAAGAGGAGCTGATACCATTCCTTCTGAAACTATTCCAAACAATTGAAAAGGAGGGAATCCTCCCTAACTCATTTTATGAAGCCAGCAACATCCTGATACCAAAACCAGGAAGAGACACAGCAAAAAAAGAAAACTTCAGGCCAATATCTCTGATGAACATCAATGCAAACATCCTCAATAAAATACTGGGAAACTGAATCCAGCAGCACAACAAAAAACATATCCACCATGATCAAGTCAGCTTCATTCCTGGGATGCAAGTCTGGTTCAACATATGCAAATCAATAAATGTAATCCATCACATAAAAAGAACCAAAGACAAAAACCACATGACTATCTCAATAAATACAGAAAAGGCCTTTGATAAAATTCAACATCCCTTCATGTTAAAAACTCACAATAAACTAAGTATTGATGAAACATATCTCAAAATAATGAGAGCTATTTATACAAACCCACAGCCAATATCATATAGAATGGGCAAACGCTGAGAGCATTCCCTTTGAAAACTGGTACAAGAAAAGGATGCCCTCTCTCACTACTCCTATTCAACATAGTATGGGAAGTTCTGGCCAGGGCAATCATGCAAGAGAAAGAAAGAAAGGGTATTCAAATAGGAAGAGAGGAAGTCAAGTTGTCTCTGTTTGCTGACAACATGATTTTATAGTTAGAAAACCCCATCATCTCAGCTCCAAAACTCCTTAAACTGATAACCTCAGCCAAGTCTCTGGGTACAAAATCAACGTGGAAAAATCACAAACATTCCTTTACACCAACAATAGGCCAGCAGAGATCCAAATCATGAATGAACTCCCATTCACAATTGCTACAAAGAGAATAAAATACCTAGCACTGTGGCTAACAAGGGATGTGAAGGACCTCTTCAAGAAGAACTACAAACCACTGCTCAAGGAAATAGAGGACACAAACATATGGAAAAACTTTCCATCCTTATGGATAGGAAGAATCAATATCGTGAAAATGGCCATACTGCCCAAAGTCATTTATAGATTCAATGCTATTCCCATCACACCACCATTGACATTCTTCACTGACTTAGAAAAAAACTATTTTAAATTTCATATGGAATCAAAGAAGACCCCGTATAACCAAGACAATCCTAAGCAAAAAGAACAAAGCTGAAGGCATCATGCTACCTGACTTCAAACTATAGTGTAAGGCTATAGTAACCAAAACAGCATGGTACTGGTACCAAAACAGACATATAGACCAATGGAGCAGAACAGAGACCTCAGAAATAACACCACACATATGCAACTATCTGATCTTCAACAAACCTGACAGAAACAAGCAATGAGGAAATGTTCTCCTATTCAGTAAATGGTGCTGGGAAAACTGGCTAGTCATATACAGAAAACAGAAACTGGACACCTTCCTTACACCTTCTATGAAAATTAACTCAAGATGGATTAAAGACTTAAATGTAAAACCCAAAACCATATAAACTCTAGAAGAAAACCTAGGCAGTACCATTCAGGATAGGCATGGGCAAAGACTTCATGACAAAATGCCAAAAGCAATTGCAACAAAAGCCAAAGTTGACAAATGGAATCTAATTAAAGAGCTTCTGCACAGAAAAATAAACTGTCATCAGAATGAACAGGCAACCTACAGAATGGAAGAAAATTTTTGCAATCTACCCATCTGACAAAGGTCTAATATCCAGAAATTGCAAGGAACTTAAACAAGTTTACAAGAAAAAAACAAAACAACCCCATCAAAAATTTAGCAAAGTATATGAACAGACACCTCTCAAAAAAATACATGTATGCAACCAACAAACATATGAAAAATAGCTCAACATCACTGATCATCAAAGAAATGAAAATCCGCAATGCAAAACCGCAATGAGATACCATCTCATGGCAGTCAGAATCGTGATTATTAAAAAGTCAGGTAACGATGCTGACTAGGCTGTGGAGAAACAGCCTGGTTTACACTGTTGGTGGGAATGTAAATTGGTTCAACCATTGTGGAAGACAGTATGGCTATTCCTCAAGGATCTAGAACTAGAAATGCCATTTGACCCAGCAATCCCATTACTGGGTATATACCAAAAGCATATAAATCATTCTACTATAAATACACATGCACACGTATGTTTACTGCAGCACTATTTACAATAGCAAAGACATGGAACCAACCCAAGTGCCCATCAATGATAGACTGGATAAAGAAAATGTGGTATATATATACACCATGGACTACTATGCAGCCATAAAAAAAATGAGATCATGTCCTTTGCAGGGACATGGATGAAGCTGGAAGCCATAATCCTCAGCAAACTAACACAGAAACCAAAACCAAATACCACATGTTTTCACTCATAAATGAGAGTTGAACAATCAGAACTCACGGTCACAGAAAGAGGAACAACACACAATCAGGGCCTGTTGTGGGGTGGGGGTGAGGGGAGGGAACTTAGAGGATGGGTCAATAGGTGCAGCAAACCACCATGGCACAAACCGGCACGTTCTGCACATGTATCCCTTTTTTTTTTAAGAGTAAATAAAAAACTTATTGTCTCATCAATATCAAAGGATATTAGAGACTTTTACAATGACTGTGACAATAAATGGCATAGAAGGTAAAAATTATTTTTAATTTCCTTCTTATATAATATGTTCATATAATTTTGGAGAAGTTATTAAAATCTTAAAATTACACAATATTAACTTTTTTTCTAGGTTTAAGCTGAAATGTAGGCGAACCATACAAAAGTCATTGTTTTTGTTGTGTCTTTAGAGGACAGGGTGGCTGTCTTTTAAAAAGTATATATATCTCCTAGCATACTTTTATACAAAAACAGAAATTAAACCCTTCTAAACTTGAAAGGTAGATACATATTTACATTGTGATTTAGTTATCTTCTGTAATGAGGAAATGGATAATGCTGGCACCTGATCTTTTGTCAACAAGGTGATGCTTAGAGTTTAGAATAAGTTTCTTTTTGTCATTAGATTGTTATTATAAGTTATGTTAGGTTTATGGGTTTCATTTATGCAATAAATATTCATTGAGTAATTACCTTGTGACAGACATTATTCTAGGTACTTGGGATACATCAGTGAACAAAATACACTACAGTTCTTACTCTCATGAGACTTATGTTCTAGTGCGTATGTGTATGGGGGGGATAGTGAGAGAACAGCAAAGAATAAACATGATAATTGTATATTTATATTATGTTTAAAAGGTGAGGGTGTTAAAAATAGAACATGGTAAAGGGGGGACTGGGATACAGGCAAGGGAGGAACTTCCCCAGGGTTATGGAGAGCCTAGAGTGAAAAAAACAGGTCATGGAACTTTTAAATCCAAAGTCTGTGGTATTTTGTGAAGTAAAGTCTTAACTTTGTTTAAGAGCTGAGATATGATGGTTCCAGCTTTTTAAAAATTCTCACATTGTTGAATGTGCCATATTGTTGGAAATGCATTTATTCTAAGTCAATAAAGACAGAGCAATAATATATTAAGATTCAGGGATTTTCTAAAATTGCTCTTAAATGCTATGTGCAACTGCTTCCTTGCTCTGCCAAGGACAAAAAGTCAAGGCAGACCTTCATCTTGACGACTGTCTGGTCTATTTGGGGTAGACAGAAGATGGAGAATGGATGTCAGAAGTGAGGGGTGTTGAGCAGGCCTATTCCTAATATTTTGGGGGCTTCTCCCATAAACACGGGGACAAGAGCACAAATGGAGGCTGCAACCCATACCCTTTTCTTCCCATCCTCCTCTCCTTTCTGCACTGCGAAGGGTTTCATGTGTATGTGTGTGGACTGCTCAGACTACTTGTCAGGCTCTGTTCAGTTCCTTCTCCATCAAACAGCTGCCCCTTGGCCACCTCTCAAGAGGATAGACCTAAGATAGTGGCCTGTGCACAAGTGGGTTGAAGTCATGGGGTAGGAAATTCTCCCAGGTATATCCTGAGTGTGATCTAGAAAGGGCCTGTGGGCTGGGAGTGGACACATCTCCTTGGCTGTAGGTTCTTTAGTGAGTGTGATAGGCAGGGCCAGAGAAGGGTCAGAGCAGGAATCTCTAAGCATGGGCCCCTGGCAAGAGTCCCAGTTGTACAGGGTTTAAGGGCTGTGCTCTGTCAGAGGTGGAGGATGGACAGGGACAACTGAGAGAGCCAGTAGGAAATGCGGATGGAGCTATCAACTCTATATTGGCTAAAGTTTAATCTATCAAGATCGCTAGTCCTGAAGAATATCAAGTTTCATTTTACTGCTAAACCTAAGAAGAAAAAATAATTAACTGTAACCAATAATGATATAATTCATGTTTTAGAATGATTTCCAAGAGGTCTTTAAAGTGAAAGATATTTTTAAAACATTTTATTTATCACCTTTTTGAAGGATTATGTGATCCCAGTACAAAATTCAAAGGATATAAAAGATGCTGATATGGTTAGGCCAAATCTCATCTTGAATTGTAATCCCCAGGTGTGTAGGGAGATACCTGGTGGGAAGTGATTGGATTATGGGGGAAGATTTCCTCATGCTGTTCTTGTGATACTGAGTGAATTCTCATAAGATCTGATGGTTTTCTAAATGGTAATTTTTCCTACACCAACACATATGCTGTCTCTCGCCTGTCACCATGATTGTAAGTTTCCTGAGGCTTCCCTAGCCATGTGGAACTGTGAGTCCATTAAATCTCTTTCCTTTATAAATTACCCAGTCTTAGATATGTTTCTATAACAGTGCAAGAATGGACTAATAAAGGTGCTCAGTGAAAAATAAGTCATCTTTTCTTATTTTAAAATAAGAAAATTTACTCATTTAAAAATAACTTTTACCCCAGCCATACAATTCTCATTTCTAGAGACAACCACCATTCCAGTTTTGTGTGTCTGTACAGAGGCAGTTTTATGTATTTACCACTTAAATAATACCTAGCATTGTTAGATCCTTTAATTTTAAACTTAGTATTACTTGGAGGTTATCCCATACTGTATCGGTATGTTTAGAGTTTATATAGAAAATGATATTTTTTGCCTTCTGTTCTGTACTTCTCCTGATAGTTCAAAGCTGACCTGTATGTAAAGATATAAAAAAGAAGATTCCACAGTCTTTCTTGAAAAAACCTATGAAACTTTGCTATTGCATTTTTAAAATTTATTTTTCAAGTACTGCCTTTTGATGATCTAATATAAAATTTAAGAGTTAAACATACAAGTTCATCTCATTTAGAACCATTTTTAGGTTCAATTTCCAGTTCAATTGTAGTTTTCACAAAGTAGATGAAATGCATAGGCAATCAAACATAAAAACCAAGTGGATTTATTCCATCGAGACTTGTGAAATAGCAGGTTATTCCATCAAAATTTCCCAAACATCATTGATGATAAGAATCATCTGGGGTACTTGGGAAATTAAGTTTCCCAGGCTTTTCCCTGCCTAGGGAATCTCACTGAATGAGTCTGAAGTGTGGCCTGGAGATTTGTAGTTGTAACAAGTATATTTAAAATTATTCTGTTAGTTATCCATTACCTCAAATTAGTGTGTCCTTATTATGTTCTAGCCTCAGAGGGTTTACAGAACATCACTTCTGCCGTACTCCATTTGTTGGGGTAGTAACCCACCCTCTCCCCAATTTAAGCGAAGAAAACATAAATCCCACCAATTTGTGGGAGGAGTGTCAGTCACATTGCAAGAAGAGTATGTGGGATAAACACATAGATGTGGCTGTCTGTGGAAAATACTGTCTCAGTCCACTCCATGGCCACAACAATTCACATTCCTTCCACATGTAGAATATACTAATCCCATCCCCTGGGCCCTCAAGTCTCACAACAGCAGGCTCAGAACTGGGGGCTAGAGGGTGGGCGGTGGTAGCCAGACTCAAGATTGCCTTCCCCAATGAGCTTCACTTTCTGGTGTTTTTGCCTTTGTGTCATCTCCCACATTAAATCCGGGCTGACCCATTTGACCAAAAGAGCACAGCAGAACTGACAGTGTGTGACTTCTAATGGCAGGCTATAAAAGGCATTGCAGCTTCTGCTAGGTCTCTTGTTGCTTGCTCTGGGGGAACCTAGCTACCACGTCATGAGGATACACAATGGCTCTGAGGAGAGGCCCACATGGAGAGGAACTGAGGCTTGCTGATGACAATCAGCACTACCTTGCCAGCCATGTGAATGAGCCACATTGGAAGTAGGTCCTCTCCCCAAAACTGGTCTTCTAACGACTACAGCCCCAGTGGATGTCTCACTACAACTCTTTGAGAGACTGAGCCAGACCTGCCAGACATGCCTCTTCTAAATTATTTTCCCTGAAGTAACTAAATTTTGAGATGACTTATTTCACAGCATTTCACAACTAATATATAGCTCTCCAGGTAATTCTCATTTTACTAGTTATGTAGATAGGGTTCCAAGCATGGCAAGGAAGTACAAAAGAGCCTTGTTGGTGGAACACCTCTCATCATTATAAACAATCTTGTTAGAGGTGGACTGTGACCACCAAACATGGGAAGTACGGATTCTGCTTCTCATTTTTGAGATATAGCATGGGACAGGATGCAGCTTTGCCCCGGAAATAAATAGGGAAGCTTTAGCCACATTTTTAAGTGTTGTGGAAAAAACAATTCTGGACCCCAGGTCTTTCAGGAAGAAAACTTCACAAGGGGTGAGTTCATCCTCAAATTTTGATTTGTGTTTGCATGCTTCTTGGCATTTGAGTTTGTATGCTTCTTTTAGCCATTAGTTTGTCTAGTTATCTAGATATTATCAATCTCTATCACATTTAAAAAATAAAATGGGGATGACATTATACATATTCTATTATTTTTTAAAGTAAAGAGCATATTTCTCCATTACTAAATATCCTTTTATAATGTTTTAAAACCTTGGCAGGTGTTAGCCCTGGGTCGCTTCAAGAATAGAAATGTAGAACACCATGTTTAACTCTGTTACTCCTGAGATTAGGTTCCCTGTAAATGATAGTTTCCACCCTCATAGATTTTTTTTCTGCAGGCTGCATGCCAGTTAGTAATTATTCTCCTGGTAGAAAGTCTACCGGGCTGACTCAGCTTTTTATGTCCCTACTATCTGCCAGGAAGCAGGGTTCTAAGTGTGTTTTTGAAGGAATAGAAGCAATCTTCCAGTGAGAGAGTTTATAGTGATATCAACCAAGGAATATATTGTTGATATTGTAAGTTACCAAGGTTTTAAAATATCAAACAATCCTTAAATATTCTATGATTTTTTTCTTTGGAAAAAGAAAACCAAAATGTTGGGTATTATATTTTCCTATGGTAGATTTGTGGAATAAATATAAAAAGTTTATCTAGAGTTAATGGGAAAACTGAAGAAGTGGAATTGAAAACTCAAGAGTAAACTAAATATACCTCTTGCATTGACCAATGGCCATTGTCTCCTTTTTAATCTGCAGCCTTTGTGCTCCTATCTACAGCCTAAATGTCACTCTTTTAGTGACAAAATAGTGAGTATTCAGCTGTGTGAGATACTGGAGGGCCCAAAGCCCTTTGAAATATACTCTGCTATCAAGGGGTTTGTAGAAGAAATAGAGACACATAAATATCTATGATACAAGCTCCTAGGTAATACAAGTGACAAATGAACACTTAAGTAGCCAAAGAAGAGACTGCT
This sequence comes from Homo sapiens, assembly GCF_000001405.40. NCBI lineage: Eukaryota > Metazoa > Chordata > Mammalia > Primates > Hominidae > Homo > Homo sapiens. The sequence goes on along the minus strand of NC_000005.10, from coordinate 114,755,565 downwards.
TAAGAGCTGTTTTTTAAATACTAGCTAAGAGTTTTCCAAGTTGTGAAGATAATACACATTTACTATAGAAAATTAAACTAATACAAGTAAATACATAGAAGAAAATTTATTATTTCACCACACAGAAATAACCATTGTTAAAAGATTAGTGTATATTCTTTTAATCTCTATATGTCTGGTTATCTAGATATTATCAATCTATCACATTTAAAAAATAAAACAGAGATTACATAACACATATTCTATTAGTTTTTAATATAAAGAACATATTTCTCCATTACTAAATATCCCTCTATAACATTTTTTAGTAATTGCATATTTTATTATTAAATATCCCATTACTGAACATTTAGACTATTTCCAGTTTCCCATTATAGAATGTGGTAATATAAACATCCTTTAAGCCAACTTTTTGTTCACATCCATTATTATTTCCTTAGTGTAAAATTCTAAATGTAAAATATTAGAATAAAAGGGCATGTAAAATTTTAGTGCTGGTTGATTATTGCTTTCTAAAAAACTGTACCAGTTACATTTTCATTAAGGATTTATATAATTTTGATAGTGGGGAGGGAAGACATTCCAGCCACAGAGAGTGGTATGAGAAATGGATTGAAAAAAGAGTCCAGGAAGATTGGCTGGAGCACATTCTGCACAGTGGCAGGGGACATAAAAGGGAAGTTTGCTGAAGGCTAGACTGACAAAGTTGGACTTTTTAAAACTTTTTTCAGCAGGCAATTGATAATCACTGAAGTTTTAGAAGAAAATAGTGACAGGATTAAAATACATCTTTCAAGACATTATTCTTTAAACATGTAAAGTGATATTGTCAGAAAGACCATTTGGGAGGTCAAACTTCAGTAATGGCAGAGAATAGAACATTTTCTAAAGATAGAAAATAAATGATGGATATGTGAGACATTTGCAGTTTGAGAAAGGAGGTAGTGTGAAAGATCACCATGGGTTTTGGAAACTGATTGAAATTATACTAACATTAAATGCATTAGAAGGAGCCACTGGGTTATAAAGATTAGAATAAAAAGTTGCTGGAGGAAGAAAAAGATGATAATTTCTGTTTTGGATATATTGTATTTAGCGTGTTGGTAGTCAATCCAGGTAGAGATATCCGGCAGACCACTGGAAAATACTGGACTGTAACTCAGGAGAAAGTTCCAAACCAGAGAAATAAATACTTTAGGCATAATCTTCTTAGAGGTTTTGTTGTTGTTGAGGCTGTTAGATTGATAAGATCTGAGGAAGTGATGGTAACAAAGAGTATTCAGCTCAGTAGTAATTATTAAATAAATGTAAAGAAATTTCCAGAGGTTGAGGGGAAATACTACCCGTTAGATCTATCAGTGTACAGTGTTCACATGGGATGGGGATAGTACCATTGGATAAAGTATAGAGAAAGGTCTTGCCACACTGTAGGAATGAATTAGCCCTTATAGTTAGCATTGCTCTGTTTCTGCCTAATAAATCCTAAAAGCAAAATCTGAAAGCATCAAACTGTATCCTTGTAGCTTAGCTGCGTTCAGTTCAAGCACATTTATAAAAATACAAAAATATCCAGCATCTAATAGGGTAAAATTTACAATATCTTGAATCAAATAAAAGTTGAGTCATTGCAAACAATTAGGAAATACAACCCATAATGAGAAGATGAACTCATATTTGAAATTGTCCCCAAACTGATAGAGATGTTAGAAATATCAGACAAGGACATTAAAATAGTTTTTGCTTAAAACATTAGGTAGAGACATGGAAAGCATAATAAAGACTCAAACTGAACTTCCAAAGGTGAAAACTACAATGAGGAATAAAAAATACTTTGCCTGGGAATAATTTCAGAATAGACATTGCAGAAGAAAAGATTAATGAACTTGAAGATATGAAAAAAGAAACGATCTAAAATGGAACACAAAGGGAAAAGAGAATAAACAAAACTGAACAGAATGTCAATAAATAGTGAGATAATGACAACTTCAAGCTGCTTAATATAAATAAAGTCTCCAAAGGAGAGAAGAAAGGGATGGCTGTATAAAAAATATTTGAAGAAATATTGGCCAACACTTTCCCAAATTTTATGACAATTGAGTTCTAAGAAGCTCAATAAAACTCAAGCCAATAAACATAAAGAAAAAAACAAGAGAAAGCACAAACTTTAAGATTATATTTCCTAAAGAGTAATACCAGAGTAAAATAAAACCTTATTTTACCTTTACCATTCTTAAAGAGGTCAATTTATCAAGAAGAGATAATTATCCTATTATTACACAAATTGCTCAAAACCAGCGATAAAGAGAAAATCTTAATACTATCCGGAAGAAAAAAGACATTACATACAGAGGGACAAAGATAAAATTACAGCAAATTTCTTACAGGGAGCAATGCAAGCAAGAAGACATGAAGGCTTTTTTTTTTTTTTTTTAAAGTTCACAGAGAAAGCCAGTGATGAAGAATTCTATATCCAGTGAAAATATCTTTCAAAACTGAAGGCAAAATAGTTTTTAAAATATGCAGAAGCTCATAGAATTTATCCAGCAGACTTGTAAAGTGAATGCAGTCTTTAAACAGAAGGAAAATAACGCTGCTTGGAAATAAGACTCTACACAAAGAAATAAAGAGCCCAGAAATGGTGACCACATGGTAAATATATAAGATCTTTTTTTAACTACTTAAATCTTTTAAAATGATAGTAGACTATGGAATTTTTAACATATATAAAGTAAAATTTATAATAAAAATAGCAAAATGTGAGGGGAAAAATAGAAGTATACTGATGTAAACTTCCTATACTAAATAGGAAGCAGTATAAGATAACTTGTAGTTGTATTCTATAAACCCTAAAGCAACCCTGAAGTTAGCCAAGAAAGGAATAACTATAGGATTATAAAACTACTCAATTAATTTAAAATAAACAGAAAAGTGGAAAAAGGAAACAAAGCAAAAATTGAACAAATGAAAATCAAATAGCAAAATTATGGATTTAAACTGTATCAATAATCACATTAAGTGTAAATGATCTAAATAACCCAATGAAAAGGCAATTATTGCCAGACTGGACAAAAATCAAGACCCAAACTATATCTTGCCTGTAAGAAACACATTTGAAATGAAAAGAAACCAACAGGTTAAAAGTAAAGGATGGAGAAAGCTTTTCATGCTAACAATAATCAAAAGAAAGCTGGAGTGGTTATGCTAATATCAGACAAAGTAGATTTTAGAGCAAAGAATATTACCATGGTCAAATAAGGTTATTTCTTAAAGTTCAATATGATATTATTTAAAGACTAATACCAGGGTAAAAGAAAGTCCTTTTTTAAGGATAAAGAGGTCAATTTATCAAGAAGAGATAATTATCCTAACTTACCTGGTTTAAACAATGAGGACACATTATCTTACATGACAGAAAATGCAGAAGTCTCTGGCTCCAGGGTTAGCTAGCTCAACAGCTCAAAGATGTCATCAGGGACACAGGTTATTTCCACATTTCTGCTCTGCCATAGCCAGGATGTCAACCTGGTCTTCAAACTGGCCTCCCTCATGAATACAAGATGGAATCACATCCACAACTACAGTGGAAGAAAAGGAATCTCTTTTTTTTCCCCAGTTGTTCCCCAGCAGACTTTTCTTTAAATATCATTTATTAATACTGGGTTACTTGTCCACCTGTAAAGAAAGCAAACACTGGCAATGGGAATTGTATTGTTATGACTGGCATAGAGCAGCAGTCATCAAACATTTTCTGTGAAGGTCCAGATGGTCTCTGGTGTAACCACAGTAAGTCCTCACTTCATGTCATTGATGAGATCTTGGAAACTGCAACTTTAAAACAAAGTATAAAGAAGCCAATTTTACCTTGGGCTAATTGATATAAACAAGAGGTAAGTTCCTGTGGCTTGCAGTATGTTGTTTTGCTTGAAGTCAACAACAACGTTTAGTGAGGATGTCCTATACTCGATTTTGGGATCGTTGCACAAAAACATACATAAATAGTACATAAATGAATTTTTTTATTTACAAAAATAGACATGGACTGGATTTGGTGTGTGAACCATCATTTGCTGACGCATGACTCAGACTTATCAGCTGAAGTGGAGACAGGGCCACCTTCCCTGAGGGTTGTACAGACACTTAAACAAAATTTGAATGCTCTAAGCAAGGAGGTTGAAAGGAATGGCTGTTGGGTAAGCAACCAGTAGTATCTGTCACATACTGTTTCTCTGTATCTCCCACAGTACCTAGCAGTTATTAAATATTGGTTGAAGGTATGGTGAATGACATATGCAGTTATATGGTGAATTAGCACCTTTGCAAGACAGCCCTAAGCTTTGGTAGTTTGAAGCTCAGGGAATTGTTTTTACTAGTTCTTGACTTTTTGCCTTAGGGCCTTGCAAACCCTTGAGATAAGATTTATTCTCCAAGGTCTTGCAGGATACAACATGGGTAAGCTTAAAAGGAAGTAAGTGAGGGAGAGAGCTCACAGTGCCAAAGGGACACCCCTGCTTCCCCAGGATGACATCCTTGCCTCCCTCTGGTCTCTTACATCAAAGTTTCCCAGCAGCAGCAGCAACACAAATAATACATTAAAAGGGAAAAGATCAAGCATGGAACTACATGGCTGAAAGGCTGAATTATGATCTTAGGAAGAAAGAGAAAGGGAAGTGCCCCCTCCTTTTAATCTTTGAGTTATATTTCTTCTTACCTTGGTTAGTGAATACAGTTCTGTTATTTCTGCAAATGCCTTCTTTCTGAACTGTATGTGTACATGCTGTGGAAATATGTGGGTACACCAACTAGGATGATTCATTTCCTAAAAGTACCCAGCAATTGGGGGAATCATATCACCACATTACAGGTTCAGGGCACCCCTTACTGCAGTGAGCCAGGAGTTATCATATTCATGACCCCTTTTTTGTTCAACCAGCCAGGATCCTAGGAAATCCTGAGGCAGAAGGATACCTTTCTCAAGAAATGACAAATCATTAGTTTTCAAGTAATTTTACTAGGATGAATTCTAGGAAAGGAAACCTCAGGGTTGATTGTAAAAATTGTTGTACAAGTAAGGCTTTTTAGGAGTGTTGCCTTTACTTTTAGCAGAAACAGAGAATGAGAGTTTTCAAACGTCGAAGATGCAGAGTCCAGCTCTATGCCACTTTACCCTCAGTGTAAAGATATTTGTAGAAAGATGCAGTTAAGAAGTGGGGAACACAGTGGCCTCTTGGCTCAGATCGTCTCGGGGTTCAAATCTTGACTCTTATTGACTAGCTGAATGACCTTGGTCGGGTTGATTAAACTCTCTAAGCCTCTGTTTATTTTTAAAATGGGCATGATAATAGCCTCTTAGAATTGCTAGGATTAAAAAAATCTGTCTATATAAAATGCTTAACATAGATCATTCATCATTGAAAAGGATAGGGCAGTGATTGAAATGCTAGAAAGAGATATGGGACCCTCATTCTTTTGTAATAGGGGTATGGAAAGCCAGAAATGGTGCTCTAGTGGTTATATCTTCTTCTTGTTCTGCACCCACCCCACCCCGACTCTTAGTTGGCTTCCAGGGGACATGGCATTATCTATACAGAGAAAAAAATACAGGAGAGTATTTCCTGGGAAGCCTAGCTCAGAAAATAAACAATGGTATGAGCCACTTGCCTCCATTTGGCCCACTTCTTGATGAGGTCAATTGAACTAGGATTCCAAGGATAGCAAAGGTAGGCTCCCACTTCTGGCCATCTCAGCTGAGGCTCTTTGTGTTAGGCTGTAAAAGATTTTGTTTATTTTTCCATTCTGTCTTCTCAAAGTTGCATCAGCTCGGGAAAAGCAGATATTCCTGAATCTGTTTTAACCTAGTGTAAACATTGTGTTTTTCTCAGACAATGATAGGAAATATGAGCCACTCTGGGAGAAATTCAGAAGAATAGTAAAAACACGATTGTGAAATATTTTATAGAACATTAAATCCTATGAATATGATAAATAATAAGTATTCATATTCTACTTTACTGTCTTTTAATTCTAACATATCTACTCAGATATTTAAATAAATATCTAGTTAGCTTTCTACATACATGATTTTCTTCAGGCCAGTGTGGCTATTTTGGTTACTTTTCCCTACATTAGATTGATATATTAATATTTATCGTAACCCATGCTATAAGGCTGTAACGTGGTTTTCCTTCTAAAATTTTGCCCTCACAGCTCTTCAGTACAGAGTGGCAACAGTGGGTGGATTCACTGTTACCAAAGCTGCTGAGATATTGTTGTGCTTTGTTATCTTATCTGAGTCCCTTCCTGCTGTTGTAACAAGCTTCCACAACTGGGTAATTTATAAATAATAGAAATTTATTTCTCACAGTTCTGGTTGCTGGGAAGTCCAAGATCAAGGCATTGGCAGATTCAGTGTCTGGTGAGGAATAGATGTCTTCTTCCAAGATTATATCTTGTTGCTACATCCTCACATAGCAAAATGTGGTAGGGCAAAAGGGGGCTAGGGCACTCCCTTCGACCTCTTTTATAAAGGCACTAATCACATTCATGATGGGGAAGTGCTTCCCATTCATGATGGTGGAGTGCTCATGACTTAATCACTTCCTAAAAGACCCTATGTCTTAATATTATCACATGGATTATTGGGTTTCAACATATGAATTTTGGAGGGGCACATATATTTAAACCATCACACTTGTCCTTCTAGAAAAGAATATTAATTGAGGAATTTAGTGTAGTTCCTGATGCCAACAGATATTCTCCATGTCATATTCCATAAGTTACCTATAGTTCCTTTATTTTTATGGTTACTGATTGAATACTGAAGTGAATTTCATGTACGAATGTCTATCAGTGTACACATAGCTTAAATAGGAGAGCGACATGCAGGAGACCTGACAGAGAGGTGAGAATGAATCTTTAGGGTAAAATGCCTGAGTGTTAAAGCCAAACCCCACAGTTTACTGATGATCTAATCTTGAGACAGTCACTTTGTGACTCTCAGTTTTGTTTGTAAAATGAGAATAATTTTGACATGCAGATGGCAAATTAGTTAAGAGGATCAACTTAAAACTTTTATGTAATACTTGTTGTAAGTATTTGTCTAGCTACATTGGCCTCAATGTCCTAGTGATCATTCCCAGTGAGCTACATGGTAACCCAAAGCATCTATTACTTAATCTTCCTCACAACGTAGAAAAAGCAATGTTTTCCTATGGACTTGGATTTTCTGCCCCCACGCCTGTGGACTCTAATTTCTCAGTCAATGCTCAGATACTAATTTAAAGTTTAGGAATTGTTCTTAGTCAGATTCTCTCTGTCTCTGTACTCTCCTTTCTTTATCTGGTTTTACAATTGTAATTTTTTTTTGCTTTCTTATGATCAGAACATCAGGATGGCTTTTGCAATATCATTAAATATCAGAATTAAAATAGCAGGTCGCCTGTTTCACAGACCATTTTTGTTGAAGGAGTATCTTTAGTTAAAAGTTAACCAAATGCAAAATAGGGCTTTATTTTTATAAATTTCCATGCCTTAGTTTGCTTCTGATGTATCACTGGCATTTTGTTCAATCTGCATAAGCTGCTGTGTAGAACAGGAAATTGCAAAAGGAACACGAGTCACTGACTATCATGCCCATCACTAATTTATCCATGTGAGGTTCATTTCCTCCAGCAAAGCCCAGGATTGGAAATGATGGATGCTTTCCAGGGGCCCCGATCCATCATCAGATGAATACGCAGCCCCCTCCCCAAGGAAGCTCCTGGTTCATTGAGATGCTTAATTCTCTCCTTATTTTCATTACTGTTTCTCGTTTGTATGGATTATTTTTCTTCAGTAATCTGGGCTTTACATGACTGAATAAGAAAATCATTTGTTCATGGATGCATTTATCCATTCATTCATTTAGTCAATAAAAATGCATTGAGAGTCACTTTGCGCTAGTCCCACTATATAATGTACTGAAAATAGAAATGTGAATATAAATTCGTTCTAGCCCTCAGGATTTCCAGTCTTGGAGATCCATGATCAGATAAACCAGGCAGTGCTTACAATGAACTATATACTTGAAGAAAGGACTATCTCTGTACTATTGCTATGGGAGAGTAGTAATAGCTGTTTTTTTAAAAAAATTGTTACCTGTGTGCCAGGCACTGTTCTAAGCATGTGGAATGTACTAACCCATTAAATCCACATAACCTTATGATGTAGATACAATGTTATCTACTTTTATAGTTGAGAAAATTAGGCACTGAGTGTTTAAGAAACATGCCCATTGTCACAGAGCTGATGCTTTTCTCTTTTTCTTGTAAGGAAAGGTGAGCTGAAGGAAACGACTTTCCGCTGCTGGTGTTGGTTAATGTGTTGTGATTAGATAGATGATTCCATTGTGTGGTTTAGGCACAGGGCTGCCCTTAAAGGGAGTGGTACACTGCTGCTCCTCTGGGGAGGAGTCAGGGCCTGGAGAGGAAGGTGGACCTTAGATCTGGAAGATCTTGCCTTCCCATGAGCCTCACTCTTCTGAGCTTGGACCCATAAGTGCCCAGATGTGACTCGGGGTGCTCCTGCATTGTAGATATGCTATGTTCCTTTGTCACAGGACAGCCTGAGACTGTGGGTTCCCAGGAGAGTTGTTCCAAGGGATAATAATAGTAATAATGATGATTGTGAGTATAGTTGGTATTTATTGAGCACTTCTCTAGCAGACAGTATTCAGTGCTTTGAATATATTAGTTATAATTGTCTAACAATGCAATGAGATATATACTATATGCATTTAACTGATGAGACTAATGAAGGATAGAGAGTTTAAATAATTTGTTTCTGATTATACTAGTAAGTGAATGTATTAGGCCATTCTCACATTGCTATAAAGAAATACATGAGACTGGGTAATTTATAGTGAAAAGAGGTTTAATTGGCTTACAGTTCTGCAGACTGTACAGGAGGCATAGTGGCATCTGCTTCTGGGAGGCCTTAGGGAGCTTATACTCATGGAAGAAGGCAAAGCAAGAGCAGAAAGTTCACGTTAAAAGCAGGAGCAAGAGAGTAGGAGAGGTACCACACACTTTTAAACAACCAGATCTCATGAGAGCTCACTCATGAGGGCAGTACCAAGGGGATAATGCTAAACCATTCATAAGAAATCTGCCCCCATGATCCAATCACCTCCCAGTAGTCCTCATCTCCAACATTAGGGATTACAATTCGACATGTGACTTTGTGGGGACACAGATCCAAACCATATCATGTCACCCCTGGCACCCCCAAATCTCATGTCCACCTCACATTGCAAAATACAATCATGCCTTCCCAAGAATCCCCAGTCTTAACTCATTCCAGCATAATTAAAAGTCCAAAGTCCAAAGTCTCATCTGAGGCAAGGCTAGTCCCTTCCCACTATGAGCCTGTAAAATAAAAAACCAGTTAGTTACATCCAAGATACAATGGGAGTACAGGCATTGGCTAAACATTCTCTTTCCAAAAGGAATAAATTGGCCAAAAGAAAGGGGCTACAGGCCCCATGCAAGTCAGACTCAACAGGGCAGTCATTAAATCTTAAATTTTCAAAATAATTTCCTTTGACTCCATGTCCCACATCCAGGGCACACTGGTGGAAGGCGTGGGCTCCAAGGCCTTGGGCAGCTCAGCCTTGTGGCTTTGCAGGGTTCAGCCCCTGCAGCTGCTCTCACAGGCTGGTATTAAGTGCCTGCAGCTTTTTCAGATGCAGAGTAAAAGCTGTCAGTGGATCTACCATTCTGGGGTCTGGAGGATGGTGGCCCCTTTCTCACAACTCCACTAAACAGTGCCCCAGTGGTGATTCTGTGTAGGGGTCCCACTCCACATTTACTCTTTACACTGCCCTAGTAGAGGTTCTGCTGATGGCTCTGCCCCTGCAGTAGGCTTCTTCCTGGACCTCTAGTCTTTTCCATAATCCTCTGAAATCTAGGTGGAGGTTCCCGAATTTCAACTCTTCACTCTGTGCACCTGCAGGCTTAAAACCATGTGGTAGCTGCTGGCCGGGCGCAGTGGCTCACGCCTGTAATCCCAGCACTTTGGGAGGCTGAGGCGGGTGGATCACAAGGTCAGGAGATCGAGACCATCCTGGCTAACACAGTGAAACCCTGTCTCTACTAAAAATACAAAAAATTAGCTGGGCGTGGCGGTGGGCGCCTGTAGTCCCAGCTACTCGGGAGACTGAGGCAGGAGAATGGCGTGAACCCAGGAGGTGGAGCTTGCAGTAAGCCGAGATTGCACCACTGCACTCCAGCCTGGGCGACAGAGTGAGACTCTGTCTCAAAAAAAAAAAAAAAAAAAAAAAAAAACTGTGTGGAAGCTGCCAAGGCTTACAGCTTGTCCATTCTGAAGCAGCAGCTGAAGTTGTACCTAGGCCCATTTGAGTCAGGGGTAGAGCTAGAGTCACTGGGATGCAGGGAGAACTGTCTTGACGCTGTGCAGGGCAGAGGGACCCTGGCCCTGGCCCTGGCCCATGAAACCATTCAGTCCTTCTAGGCCTTGGGCCCTGTGATGGGTAGGGCTGCTGCAAAGGTTTCTGAAATGCCTTCAAGGCCTTTTTCCCACTGTCTTGGCTGTCAGCACTTGGCTTCTTTTTAATTATGCAAATTTCTGAAGCTTGCTTGAATTCTTCCCCTGCAAATGGGGTTTTCTTTTCTTCTACATTGCCAGGCTGCAAATTTTTCAAACTTTAAAACACTCTGCTTCCCCTTTAAATAAGTTGCAATTTTAGGTCATGTCTTTGCTCACACATATGAGCATAGGCTGTTAGAAGCTGCCAGGGCCACATCTTGAAAGCTTTGCTGCTTAGAAATTTCTTCTGCCAGATACTCTAAATCATCACTCTCAAGTTCAAAGTTTCACATATCTCTTGGGCAGGGGTACAATGCAGCCAAATTCTTTGCTAAGGCATAACAAGAGTGACCTTTGTTACAATTTCTAATAAGTTACTCATTTCCGTCTGAGACCTCCTCATCCTGGGCTTCACTGTCCATATTACTATTAGCATTTTGGTCACAACCATTTAACCAGTCACTAGGAAATTCCAAACTTTCCCTCATCGTCCTGTGTTCTTCTAAGCCCTCCACGCTCTACCAACCTCTGCCTGCTACCCAATTTCAAAGCTGCTTCTACATTTTCAGGTGTCTTTATAGTGATACTCCACTCCTGGTATCACCATATACCTCACTAAATATTCTGTATTAGGTCGCTCTTGCATAACTATTAAAAAATACTACAGATGGTGCATTTATAAAGAAAAGAGGTTTAATTGGCTCATAGTTCTGCAGGCCTTACAGAAAGTATGGTGGCATCTGCTTCTAGGGAGGCCTCAGGGAGATTTTATCCATGGCAGAAGGCAAGGTGGGAGAAGAAAGCTTACATGATAAGATCAGGGGGGAGCAAGAGGTGGGGGAGGTGCCACACACTTTTAAATTACCAGATCTCTTGAGAACTCACTCATGATCATGAGGACAGTACCAAGGTTTTGGTGCTAAACTGTTCATGAGAAATTCGCCCCCATGATCCAGTCACCTCCCACCAGGCCCCACGTCCAACATTAGGGATTAAAATTCAACATGAGATTTGATGGGGACACAAATCTAAACCATACCAGTGAAGAAGTTGCCCAAAAAATTAAGAAAAATGCTGTGGCCATACTGGGGCTATAAGTGTTAAGGGTAGAGAAGGGCCTTAACACCAGGGTGGCCTTAGCAGCAGCAGCCCAGGCCTGTGGTGGTGACCAGAGACTGTGGACTGTCAGGAGGGTCCATGGGAGTGGGAGCATCAAGAACATCAAGGTGAGCAGTGGAGGCACAGGGTAGGTCCAGTCATGGTGATGGAGGAGAAGCTAGAGCAGAGCGGGGGAGACAGGGCAGCTGTGGCAAGAATGTACCTATTCATGTTAGATGTCTGCAGGAACTGCTGGAGAGGGAAGAGGGAACCTCAAACTGTAAACTGAGGTCCTAAAATAATGCAGGAGGAAATTGCAAGCTCACAAAATTTGTATATACGTTAATGTTTTTCTAGTTCAATTGATATTTGTTAAGCACCTATGCGTCAAGCATTGTTCTAGGGGCTGAAATTTCAGCAATAGAATAGAGCAGACAAAACCCCCTTCATTCATAGAGCTTAATCAGAGAAGAAATACAACAAAGAAGGTATGTAAAATGCAACACATGGCATGACACATAGTGATAAATGCTACAGATAAAGCAGGGAAAAGGATAGGAAGTGTGGGACTGGGGTGGGGGACTTGCAATTTTAGATTGGAAATACAGGGAAGTCTTTACTATGAACGTAATACTTAATGAAATTCTAAGGTGAAGGAGATAAAAGATGAATCACACATACGGGGGTCGGGGAGAGAATGGTAGAACAATGAAGACAGCAAGTTCAAAGGCTCAGAGGCCAGAGAATTCCTGGCTTGTTCAAGGAATGGCAAGTGGGCCATTTTGGTGTCTGAATCAGAGTAAATGAGGGGCAGGGTACTAGAGGATGAGGTTGGAGAAGTTGGGGCAGAAGGCAGGTTACTATAAGAACCTTTACTTTTGTTCTGAGATGGAAAGCCGATGAAAGACCTTGAGGTAGTATCAGCTGGTCAACATTTAAACATGATCACTCCGGCTTTTTCTTTGCAAATAGGGTCAAGGGAGAAGGCAGGTAGGTTAGTTTGGGGGCTATGCAATAATCCAGGTGAGAGATGATGGTGGCTTAGACCAGGTTGATAGCAGTGGAATTGGTGGCAGGAGTCAGATTCTGCAAATAATCTGGTTTTGCTTATGGCTTGAATGTAGAGTATGAGATGAAGAGACAAGTCCAGAATGATTCCTGTGTTTTTGATCTGCGCATATGAAAGAATGGACTTGACATATTTCTGCAATGGAAAAGACTAGGAAGAGTACGTTTGTGGCGTATAAGGATCACAAGCTCAGGCTTGCATATGTTAATTTGGGACACCTATTAAATATCCAAATGTTCATGTATGCTCATTTTTGTCCAAGACTTGCTGAGACTGAAGAATACTCTTTGGATTAATTGAATCAAATAAAGTAAAAAAATATTGAAAATTCTTAGAAGTGACAGAGAGTCAAAGCAAATTCATGTCACTGATGTTGTCCACAAATTTTGGTTAAATGAATTCATAGAGGGGAAGGCCCCTGGCAGGGTAAATCCCTAAGCAGAGTGGCAAGTGTGGTGTCCCTGGAGAAAAATGCTTTTGAAAAGCAATGTCTAGGGCTCATAGCTCTCAGAAAGGAAATGTCAGTGTGATATGCTTGGACAGACTTTCTTCTCTTTTTTCTGTGATACCAGTAAACCTTCTGAAGCTTGCAATTAGTTAATACACTTGAGCGAACCTTTTTGATTTTCATCATTTGAAAGTTCAAATCAGTCATATTCTATTATTCCTATTGCACAGGTTGAGAAGATCTTTGGTTTCTATCTGGTATTACTGTTTACTCTCTCCACTTTTAAATGGGCTGTCAACAATTTCTCGAAAGGTGAATTGGATAATTCTGCATTTGCTTTTCTGATATAAGGTGTGAAATTTAAACCATAAAATGAGTTGAGGCATCATTTCTGTAAGGTTATTATACCTGAGTGCATTCTTATTATATTAGATTTACACCTCAGGGCATGATATTTTATTAGATTACTTGATCTAGCAAGATCTTACCGGCTGGAATGGTCAGTTTTGATAACAAGAGACTGGTGAGGGTTTCTAAATGGTGAGCTACCTATTTAAAGTTGGGTGATGTGTCTGGTCAGGTGTGTCTCAGAATGAGATTGGACAGTAGGAAGCATCTGGGGTCTTGGAGATTGATATTTAATGGGACTGGGGGTTCCTGCAGATGAAATGAATATAGTGGAGGATGAGCTTCATTTGCTTAATGTTTGCTTTAAAGCAGCCTTGATCAACAAACATGGCTTGCCTTAGAAGAAAATAAAATACCTTGGCTAGTCCTTTCAGATGATGGTTGCCAGTGAAAACCTAGGGAATAGAAAAGGTTGTGACATTCGATAGCAAAATATGGTTTCTGGATTTTGCAATGAATTGCAAAGGTGCACATGGCATGCAATCCTGAGCCAACTGGGAGAGGGATAAGTCAGGAAATAGACATGCCTGGTCACTTTGAGATGAGGGCTCCAGCTGTTCATTTATAAAAGCCACCACAAAAGCATTTGTCCCACTAAGCAATCAAATTTCCTTGGTAAAAAATCGAAGGAAGATGTTTCCATTCAACATTATCATTCTCTAGCTTGTGTATGCTATTTACCAAGTTGCTAAAAGGAGCAAACAAGGTGAATAGTAATTGCTTGTGGACCAGTCTTCACAGCAGTCTTGGGCATGTGTGTGATGTCTTAGTTCTCTTGCAGGGAGGAGGAACACAGGCGAAGAGAAGAGTGTCCCAGAGCAATCAGCTAGCGTGAGAGCCAGGGAAAGAATGGAAACCTCCTTGGACTGGGGTAGAAATACATGAGAGGGAGGAACGAGTCCATCTTACCCTTTACCTAAATCTTCTCAGTGTAAAGCTAATTGGTGATGGTAGGGATAGTTGATTCTTCTGGTCTCTGAAGACATCTCTAAAATCCCTGCTTACTTGGGCAGTCCTAAATTGAATGAATTAAAATCCTAGGAAAACAACATTTCAGGTGACAAGGAGGATACAAAATTTGATATGAAAGGCCTTACAAAATGTTAGTTTGGCTAAAATGTTCATAACAGAGATGAGGCTTCGCTGTAGAGAAGCTTTTTAGGGATAACCTGGGTCTGCTCTGTCCAATTTGACAGAAATGGACTCTGGTGTCTACTTAAATCTAAGTTAAATGAATTAAAATTTAAAATTCAGTTTCGTAGCCACACCAGCCACATTTTAAATGATCAATAGCCACACAAGGTCCATGGCTATTGTATTGGGCAGCACAGATCTAAAACATTTCCCTCATCACAAAAAGTTCTATTGGTCACAGCTGATCTAGATAATGAAGCTGGACACAGCTTTTCCTGTTTCCACTAAGGAAAGGACAGACACAGGTGGAAATTACAACATGTAACACGGATTAGGCACTTACATGCACTTCCTGGCTCTGGAGGGTTGTCGGAGTCTGAGCAGCATAACCAAGTGAGTGCACAGGATTTTTTCCTTTGTTTTGTTTTTTCCTTCTATCTCTGAAACCTTAGGGGAAGGGTAACTTTTGTGTGTATGTGTGGAGTGGTTCTGCATGGATTGGTAGGATTTTATATTATAAAGAGATTATTTCAGGCTGTGGATTGTGACCCATTAGGTTATAAGTTAGTGGGTTGTACAGGCATTAAAACAAAAGAAATAGAGTGAAAATATCAGCATGCTTCTTGTGTAGTGAGGGTAAATAATATTTGGTAAAATTTTGTTTCAGATATGTATATGTTTGGATATATTGGTTCAGTGTGTAAATTGTGTATCTGAATCATGTTTAAAATATATTTGAAAGCTAACTCTGAAGTTGAAAAACTGAAATGAAGTGTCTTGAATCCTGCAGCAAATAGCAAGCAGCAAGTGAAAGTTTAGAAGCTCTTTTAGTTATTAATGCCAAAGACAATTTATTAGATCTCACCTGCAAGCTGCTTATAGAAACAAAAGGGAACAGGGCATTTTGCTTTATGAAGAGGAACATCTTTAAGGAAATCACGTAGCGGTGTACAGGGGTAGAATAGGTGGGGTGGATAATCAGGATAATTGCTGTCATCTAATGTTCTTTAGTACCTAATGGTAAATGCATTTGTGAAGAAGGCATCTTATAAATATGAAAGAGGTATGTGGTATTCAGTTACATTTGAGTACCTTATTTCCATTTTGTTTGATGCACTTTTAGCACAAGAGATGCTTGTCCCATTTCCATTGATTTTTGCTAAGTCACGTGGTGTATATATATATATAACTTGAATATGTAATTTCATTGTATTGATCAATACATTCTGCTTATATATAATTAGGCCTTTTATAAGAGTGGCAGTGATAATTTAATTTTCTGATCAAAAACCTATTTCCCTCCTGGTTCTAAAAAGTATAACAGTGTGCTTTCTTAATGGAAGAAACACTCTTCCTTTCATTCGCTAACTGCTGGGTTTTCTGCTTTTAGTTGGCCTTTTTGTCCAGCTTGAGAAGGGAATTGCTAAAACTTAATACTTACTTTGTTCTGCCTTGCTGGCTCCAACCCCATACTAGCCCGAGAAAGGACCAGAAGCACAACGGATACCAGCACTCTAGTTGGAGATGCCAGTTCCAAATCATCTCCCATCCTAGGGAATTTCTGAGAGAATGTAACAGGTGTCACTGCCCCCTAATTCTGCTCATTGGTTATTTGCTTATTGTCTGATGTCTGTTATTAGATGTTCTATTGTTAGACTGTAAGCTCCATGAGTGCAGGAACCTTGCCTGTTTTGTTTACTGCCATCACCTGAACCTGGAACAGTACTTGGAACATACATTAAGTATATGATATGATTGCGCAGTGCAGCGATCCTCAAAGTAGGGTCTCCAGATCAGCAATATTAGCCTTGTTAGTAGCATGGGAGACTTGTTAGTAACACCCATTCTGAGCCCCAACGTGACCTACTGAATTGGAAACCTGGCATGAGACCTATCTGTCTGGGTTTTAACAGGCCTTTCAGGTGACTGGGATCCACGTTAATGTTTGAGAAGCATGGGTTTAATGAGTCCTTAAGTTAGGAGAGTTGACGGTGTTCTGGGGGATTTTTGTATGCTTTTCTCAAATGTGGATCTTCTCATTTAGCTTTTTCACCCAAGGCTTTATAGAGTGGGTTAGTGAAGATGAGACTACAAGTTATAGAAATAAGCCAGTGAGGTAGGCTCTTGAAATCCTCATCTGTCAGTCTTTGAAGACTTAATTGATATGATTGGACCCTCCTGTCATTTCTCTGAAGAAAGAAATTCTAAAGGTGAGAATTGTATTTGATAGTGCTTACTGTTGAGCAATAAAATCGTTGAAACCAACTTTATAATATCCAGACATGAAAATGGTTTTTTTTTTGAACCAGTAATACCACTTGCATAGAGTATAATAAATGGCCAGAAATGCTATTATTGCTGTTACAGCATTTGCCTTAAATCTTTTGCAATTATGATCTCTAAATGTTCAACTATAGTGAAATAAGTAAACAAAATTATGATATAGCCATTCTTTGGATTATTATATAGGCAATAAAATTTTAAATAATTTTAGGTGACATGGAATGTTTATCTAAAGCTAACTGAACAAAGCAGTTCACAAGGACAACTTTTCTATACCATTTTATTTACACACATGTGTAAATAGAAAAGAGACAGGAAACACATCATCATCATAACTCCTTTCTTGGATGATGTAATAGACTGCTGATTTCCTTAATTTTTCTTTGAATTTTTCATTTGTTTACAATTAATAGATTTTAAAATCAGAATATAACATGTTATAAAACACTAAAAAATTGAAGGGAAAAACTTAACCATTCTACAGTGATAACAATTATATTTATATTTTCTTCTCGTTTTAGTTCATATGTATGCATTTTAAAATATGATTGGGTTGATCAAGCAAATTTTAGCATTTATAAATGCCCCCAAAAAAAGGAGACTGGAAACTGTATTACTAGTATTTTCTTTCTCAAACTGATGTTTAAGGGTTGCAGATTTCTTGGTATAGTTAGAACAGCTGCAGAACATTTAATACTCTGTAATTTATTTATTTATTTTTTGAGACAGAGTCTTGCTCTTGTTGCCCAGGCTGGAGTGCAATGGCACAATAACTTCCGCCTCCCGGGTTCAAGCAATTCTCCTGCCTCAGCCTCCCGAGTAGCTGGGATTACAGGTGCCTGCCTCCATGCCCGGCTAATTTTTGCATTTTTAGTAGAAACGAAGTTTTGCCATGTTGGCCAGGCTGGTCTCGACCTCCTGCCCTCGTGATCTGCCCACCTCGGCCTCCCAAAGTGCTGGGATTACAGGCATGAACCACCACACCCAGCCTGAAATTTATTTTTTAAAGAAAGAGCCCATTACATAGAACAATGTCAGTTCAGACGTACTTCCAGGGGGTGGCTTAGGAAGAGAACAGAGATAGGAATCGGTGAAGCCAACTTTTCCAATAGATGTAAGATGAGGGTAGTGCACAGGAAGGTGGAAGGGAGATGGGATGGGCAAAGAGAGGGTCCTGAAGCCAGAGATACCCTTCCATGAGGGTGAGATTTCAGGCTCAGTCCCACCAAAAGTGAACATCAGTGTCCTTTAAGAGCTAGATGAGTCACTGCCTCTGCTCTTAGGAAACTTATGATTTCCTCTTTCTTTTGAGTGAAATATAACTCAGGAAAAAAAATTAAGCAAATGGTATTTGAACCCATAATTCTGAGTAGTGGAAGCAGAGTTAGGCCATTTCAAATCAATCAGAATAAATGTCTGGGGCAGAAATCACTCAGCAGCAGCTAGTTACTAAGACCTTGGGCCACTACATTGGACAAAAATTTCTTGCTTCCATACGACACAATGGGTCTAATGTTTTGCACTTTTACTGAAATTTTAGTAAAATTAGATTTAAATCTTTGATCCATTTGAAATTTTCCCTAGTGTAAGGAGTGAGGTAGTATTTTTTTTTCCAGACTGGTGAGTGGTTATCGCAACATTATTCATTGATTCAAAATGCCAGATTTATCATATCGTAAGTTCCTTATGTGTTTAGGCCTGTTTCTACTCTGTTCTATTAGTCTCTTTACATAGGTACTAGTACCAGCCATTCTATTTGTAATGCATTTATAAGTTTTATTACCTGGTGGGGCTGGTTACCTTTCAGTGCTCTTCTTTTTCTATTTTTGTGGCAGTTTTTGATTATTTTATACATGATTTTAAGAGTCAACTTGTCCATCTTAAAAACTAATGAGAAAATTGATGTCTTTATAACTCTGAGTCTTCATATTCAAGAATAAGGTATCTCTTTCTATTTTTCCACCACCCAATATATTTTCTGTGTTTCAAATTTTCTTCATCTAGAACCAGGACATCTCTTGAAAATTTTATATAAATGTATTTTATCTTTTTGTAGGTGTTGTAAGTGAGCTTTTTTCTTGTATTTTGAAATTGTTTGTTACCTTTATATAAGAAACCCATTGGTATTAATAATATAATAACCAGTTATATTACTAAATTCTGTTACCGTTTCCTATTAATTTTCACCTGATTTTCTTGGAGCTTGCAGATGTGAAGTCATATATTCTAAAATGATCAATAACTTTATTCCAGTTTTGATGTCTGATATCTTTCTCTTGGGTAACTTAACAAATGAGAACTTCTAAAACAGTGCAAATATTATGATAATGTGAATCCTTTTGAAAAATAATACTATGGAAATTTTTCTCATAATGATTATGATGATAAAACTACATAGGCATGTGGTACTAATCATGTTCAAAAACTCTTCTAAGCGTTTTACTTGTTAACTTATTAAGAGTGGCTGACCTGAATAGCCAAGGCAATCCTAGGCAAACAGAACAAAGCTGGAGGCCTCACATTGCCCAACTTCAGACTATACTACATGGCTACAGTAACCAAAACAGTATGCTACTAGTACAAAAAACAGACACTTAGACCAATGGAACAGAATAGAGAACCCAGTAATAAGACCACACACCTACAACTCTGATCTTCAACAAACCTGATAAAAACAAACAACGAGGAAAGGATTCCCTATTAAATGGCGCTGGGATAAGTGGCTAGCCATATGCAGAAGATTGAAACTGGACCTGTTCCTTACACCACATACAAAAATTAAGATGGATTAAAGATGTAAATGTAAAACCCAAAACTGTAAAAACTCTGGGAGACAACTTGGGCAATACTATTCAGGATATAGAAGTACGGGCAAAGATTTAGTGATGAAGATGCCAAAAGCAGTTGTAACAAAAGCAAAAATTGACAAATGGGATCTCATTAAACTAAAAAAGCTTCTGCACAGCAAAACAAACTGTCAACAGAGTAAACAGACAACCTACAGAATGGGAGAAAAATTTTTGCAAACTATGCATCTGACAAAGGTCTAATATCCAGCATCTGTAAGAAACTTTAACATACTTACAAGAAAAAGACCTCATTAAAAATGGGCAAAGGACATGAACAGACACTTCTCAAAAGGAGACATACATGAGTCCAACAATCATATGAAAAAAGCTCAACATCTGGGAAATGCAAATGAAAACCACAGTGAGATACCATCTCACACAAGTTAGAATGATTATTATTAAAAAGTCAAAAAATAAGAAATGCTAGCAAAGTTGTGGAGAAAATGGAAAGCTTTTACACTGTTGGTGGGAGTGTAAATTACTTCAACCATTGTGGGAGAGAGTGTGGCCGTTTCTCAAAGACCTAAAAACAGAACCACCATTCAACCCCGCAATCTCATTACTGGGTATGTCCCTAAAGGAATATAAATCATGGTTATCGAGACACATGCATGTGTATGTTCACTGCAGCAGTATTCGCCATAGCAAATACATGGAATCAACATAAATGCCCATCAATGATAGACTGGATAAAGAATATATGGTACATATACACCATGGAATTCTATGCACCTATAGAAAGAACAGGATCATGTTCTTTGCAGGGACATGGATGAAGCTGGAGGGCGTTATTCTTAGCAAATTAATGCAGGAACAGAAAACCAAATACCGCATGTTCTCACTTATAAGTGGGAGCTAAATTGTGATACCACATGGACACAAAGAGGGGAACAGCATACACTGGGGCCTGTCAGAGGGTGGAGAGTGAGAGGAAGGGGAGGATCAAGAAAAATAACAAATGGGTACTAGGCTTAATACCTGGGTGATAAACTAATCTGTACAACAAACCCCCATGATTCAAGTTTCCCTATGTAACAAACCTGCACATGTATCCCTGAACTTAAACGTTAAAAAAAAAAAAAGAGTGGCTGACATTTGACCTGAAATATATTTATTTTACCATGCACTGGAGATTCCACATACTTATACTTTGTTAAAAATTAAAATTCTTTATCCTTTCCAGATTTCTAAAATCAAATGCCATTTCAGCATCTGTATAGCTGAACATATGGAGTGCTTTTCTCTTTTGACTTGTTGACAGAGTGAATTACATTAATAAATGTCTTACAGTTGAATCATCCTGGTGTGGTATGTGATATATCATTCTTTTACTGTGATTCTGGCTTCTATTTGCTTATATTTTTATATAGAAATTTCACATTAATATTTATAAGTCAGATTAGACTATAGTTTTATTGCTATATTTATCAAATTTCTGTATCACTATCATGCAAGCTTTTTTAAAAACTGGCAGTTTTTGTTCCCTCTGTCTCTTGGAAAATTTTAAACAACTGAGTTTGTTCCTTGAAGGTTTTACAGAACTCACCTGTGATACCATCAGTGCATGTGCTTTTTGTGAGGAAGTTTTTTGATAACATTTTTTTTCTACTGCTTTTCATTTCTAGGGTCAGTTTTAAGTGATGTATAATCTTCTCTCTGTTTCTTCTTGGTTTTCACATTTATGCATAGGTTTTTACAAAGCATTGCATTTAGTTTTTTTTTCTACTTCATATTGGCATGTATCTACTTTTCTCTGAGCTTCACTTCTCCTTTTTCCCAAGCTTCTAAATTTGTTTGTTCTATTGCCCTCCTCCATCCCAAACCAATTTTAGCCTTAGATTTAATCTCAAAAGTCTACTCATTTGAGAAACATTACTATACAGTTTTTTATTTGTACATTTTAATATTTTTTCAAAAGGTACTTTTTAAAAAAAATCACTATTTTTCCAAAATGTTGACTTTGTTCTTGTCAGAGATTCGTGGTTTTAAAAATAGCTTTGTTTTCTAGATGAGGGAGAGAATAGAAAAGCAAGGTAAGATCATCAGCCTCACAGTGCAGATTAGGAGAAATGAATGCACTTAGCAGGGGAAATGGATTTGGTTTTAAAGAGCTACCACCTTTCTCCTAACCAGAGGCTTTTTGGCTTTAGTGGTGAGTCAACCTCTCAGCAAGCTGGACTTCACAGACATAAAAGGGTGTAGAGCACTCTTCATTCCATGTTCATTTTCAGCAATTTTTACTTTTATTTCCCACTTTACCTGCCACCCGACCCTCATCCCTCAGCCAAGCTTAGGACAGTGACATAAATGCTGGTTAATGACTTTGTGTAGTAGGTATGGGCAAACACACCGGGCAGAGGAAACGCTGGCTTCATGGCCTGCCCAATTGAGAGCACCAGGGACCCTGCTGTTTGGGGCTGAGGAACCATCCAGCAGAGCCATCAAGAGAAGGGGTGGGCCATGCCAACTGCAGGGTGTGTATAGTACTCGAGGCATATAGAACAGTAACTAAAAAGGGAAAGGCAGTAATGGTTCTATGACTACAAAATTTTCAGAAGGCCAGTGTTGTTGGAGTGCATGGAGCAGGAACAAGAGCAGCACTGGATAGATCAGGAAGCAGCCACATCCAGAGCTTTGTGGGTCATGGTGAGGAATTCCAGGGCCAGGAAGCTTATGGGTATCTACGTGCCTTTTGGTATCATCCATTTATCTCCATTGCCTGGCACATAATAGGGAAACACTAAGTATGTGAAGTCCATAAATGATGGAAGAATTTGCATGGAGTTTTCTTGAGACTGAGGCATATTATGGGTTTTTTGGTTTTGACCCCTGCTTATCCTTTGACTAGTAAATCACTCAGACTTCTACTTCTCCACTTCATACTGGATTACCAGAAGAGAAAAAAACTCACAAAATAAAAACAAATAGGAAAAATAGTAAAGTATAATATATCGCTTTACGTGTTGCCAAAGGAGGAAATCAGAAACATGTCTCTGATTTCTAAGTGTCTCTACTGTGCACTTAATTTTTGTGGTCATTAGCTATAATTTCATATATGCCATTAATTATAATATACTTCGTATGTTTTTTGGAATCAATGAAACTTATGTTTACCCTGTAGGTAATCATGAACTTGAATTTCTAAGATACAGACTTTTTTTTCTTCTTAAATTATTAGATTTATTATTTGGGGGGAAATTTGAAGAATTGAGGTATATGAATATAAAGAGAGCTGCCTTTTAAAATCCTTATGGAAAACAAATAACCCATTTCATTAGAAGATTTTGAATTTAAATCACAAGGCAACAAACGTCCCAACTAACAGTATCAGGAAGAGGTATTTAAAGGCCACCTGAGATAATAAATACTTGTTTCTAAGATAAAAGGCACATTTTACCAAATTGTCAGAGAGAGGATGGCTATGTGTGGAAAGTGGCAAAAAGTTGAAAGTGGTCATTCCCAAGCATGGCTGGACACTGAAGTCATTTTAGGGGAGATTTAAAAACCATAGATGCTGGGGTCCCTGTTTCTCACGGTGTTCTGATAACTTGGGTATCACATTAAAAGTTTAAGGGCAGAGGTGGGAAGGTCCGGAAGTTTGACCTCCTCCTTTTAGCATCTGAAAGTCTCCCTGGCTGCTCCTGCTTGCAGAGTTATATGCCTTTAGCCCTGGTCTCTCCAGGAGAGGAGGGCTGCAAAAGTGGAAGGAAAATTCTCCACCTTGACTCCAGTAGTCCCCTCCCACTTCCAGGGAGCCTGGCAGCATCAAGCCACTCCCTCCTGTATTTTTGATGTCTCTGCTTCCCAAGCTGTACATAAGCTCGGGTGTCTCTTCTTTAAACAAAACCCCTTCCTCAAACGTCTTGTCCTCTTTAGCATCCTCCTCCTGTTCCCCCACAGCCCAGCATTTCACAGAGTGGATCACCCTTGCTGGCTGGACTTGGCATCTCCTGCACTGTCACCTCTTCTTCCAGGCATGTCTTCCACTGTCAGTACTCCCCAGCTCCTCCAACACTCACCACAGCCAGGGAGATAAAAACCACTTTGTGGAATTATCCTCACTAAGGTTACCAATGATTTTCTAGTTTCCTAAATCCAGGAATTGTTTTCCAGTCCTTATTTAGCCTCTGCTAGACACTGTTTTCCACCATTCTGTTCTTGCAACCTTGTCCTGTTTTCTTTGACACATGCCTACCACTTCTCTCTTTGTTGCTCTCTGGCCATCCTCACCTGTTTCACGCCCCACACCAGCCCTTCTTATCTTTCACCCCTTGGTACTGGTGTGCTTCAAGCTGAAAGCTTTCATCTGCCTTCTTCTGTCTCCATATCCTCCCCTGTGGCCTTCTCCATTCCTGGTGCTCTGAGCAACACATACCTGCTTACTCTCCCCTGAGCCCCTGCTTCACGTGTTGAAATGCACACTGACTATTTCACACTGGGTGTCTTATAGGCTTTGCACACTCTATATATCCAGAATGGAACTTGTTACCTTTCCAACAAAATCTCTCTTCTCATGTTCTTCTGTCTTGCTAAATGGTCCTTTTGTTTATCCAGCTTCCTCACCTAGAAACAAATGAAAGTATCAAGATTCCTGCTTGCTCCTGGCCCCCTTCATCAGTTGATCACCAAATCCTAGTAATTTTGGGTTTAAGTATCCCAAATACTTTCTTACCTCTTTGTCTGTGACAGCCTTTGCCTTATGTCAGATATCGATACTTAGTTTCACATGTAATTATTGCAATAGCTCTAGTTTTCCTTTCTGCCCGTGGAACGTGTCCAACCAAATCCAGAAAAAAGTCCTTCAAACTCTTTGGAATGACTGGTAGTGTTCTTCATGGTTGTCTCTTCCTACTTCCTCCTTTCATGTTTAACTTTCACACCACTATCTTTGCCCTGACCCATAAATATATATCCCAGGGCCAGTGACAATGAGCTATTTTATTCTCTGAACACTTTGTCTCATGACTCAGTTGAGTTTCACACATTGGTTACTGTATATTGCTCCTCTGCTTGGAGTACCACTTACCCCATATTTTTAGTATCAGGCTCATCTTCCTTCCAGACCAGCCTAAATGCTACCTCCTCTGAGGAATTCTCCAGAGCTTCCAATGCAGGGTTAACAGTGCTCTTCTTTGTTGACTCATAGTGTGTTCACTGATCACTCATCAAAAATCTGTTTTCTTATTAATCAAATGTACTTAAAGAACAGCCTCTGCAGGTAGAAATTCACTTCTGTGCCTCTGGTTCTTGGATCAGTCCTGCCGTATATTGGGTGGAATGTTGGATAAATGAATAGGTGACCCTCTAATCAGAATGGCATTTGGTGAGAATTTCAGGTTGGATAATCAGTAGAAGTGAAAGGTGACACAAGCAGATGAGATATTTTGGGTCACAGTGTGTCTGCCTGTCCCTGGGGTATAGAAAACACCCAGATACACCCATCTGCTGGGCCAAAGGTGAGCTTTAACCACCAGAGTCTAGTGCCACTCTGAATTGACTCACTCACTTGGCCCTGAACTCTTGCTCCAATTCTCTCTTCTCTAAATTTCATATCACATGGTGTATCACATCTCAACCACAGTCCCACCTTAGCCCAAGTGACTTAGAATTTGCTCTTAATCCCACTCAGCTGGAATCTTTTCATTTTCTCATTGGCTCTGCAATACCTCACACTACTTGTTCTCTTCCTTTGTCTCAGGCGGAAACTCTTCCCCTCCCAAACCTGAAGAGCCAGATTGCCAAATAAATAACTAGATTCCTCGTGGAGGCTGGTCTGATCCTACTGTGAGGGGAAAATTGACATAGGCAATTTTAATGGTTGTGTTTTTTTCTCAAACTCTCATTTTCTATCATAATTAGTCATGGATACACACAACACAAAAATAGGGATAATGATTTTGTGTCTTTGAGAGAATCAGTTTGGGATATCTCAAAAATATATTTTTTTCTGCAAGAGGGTAAATGATAACATATCGTTTTCAGCTGGTGTGGTTCCACAAGTTTCTGAGATAATGGTAATTACCCAAACCATATCAACCCATTTGTCCTGTTGAAAACTCTTTGGAGAGTGTTCTAAGGATATGGCTTGGAAATAAAATTAAGACCTGTTGCTATGAGATGAATCCCAAGAGGCAATGGGGCTTCGCTAGTACTTACCAGTATATATGTAATGTTAATGGCCATGATCACCAATGGCTCAATAAGCAAAACCAAGCCCCTGTGAAGGAAAACTAAAATCAACAAGGAAAACCAAAAGTCCCTGTGAAGAGACCCCTGAGCAAGAGAATGACTGTACATTGCACAGTGTCGTCTGAGAAGAAGGGAGGCCAAATTACTATGGAAAGTTCTGTGTAAGGAGTTAAAGAAGAGTTCCTCATTGGTTTTTGTTAAGCCTTCTTGAGCAGGCATAAATGTCTTTTCTCTTTTTCTTTGTCCTTTGATTTCACCATTAAGTAAAAAGGAAAATCATTTAGAAGGAGTAATACCCCAACAGTGATTAAGAATTTATCATCTAACAATACCATGTGGATTAACTCATTTTTCTCACACTGTGAAGATGCTTCTCACCCTGTGAAGCAGGCCACATTATTATCTCCATCTCATTGGCAAATAAACTGAGGCTGAGAGAAGAGTAGTGGCTGTGCAAGTCATTTAGACAGTAGGTGTCAGAGCTCAGCATTGACTGTGGAAGCTTCAATTCAGAAGCTGCACTTTTTGCTATTCTAAGACTACAACTTGAGCCTATGCTTAAGGATTGCCTGCTGAGCTATCTGGTCTGAGAGGTGAGGTGAACAAAAATGAGCTCTGGCTGGACTTGGTTCAGAAATAGAAGATGCCATCGAGACAGGGAAGTGGCAGGTAATGGGAATCCAGGCCTTTGGCTGTTTTGGATAAGAGTGAAAACTGGAATGTGGGCAGGTAGAAGACTAGAATGAAACTGTACACACAGCAGTGATCCTGGAGCCATCATCCCACCCAGTGTTCTGTATCAAGGAGGACAACAAGATGAACCCATATGCACCAAGGCTTTAGAACCCCTGACTCTCCCCAAACCTCTTGGGGAGAATGGATGCAAGGTGATGTCATTAACTGACTTGTGATGGGGAAGGGATTAGAAATCCAGACCAGAGGAAAAGCAAAGGGAGACAAGGAATAGTTGTTAAAGGTCAAATTGTCTGGCTGAGTGGTATAGAAATTAGAAAAGCCTGTAACTGAATTCAGGGAGATTGAGAATTCCTGGGACATGAAATTAGGACAAATGAGTCCCTGTGGTGACCTGTGACCTTCCATCAACAGTACTGGTTTGTCCCAGCACACAGGACAGAAAAGGAGTTCAAAATGTGTAGGAAAGGGAGATTTTAGAAGAGATATTTATGTATTTTTTTATAAAATGTGTGTTTCTTTGGCTTCTAAAGTCAATCACGCAAAAAACATTTTGAAGTAGAATTATAGTCCTGAAATTCTTTCTCTACCAGAACTTTTCAATATTATTCATTTCAAGGGCTTGAATTTCCTCTAATGTCAAGATCCTGTGGTTTTACAACTAAAGATTGGCCCTAGATACATTGGGATTTATCTAGGTCATGTTTCATGATTAATGTATTCTACCCTCAGGACATTAGTAGCTTCTTTTCACTTATCTCATTTTTTATATTACTGTTAACGACCTTTTAACCTATTTTTATATAAAGTAAAACCTCTCCTCTGGGAATGGCAATTCCTGAAAAGACTTATGTATTAAAGCTGTTTATGGAGAAAAACATTGTGGGGATGGGGTTAGGAAGAAATTATACAAAATTCCCTTTTATTTGGAAAAATTTATAATTTGGCCCATTTTCAAGTAATGAGAACTCTAAATAGAATGACACTTAAAAAAACTTGCTGGTTTAAAAAAAGTTAGAAAGCTTGCTGAGATATAAAAAAAATGTAAATGGAAATAAAAATAGGAACGAAAATGAGTCCCAGATTTAGTGGAGATGACAGCCCTCTTTAATGCTGTCATCCTAAGCCACCCTTTACAAACTCTTCTGTTATATTTTCAATGGAAAGCAGCTGCCTTGGAAGGCATTGTTTACAATGGATCTCTGTCACAGCTCTGCATTGTAGCTATAAATAATGTCAACACATTCTCCTATCCAGCAGCCTAAATGCTGATGCCACCCATCCATACCAGATGAGGTTATATTATTCTTCCTCAAACATATTCATTATCATCTCATGCTGTCCCCATCCCTGAGGGTAATGACGACCCTTTGTAACACCATTCATCACTGCCTGTGATTGTTTGCAGCTGAGGCTATTGGCCTGGGGGTCCTCTCCCACCCGGCTTCTCTGTTCTCAGTCATATTGTGTCTGCTTTGTTGTCTTATTGATCTCTTTCTTCCAAACATTTTCTTCTTTTCCAGTACAGTCCTGTGGCTGTAGAAGCAAAGCAAATGCAAAGTACTTTTATGTTAGCATCAAACAGCCATGTAGAGGTCTTGGTGGTTTAACCAGGTAAGGAATGAGTCTCTAAAGGAGAGTCTAGGAAGGATCTTAAAAGGTGAGTAGAAGGTCAGGGTGAAGTGGTGAGGTGGGGATTTTAAATTTTTTTTTTTAAAAGCTGTAATGAAAGAAGACAAGTCAATCAGTGACATCACTTTGGACCCATTTTTCCCAGGAGGTTTGGGAACAGTCGGGGGGCCCTAAAGCCTCAGTGCATATGAGCTTTTCTAGGCAGTTGGTTTCTTCATTTTGTTGAATTCTCAGGTTATGAGTCAAATCACATATATAAAATGAATAAAAGTATAACAACACTAAAAAAAAGATTATTAATGGAACAGAATTTGTAGAATACTTGAAAAAAGGCAGATGAAATTTAATAGGAAAACTAAGCTCAAAATACATACAGAAGATGGCTGCTGCATGTGGAGACAGATTTTGAGATTCTCTAAAAATCAGTTTTGGGTATCAGGCACAGAAGGAGGTCCTAAGAGAATCATTAGAATACTGGTTTTTGTACCAGTAGGTAGACCAACATCCTCCTATCACCTTAGCCAGTGGGGCAGATGGGGGCTATTTCATCTAGAAGATTAGCCACTGGCACACTGCACACCTTCCCCCAGTAACTGAGAAAGGCTGTGGTCAAAATTTTAATAGTTAAAGAGGAAAGAAACATAAAAAGCAGAAATTTTGGAGAATAAACCTGAGAGGGGCTTCTGGCTGATTTTGGTCAGGAGCACACTCTCTTCCAGACTAAGAATATTTAAGGGTTTTAGGGTGAGAGAATTCATTACAGGCTTGGAATGTTTCTGTGTAGAGGAGAAGTTTATTGCAGGGTTGGAATGTCTCTGATGGGAGGGGAAGTTATCTTGGGGCTGACATCTCTCCAGCCGGAAGGGAAGTTATCTCGGGGTTGGCATGCCTCTGGTCAGGGAGGGGTTTATCTTAGGGTTGGAATGTTTCTGGTCAGAGATGTTGTTTGTGGTTTATGGTCATGCTAACATTAGCCATTAGACTGATGTCCTTTGGGTTGGATTTAGGTGATTTTTGATCAATCAGAACTTTAAAATGGTGGTGCTTTTCCAAGATGGTGATGCTTCTATTCTGTCAATCCAGACCCTATAGTTATAAAAAGGATGAGGGGCAACGTGTTCTTTCTGGCTACTTCCTGCTGATGGGGGAACAGAGAGTTTTCTGGTCTTGGATTGACTGTAGGGGTAATGCTGTCTGTAGATGTTTTTGGGTAGTTGTCTGTGAAATGGCCATGATTCTGTCAGTTAAAAATCTTTGAAAAATGTTAATCAGGCAGGGTAAGAACATTAGTCTTACGCATATTAATAATATGCGTAGAGGGCCCAGGAATGAGATGACCCATACTATGATTTTGTTCCCAAACCAATAATCTATTTGGTTGTTTTGGTATTCCCTTAGCTTTTTAGCCCTTTCTTTAAGGTATTTAGCAATGCTTCTTACGAGGCCTGATTGGTTGAGATAGAAACAACATTCCTTACCTAATGAGAGGCAGAGGCACATGTTTGGAAAGGCCCATGTATTATGTTCTGTTAGTAACCGTTATTTAAAGGCAAATCATGGTAGGACTGGTTTGCTTTATTATACTTGGTTTAATTATTTGCATAGAGTGCAGCAAGAATAATAGTTACATAGGCCTTTTAAATTGGCTTTGATGGAACTTTGTTCCAGAGAAGGAATCTGAGATAAGACCTTTTTAAAGCCCAGCCCAGCCATGGATTTGTACCATCAAATACCTATGAGTTGGGTAAATTGCTCTCCTCTTGAGGTTCCAAGATAACTTAGGGTTCCCGGCCTGTCAGAAAATGACATTTTTTACCTACCACAGATCAGAAACCCTGTACAGGGACTGTGTACACAAAATATGAGGCCAGTTTTCCAAGGGCTTTATTGGCTTCATAAGTCATGTTTGATTCCTTAAAGGAGAGCACACCATTCCAGCCAAAGCCTTGGTAAATATAACTAGATTTTCCAATTGTGTCCTGTTACAAAAGAAAACAGATGCTAATTGTACTTATGCAAATAACTACATTGCCATAATCTAAGAATACTCACAGATAGTTTCCAAATTCTGGAGAAAATCAGGTAGAGAGAAACAAGTATGCTCCAAATTTTGTTCACAGGAGTGTACTAAATTGCTAAAAGCAGTCTGTAGCTTAAAAGAAAAGTTTCTTTGACTTTGAAAAGCAAAACAAAGAATTAGCAATATTTTAAGCAAAACATTCAAAAGATCACTCCAGTCTCCTATTAATTCAGTTCATGCAGTTAATTCCTGTCCTGCTTGATATTAATGAACATTTTTAGCTCTTCAAGAGTCCTGAACATTTTTCCTCTATTCTGATGTCACAATCTCCAAAGTTATCAGAAATCTGCATTCAAGAGCACCTGCTAGAGCTTTATAGGTGATTATAAAACCGCCTTCTAAAGAGGACCAAAAGAAGACAATTGTTTATGGATGACAAAAAGTTTTAGGGTAGCCATAGTTAAAGACACAATTGACAAGGATATCTGTTACCTTTGTGACACACAATAATTTTAACATAATAATTATAATTATTGATGTTAATGTACGCCAAGATATATCAGAATTATAGGAGTCTCCCATAACTTTGGAACACATACCAATAACATATTTATACAAATATAGCCCAAAGAAAGCCAAACACCATTTTATATTTGACAATACTTCCTGTATGATTTCATACCAAATAAGCCAAATTTTACCTTTATATTAGTGTGCTTTTAATGTTAAACTCAATTTTTAATGAAACCTTGTAGACAAAGTTACCGAATTTTAATGTTTCACTGTAAGTTAAGATTTTTTATAGACCCTTTTAACCCTTTATAATTTTTGTTAAAGAACAGGTTAGTGCTTTAAGAGAAACCAGTTGTGCTTTTATTTTAATGATCAATTTACAGAAAAACTAGACGATAACCCTTCATCTTTAGTCAATATGTTTACACACAGAATTTCCTTTACAATTAACCTTCCAAAACTTGCTTAAACTTTCATTTTTACTTTATTTAACTTAAAAGAATTCTTTAACCTTTCAATCTAGGTAAAAATCCACATTCTCATGCCTCCTTATAATCTCTTTACTAAAAGTATATATAAATTGTTTTTTTCAATAGTCTTAAATACATGCTACACTGTCAACTTTTAGCAACCTTTACTTTTGTTGGTAAGTTTGGGATTTTAATTATGTACTAGGTGTAGAGCTTAGGACCTAGACAGAAATGCAGATAAGGTCTGACTTATTCCAGCATTTAACTCCATGTATTCTAGGTCTTACCTAGCTACAAAGCAAGCAAATTGTACAGCTAAGAGTTATAGTGGCATTTTATAAACCTCAGGAGGCCTAATCACTTTTACATTGTACAATATTTCTTGCATAAATTCCCTTTTATAAAATTTTTCATGACTTACACAATCTCTGACATGCTTTGACTTTCTGACTTGTTCTAAACAACCAGTTTAACCTCTTTAAACAACCAGTTAATTTACTTTAGGATAAGAATTTACCATGCAAGATTCTTTTTTATGTAAATTCTGTTTTCTTTAGTATCAAAGATAACAGTCCTTTCCCAAAATGAACTTCCTTCATGTCTGCGAACTAGACTGCCTAAGGCCACAAGATTAGAAGTTATGGTATTTCATTAAATAGTTCAAGATGTAGCTATCTTTATTAAACAAATATTAATGTTTCATTTATTTAAAAATTACACAAGCAAAGATTATTCTGTTTGGGCTGAGTATAGTTTCGTAAGCTCTATGCCAAATTTTGACACCTTATAGTATTTGGCAGAGATAAGTATGAAATTGCTTGATCAATAAATACAAAAAAAAATGTATGCTGGAAACTCTTAAGGCATTTCTAATTTTACTGTACCAGTAAGTTTTAAAGACTAAAGTCACGTGAATTGCAAGGTCCCTCTCACACAAATCGCTTGAAAAGTGAAGTGAGAGATAAGATGGGGTGGGTGGCCAGAGACTCTCGGTATTCAGCAGGATGAGCTGCTGCTGCCCACTGCTTCCTGGGTTGCAGGAGAGCCCCTACCCACAACACCCCTCCTGGGTTTTGGTACCAAATATATGAGTTAAAGAAAGTGGAAAGAAACACAAAAAGTGGCTCAACAGTCAAAGACAGGTTTATTTTGGAGAATTAACCTGAGAGGGGCTTCTGGCTGATTTCGGTCAGGAGTGTCCTCTCTTATGGACTAAGAGTATTTAAGGGTTTCAAGGTGAGGGAGCTTACATACAGGCTTGGAATGTTTCTGTGTGGATGAGGAGTTTATTGTGGGGATGGAATGTCTCTGGAGGTTATCTTGGGGCAGACATCTCTCTGGCCAGAGGGGAGGTTATCTCAGGGCTGGCATGTCTCTGATTGAGGAGGGTTTTATCTTAGGGTTGGAGTGTTTTTCTGTTTGGAGATGTCATTTATGGTTTATGGTCAGGCTGATGTTAGCCATTAGGTTGGATTTAGGTGGTTTTTGATCAAGGGGAACTTTAAAATGGTTTGTCCAAGGTGGTGGCAACAAAAATATTGAGCAGGAAAATTTTTTCAGAATTAGCACAAAAAGGTACAGAGGCAAAAAACATGAAAGAAAGTGAAACAAAAGACCCCAAAGTTTCAAAATCTATCAAATAGGAGCTCCCAAAGGAAAAAAATGGAAGAGAGAAGATACTTAAGGGAATAACAAATGAAAATTTCCCACAACTTAGAAATACGGATTTTGCAGTTGAATGAGTACACTGAGGCCTGCCAGATGGAAGAGATAAAGGATCCTCCCCTAGACACACCAGAGAGAGCTTTCAGAGCACCAAGTATATAGACAGACACTTCCAAAGGGAGAAACAGACAAACATATATAGGAAAAAGAACTGGATTTACATCCAACCTCCCAGCAACATTAGATACAGAAAGACAAATGTTTTGAACCCATGTTTTTGTGCTTAGCCAAACTCTCATACCTCTGTGAGGACAAAATTAAAATTTTTCAGATATATTTTTTTAAAAATAAATTCTTCTAACTACAAATCCCAGTGAAGAAGCAAACGGTATGTATTGTAGCAAAGTAAACATAAGCGTAAAGAAAAAGCCATGATTTACAAGAAATTGGGAAAGGAAGAATCCAAGAAAATAATATTGCAGTTAGACCTAAATGTTCATTATTAGAAAAAAAATCTGCATAAACTTCATGTAGAATTAGAGGTATGAACTAACATTCATTCCTTTTTCAATGAGATAATGTGATATTAACTATGTGGTAGGAAAATAAGTACAAATATTAGTTTTCAAATAGGATGTTTGGATTTCAGACTATTGAAATGGGAAAAAAATCCAAACCAGATCAGTCAAACAAAATACAAGACAGGAAAAGAAACAAGAAAATACAGTGAATAAAAAAAGGGAGCTAGCATAATTTTTAAACATACTTGTTGCCCCTGTAAATGTGAATACATAAAATCCCCCAATTCTGGATAGAAATTCTGCTATTGAGTTAAAGAAATCAAACTCCAGGCTATTTTGGGAAACTTTTAAATGAAAGAAAACTAGAAGTTTGGGAATCAAGTAATGAAAAGAGATAACCTAGCATTTTATTTAGGTTTATCTTATAAAACAGCATAGCATTCTATCTAGGTTTGTCTTTCTCTGCCTAGCATGTAGAGAAAAATAGCAAGCAAAAATAGAAATCAAGGTGAGCGGCATTGAAAGACACATACTGATCAGATGAATTTATTAAGAAAAGGTGAATGATGAACCTTTATAAACCCAGTAACATAAATGTATGTTGTATAAAGCAAATTTAATCAAAAAGAAGGGAGAAATGGACAAATTCATAATCCAGTGTCTTCCAAGTTGGAAGACATTGAAAATCCCAAAAATTTTACTCAGAAATATATACCTCTAGTAGATAAAGTGAATTAGAATATACAGTTATGTCCACAAATTTAGTCTAATAACTAGATATACAAACTTGTAACCTACAGAGTACAGATATGCATGTCATATTCACAGAAAAGTTTGGGGAAAAAATCTAAAATGTGAAGTTATTAATTAATTAGCATTAGAATAACTCTGATGGAAATTTATACTTTTTAATGCATTTATTAAACAACTAGAAAAACTCTGGAGAAAACAAATAATTTTAAAAGGAAAAGAAATATATAAAGATAATACCATAAATTAGTCAAAAATAAAGTGTAGACTTTATCAAGTAAAATATAACATCTTTTTCTTTAACTAGAAAATAGAAAAATTCTGAACAAACCTGATAAATATGATGAACAGCCAGAAGCTTTCAATAATTATAAAGGGAATAGAATTACCAATTTTAGAAAAATTTAAATAAAGAGCAAATATAGCATCTTACTAATAAACTAGAGAAACTAGAAGAAATGGATAGATTTCTAAAGCAAAAAGACCAATATAGACACAAAAAAGGAAAATATCTATATAGAGCAATAAGCAGAAAAGTAAAAATACCAATAATAATATATATAACCAAAAATCATGCTGCTATAAACACACATGCACATGTATGTTTATTGCGGCACTATTCACAATAGCAAAGACTTGGAACCAACCCAAATGTCCAACAATGATGGACTGGATTAAGAAAATGTGGCACATATACACCATGGAATACTATGCAGCCACAAAAAATGATGAGTTCATGTCCTTTGTAGGGACATGGATGAAATTGGAAATCATCATTCTCAGTAAACTATCGCAAGGACAAAAAACCAAACACCACATGTTCTCACTCACTGATGGGAATTGAACAATGAGAACACATGGACACAGGAAGGGGAACATCACACTCTGGGGACTGTTGTGGGGTGGGGGGAGTGGGGAGGGATAGCATTAGGAGATATACCTAATGCTAAATGACGAGTTAATGGGTGCAGCACACCAGCATGGCACATGTATACAAATGTAACTAACATGCACATTGTGCACATGTACCCTAAAACTTAAAGTATAATAATAAAAAAAGAGAAAAAGTACAGAACTTCAAAAATATATATATATATATATGTATAACCTTCTAAAAATAATTTTTGTTTTTATGGACCAAAAAATATGAGGGGAGACTAATCATCAAGAAATTATAAACATAATGAGTATTATGAATGGGAAGTAAAATATGCTCTTTTTTTATAGCTTTTTTAGAAATTCTTGAGAAAAAATGAAATAAGCCCATTATTTTTTTGCTCTTTGCAGAGACCCTGGAAGTTCTTATAAAAATTTGACAATGAAATTATTTGCTGCCTACTCCAAGATATTTGATTTTCCAAAGCACACCACTAACTCATTATAAAAAAATTTTGCAGGAAGAAACATTTTCCCTTCTTTAGTAATATTTGATCCATGAAAAAAAGAAGTAAAGATTAAGGTAGTTGTAATCATACGAAAGCAATATTCTGTTATCTTGATTCACATGAAAATGGAAATGAAGTGTCTCTAATTACTTTTTCACATATATCACAGAATGGAGAACATTTAATGACTGAATTAATTTTTTCAGTGTTCAGTTGATGAAAACAATGTTGGAACACTAAGGAATGCTGGTGATATAAGATGGTGCTTTAAAGCATAAGTGATGAAGTGTCAGGTGGAAATTACATTAAGTTTGGCACACATCATTAAACAGTGTCTGATATGAGCAGATGTTCAATTTTTCACACTGAGGAGGTGGTTCAGGATATTCTATTGTAACATAATGTGATGAAATGGCATAATTTGCCATGAAAGTAAAATAAGCCATCCATCTTGAATGTGGCAGTTGGTAACTGTTTGTGAAGCATGTTGACAATTTTAGTGTTCCTGTCTGTGGTGGAAACCAAAGTGATTCTGAAGACTCTAAATACCCCTCATCTGTATTTGTTATTATCCATATTATACTGATACAGTGCCACAGGTGGACAGCACCTTTAAATATCTAATGTCTTAAATGGTACCCTTTAGATTAGTTTATCACTATCTTTTAATACTTTCTCACTCTGCCCATTCCAAGGCCTATGCCCTGGAAGTCATGGGAAAGTTGCTAAAATGTGATAGTGGTAGATTCCAAGAGGCTCAACTCCCTAAACAATATTTTATTATACTTACTTTTCTATGACTGCTCTAATCAGATATTTTGTGTGGTCATGTTTATCATATAGGTTTCTCATGTTTGTGTATCTCAAAAAATGGAGAGACAGATGAGGTGAGGGTGAGTACGTAAATTTGACTTTCCCAGCTTCTCCAAGAAATGGTAAAGAACAAGAAGAAGAACAAAACTGCACAAACCCCGTTATGTTAGCATAACTAGAATTAAGAAATTGTCGGCCGGGCGTGGTGGCTCATTCCTGTAATCGCAGCACTTTGGGAGGCCTAGGCGGGCAGATCACAAGGTCAGGAGTTCGAGACCAGCCTGGCCAAGTCGGGGAAACCCCGTCTCTACTAAAAATGCAAAAATTAGCCGGGCGTGATGGCACATGCCTGTAGTCCCAGCTACTCAGTAGGCTGAGGTAGGAGAATTGCTTGAACCCGGGAGGCTGAGGTAGGAGAATTGCTTGAACCCGGGAGGCTGAGGTTGCAGTGAGCCGAGATTGTGCCACTGCACTCCATCCTGGGTGACGGAGCAAGACTCTATCTCAAAAAAAAAAAAAAAAATTGTCCAAACTTCAAACTAACAGTGGAAAAATAGACACCAAATCCCAGCATGCTATCTCCCATGCTCTGGATATAATCCTTTGGGAACTGCATGGGCAGTTCAGAAACAAAACAAAACAAAAAACTGCATGGCAGAGAGAAATGGGGCGATAGCACTAGGGAAAAAAATCCAACAGAAACTATAAGCAGAAAAAAAATTCTATATGAAGATACAGAAAAAGTGTAGTGGTATGCCAGAGCACTGACTATATGGAGGGGAATTAAAAGTATATGTGGGACACAAGTAAACAGTCTTGGAAAGGTAACACCCAGGCAAAGATGAGGGTTAACGCAATGGGCAGCCATGCTTTGGGAAGTGTCTAGTGACAGGAATAAGAAACAAGATGGGGAAAGTTAGATAGAAGAAAATCAAAATATCAAAGGACACACAAACCTTCTCCCATCTTCCACTTTCCCTTAAAAACACACAGACACACACACACACACACACACACACACACACACACAAACCTGGTAAGCAAACTACTTCTCGATATGCTGACAGAGAGGGTGCTCTTTTTTTTTTTTTTTTGAGACGGAGTCTCGCTCTGTCGCCCAGGCTGGAGTACAGTGGCGCGATCTCGGCTCACTGCAAGCTCTGCGTCCGGGATTCACGCCATTCTCCTGCCTCAGCCTCCCCAGTAGCTGGGACTACAGGCGTCCACCACCAGGCCCAGCTACTTTTTTTTGGTATTTTTACCACAGACGAGGTTTCACCCTGTCAGCCAGGATGGTCTCGATCTCCTGACCTCGCGATCCACCCACCTCAGCCTCCCAAAGTGCGGGGATTACAGGCGTGAGCCACCGCGCCCGGCCAGAAGAGGATGCTCTTGAACTGGAAATCTTATCTAAAACTGTGGGTCATGGCCACAGAAATGCAGAAGCAAAGTTTTCATTTAATCTATTTTTAAAAACCTACAAAAAAGAAAGAAAATCAAAATAATCCAAACATTCCATTGATAAAAATTCACTCTCATCAGAAGCCTTTGATAAAACAGAATGATACTGTCATGCAACACTCCAAACTAGGTTGAGTATTCTCAAACAAGCATTTGGGGATATTAGAGAATACCTTGAAACGAAAGTTCAAAAACTCAGAACATAGTGGATGAATAACTGGAAGAAATGAAATAATAATTAAATTTGGGGGAAGAATAGAAAAAAATAAAAATAGTTGTCTACAAAGAAAAAAGTTAACAACATAATAAGAGACATTGGAAAAAGGTAGGAGAAAAACTAAGGGAATGAAAATGGGATAAAGGAAAATGTAAAAAAATCAGAGATAGTAATTGGTTTGGAAGATAACCAAAGAAGGAGTAACATCTATATAATTGGAGTTCCAAAGAAAAACAACAGAAACTAGAATAGAACTAATATTTGTAATTATGGAAAAAACCTTTCTGGGTGTAAATACTTAAATCTACACATTTAAAGTGCTCGCTGGTATCATTGAAAACTAACTCTTAATGATCACCTTAATATTATATCCTCATAAGACTAGTAGACAAAGAATCTTTAGGGCCTTCAGGGAAAAAGATTAAATAACTTATATGGAAAGATGACTAGATTGTCATGAGACTTCTCAAAAACCAAAGACAAATCAAGCCAACATTGGAGCAGCGTTTTTAGGAAACACGAAAAAATAAAGTGTGAACCAAAGACTTTCCATCCTGTCAAACTGTCTTTCAAGGGTCAAGGCTCTAGAAAAATGATTTTAAACACAGAAGAGCTCAGGAAATTCTGTGTCCATGTACCCTTTTTGAGGAATCTACTAGAAAATGTACTTCAGCTACCACGAAACAACTAGGGAACTTCAGCAAAAGAGTGCTGGTTAGCATTTAATAACTTGATTATAGATCTAAGACTAAAACAAAGACAGAAGGAAGAGTACAGAATAAAATGTTGTATGACATGTATCAATGATATGTGTTCCATATTCTGATAAAGTAGAAATAATATGACTAGAAAGAGGAGAGTAGAATAAGTTCATTAATTATTGTATAGACAAAATCAGGATTAAAAGATAACATTAAAAACTCAAATGATAGTATTAGTTTCTGAAAACAGAAAAACAAGGGCATTGAAAACAATATGAATAAAAAAGTAACCACTGGAACAAAAATACAAACCTTCTTAAACACTGAAAACAAAAGGAACAGTGAAAAAAATCATATAGAGAAAAAAATTGTAGAAAGTTATATAGGCTGGGTACAGTGGCTCATGCCTGTAATCCCAGCACTTTGGGAGGCCGAGGTGGGAGGATTGCTTCAGGTCACAGGAGTTTGAGACCAGCTTGGACAACATAGCGAGACATCATCTCTACAAAAAAAATTTTAAAAATTAACTGGGTGTGATGGCATTTGCCTGTTAGTCCTAGCTTCTCAGGAGGCTGAGATGAGGGTACTGCTTGAGCCCATGATTTAAAGGCTGCCATAAGCTAAGATCACACCGCTGTACTCCAGCTTTGGTGACAAAGCAAGACTCTGTCGCTAAAGAACTTTAAAATTAAAAAATCTTTAAAAGAAGTTGTATTACATAGTTGAGATCAAAAGTAGCAGTCTTACCAAAAAATGTTGATGGACTTACCTATTAAGAGAAAAAAAAGATTCTCAATTTGTTTTATAAACGAAGGCTCTCATATGTTCTGTATACAAGAGACATATCAAAATAGTTCGAAAAGAGTAAGAGGTAGGCATAACTAAATTTGGCAAATGAAAACAATAAGAAAGCAAGGTTAGCAAACAAATATCATACAAAGTATAATTCAATCCAAAAAGTACTAAGCATAAAAATTGAAAGATGCCTTTTAATGTTAAAAACTACAATTTATAATTAATACATAACAATTATGAATATGCAACAAAATAACACAGCAACTACCTTTATAAAACAAAAACCACACATAAGGCATGGAGACAGAGAAAACATGTTAGTAATTTGAAATGTTAAGACACAAGACAGATTTTGTTGACCAAAAAAAAAAAAAAAAAAGGCTATAGAAAATTTTAACCTCATAACCAATAAGGTAAATGTTAGGATATGTTAAACTTTATACCCTGATCTAGATGACACACATTTCTCTCAAACACATGTGAAAGACTTAAAAAAAAACAGATAAGAAAATGTCAGTAGAAATATTACAAACATCACTGTTGGATTCAAAAAGAATAAAACTACACATTATTATTAAATTAAAAAAAAATCATAGGCCCGGTACAGTGGCTCATGTCTCTAATCTCAGCGCTTTTGGAGGCTGAGGCAGGTGGATTCCTTGAGTCCAGGAGTTGGAGACCAGCCTGGACAACATGGTGAAACCCATCTCTACAAAAAATACAAAAATTAGCCAGACATGGTGGCACGCACCTGTAGTCCCAGCTACTTGGGAAGGGTGAGGGTGCTTAGGTGGGAGGATCACTTGAGCCCAGGAGATCTATGCTGCAGTGAGCCATGATCATGCCACTGCACTCCAGCCTGGGGGACAAAGACAGACTCTGTCTCAAAAAAAAAAAAAAAAATCATGCTTCTTGTACCTGGACACTTACTTCATAACCTTCTGTTATCCACTCTTGATTAAAAGAGCAAATACAATATAAAATTATATAATTTCTAACAATGCTAATGAAAACACGACATATTTAAACTGGCAGAATACATTCAGAGTGTATTAGAGTGAAATTTGTAGCACAAAACACTCTACTTGATAAAAATGAAAGAATGAAAATAAATTCAAAGCACAAAAAGTTAGAGAAAACCCCAATGTAAATCAGAAGAAAGCTCAAAGAAATTAAAATGATGAAAGCAGAAATTAATAAGAGTAGATCTAATTAATAAAACTTATTTGAAACATTAATATAGACAAACCTGTAGATAAGATAATC
This sequence comes from Homo sapiens, assembly GCF_000001405.40. Taxonomy (NCBI): domain Eukaryota; kingdom Metazoa; phylum Chordata; class Mammalia; order Primates; family Hominidae; genus Homo; species Homo sapiens. Next base: position 114,714,604 of record NC_000005.10, on the reverse strand, counting down.
AAGAAACAAAAGGAAAAAATCACAAATATACAAAATAATAAATGACATGGAAAAAAATTGAGTCAGACATAATTTTAAAATGTCATGAGACTATTTTGGAGAGTCTAAGAAAATGAATTTGAAAATGTTGACGAAATGGGTAATTTCCTGGGAAGTTATAATTTACCAAATTGACTCAATTAGAGCAGAAACTGAGAAAGTTATCCAAGAACTACTCTACAAAAGGTTAACATGTCCAGGTGGAAATTCACAGGGGAATTTTAGCAAACTTCAAAGAGCAGATGATCCCAGTGCTCCATGAATTATCCTGGAGTACTGAAAACAGGAAAATTAGCTGATGCTTTTATGAAGTGAATGTAACATTGATATTATAAAGTTAATAAGACAGTACCTGAAAAAGAAATTTATAGACCACTATCACCAATGAATATTGATGCAAAAGTTCCAAGTGAAATATTGATAGAATCTGGCATTACTATAAGAAAATAATACATAAAGACCCCATGAGATTTATTTTAGGAATGTGTGGATGGTTCAATATTTAAAAATCCATCAATATAATATAAATAATATCTAAGAAAAAAATCAAAGGATTGTCTCTATAGAAACTGAAAAAGCTTCCAACACAATTCACTGCATTCCTGAAAAAATGCAGTCAAGCAAATAGCAATTGATGAATATTTTTTTCCATGATAAAACATGTATGCCCTATTACTGAAGCTAGCGTCTTCCTTAATGGGGAAACAATAGAAACGTTCCTATTAATATCGGAGAAAGACAACTGTAGTAAGGTGATACGGTTTGACTGTGTCTCCACCAAAATCTCAACTTGAATTGTATCTCCCGGAATTCCCACATGTTGTGGGAGGGACCCAGGGGGAGGTAATTGAATCATGGGGGCCGGTCTTTCCTGTGCTGTTCTCATGATAGTAAGTCTCACAAGATCTAATGGGTTTATCAGAGGTTTCCACTTTTGCTTCTTCCTCATTCTCTCTTGCTGCCACCATGTAAGAAGTGCCTTTCGCCCTCTGCCATGATTATGAGACTTCCCCAGCCATGTGGAACTGGAAGTCAAATTAAACCTCCTTTTCTTCCCAGTCGCAGGTATGTCTTTATCAGCAGCATAAAAACGGACTAGTACATAGGGAATCTGGGTGAAGGTATCTGTGTATTCCTTTTACAAGTCTTGTAAGTTTTTTCTAAGTCTGAAATAACATCAAAATAAAATATATACTTAGAAATACGGAGAATGAGATTACTAATGACTGTTTTCTTTATCAGCACTTGGGCCTGTATCTTGATCAGATACTCTAAGCTGTCTACCCAACGTCAATTTCTCCCTTTCTTCCAAAAATAATTTGATTCTTTTAGAAAACTGTGTAATAAAATACCTTTATCATTGCCCAATTCTTTTCCCCACAAGATAAAGTAGAAATTTCCAAGTAAGATTTCTGGGAAAATTTCAGGGATCTACATTGTACCTGCAAGGAAAGCCTCAAGCTGAAGATGAAGGGGCAGAGACTCATAAAGAGCACGAGTTCCTGGTGAGGTCACTGAGTCATTATGTTAGCCCCGATGGACAATTTCTGGATGTCTTGCATAGTAGTGGTAATCCCCTTTCTTATCTAGGCTATGGTTAGTTGGGTTTTAATTTTCAAAGCAATCAGAAAATCAGAATAGTTGGGAACCACAAGTCTAGACACATAAATCCTATATTAAATTCCAAATTGCAACTCAAAGATTTCAAGAGTTCACACTATGTTGAGAATCCCCATGCCTTGGAAAAATAAGCATAATGCAGTAGGCTTAGATAATGTTTTCATTCTCTATTGTTACATCAGTTCAACACCATTTGCTGAGAAATCACTATGTGAAAACGCTAGAAAATAGAAATATGTCTCAATATTCTAGTTAGCAAGGACTTTCTAATCCTGCTTGTAAGTAAATAGAGATGCAAGTGCTTTAAGAGGTAAAAAGCATTCAAGACACTACAGTGAAAATGTCAGTAACCAGTAGAGATGGTATAAGTCCTATATAAATTCAAAGATATGTACTGGATTGAATGGAGGAGAATTCATGAAGGGGTTAGTATCTAAGTAAGTCATGGCAAAAGATAAACGTGGTCATTGGAAGGGGTAGGTGAGGAGGCATGCTTGGCAAAATAAATAGCATATATACCTGTTGGGTGGATATCATTTTCTTTAAGTGACATTTAGGGCCAGTAAGGCAGTCTGTTGTGATGAAGTAGAATGTGTTTGACATTATGAGTTCTTCAGCAGGGATGTAATCTGATTGAAGCAGAAATTTAGAGAGTTATCCAATAAGTACAATGAAATGGAAGTTTAGAATCAAACAGGATGATAAATGTAGTAATATTGATCATAGGTGGAGTAATAAGAATGATAAAGACGTATTCAAAAGCTGCTTCTCAGGAAAAGTTCACATGCTTTTGTGTCTTATCAGATACAGGGTTGAATCATAAACTATCTCAACATTTTTAAAATAATGGCTTGAAAAATAGTGGTATCATTGATAGTAATTGGCTATTGGAAATGCAGCTCTTTCCTTGGAGAGAGAAGAGAGAGAAGAGGATGGAGATGAACTTAATTTTGCCACAATTATATTTTGAGCAGCTGTGGAAATGTCCAGCACTTATTTGGAAATACTGTCTCTAACTAGGATGAAAGGTCAGACCTGCAGATGCGCTTGGGTGTTCTTTGAATGGAAGTGAAGTTAAAACTGTCTGGATGGCTAATCTGTAGTGTGAAGGGATGGAGAGCAGCCAGTAGAAATCTGAGAACTAAGCACTGGGCAACACTATTTACAGAAAGGAGAACAAGGGAAGCTTGTGGAAAAGACAGAAATAGAGGAAGCCTCACCTAACTAGGTGGTACACCTTCTCCCAGCCCTCGCTGATAGCTGTCTCATGGACTGAGGCATCTGCTAGGGTCCTTGAAGTGGAGTTTTATATGTCACATAATCTAGGTTCTAATCTAGATAAAACACTAACTCCAAACTTGTTACAAAATCTACTACTTTTTCTAGGTGTGGTATGAAACATAGAAGCTTAATTTCATTTGCCTAGATTACATTTGTTTAGTATTCATTAAAACCAGCATATTCTTAAATAAAATTTATGAGAATAAAGAGGGATTCTATGCCAAATATACACTGAGACATCTCTTTTGAAGAACATATTGTGTTCATATAAATATCATAAAATTAGAGCAACATTGTAAGAGTTCACACTACAGTTAAATTAACAGGTATGTTAATTTTGCTTTTGTGACCTAGCGCTGGTTATTTCTGATATATTTTGTGCCTCATCCTTGTTTAGGTACACAATTATGAAAACAACATTATTCCTATATGAAAAGCAAAAGCATGGCATGCTTTACTGTTTAGATCCAAGAAGATATTGCCAGTGGAAGCCGGGAATTTGCCGATTCTAACAGGGTGGGTCAGCACTATGAATCATCACAGGATCCTGCACATTTTAGGATTGTTAGATCAATTAACTCAACAGCAGCTGAAAAACTTTAGTTGAAATAAATTTCTCTCTTTAAGTTTAAGATTCCCAAGCACAGTTTCTTGGTTCTATCTTAGAAACGTTTGGTAATAATGTTAATAAAACATGTGTTCTAACTGCCTTGTAGCATTTTATATGTGTGCTAATTTACTTTTTGATCCACTAGATAGAGTTTGCTTTTCTGATGAAATATGTGGTAGTTATTTAGGTTCCTTGTAAATACTTTTTGGGGAATTTGACAATGAAGTAAATGTGGTTGAAAAGAATGAGTTTTTTTAGTCAGAGAGGGCTGGGATTGCTCTATTAATTATTGTCTTTATGACAAGGGAAAATATACTGAGTATCTCTAAGCCACAGTATTTTCATCTATAAAAGGGGAATAACAATAACCTCGTTATAGCTAATTGGAGAGGTTAAATAAAATCTGTTTAAAGCTTCAGTTTCCTGGGGAAAATATAAGCATTGCATGATGTACATTTCTGAAGATATTAATCTGGGGCTTGGATGTCCTTTGTCATCAATAAACAATCAAATGTCAGTACTTCATCTACTATATTTAACAGCTATTATTTAAAAGTAGTTGCAAAAACCACAGTTACTTTTTCACCAGCCTAATACATATTAGTAAATTGATTTTAGTTGTGGCACTGCAGAGGAAAAAACACATAATTTTTACATCTTCAAATATCATTCTCCAGCAATAGAACACATTCAGGAGACTTAAAGAATCAAAATATTTGATTTTCTTTTTCATCAAACATCAAATTGGTATGAAGAAATGGCAGTTGTATTTTAACATTTTCAGCATAACTTTAATAGCATAACTTCACCTCACTGAGGAGAAGAAATACAGTCTGTTTGACATCTGAATTATACACATATTTTAGCAAATGAAAACTTTAAAATATTTAGTTTACAAAAATAACTCTAAAATAGTGGTTTTGGAAGTTTGTTCCCTGAAACGGTAGGTTCTCCTATGACCACTGCTGGTGATAGGTATAGAACTGGCTTGGAGAACACCACCAATTTTGTCTGTCTTATACACTATATTGGCCTTTCTAGTCTGATTTCAATTGAAGAAAATAAACTAGCATTTCACACATATAAAACAGGATTACCACTTTATATCCTGTTTGTTTTCAGCATTGTGTAGGTTAGTATTTTCACTTTCCAATTTTTTTGTTTGTTTTAAGACACCTTTCATACTAATTTCTAGTTTTAACTGCATTTTGGCCAGTGATTGCAACTTGTATAATTCTACCTCCTAGAGTTTGATGTTTTCAATTAATAACTGCTATAAATGTTTCATGGATGTTTAAAATGTTTATTCTCTGGCAGAATACAAATATCATATATGTTGGATCAAAATTATGTTATTCAGATGCTCTCCATCCTTATTTGTATTTTGTTCACTTGTTCTCTGAAGGACTAAAGAGGGTGAAATATTAAAGCACAAGTTACAAATAATCATTCACATATAGATGTTTCTTGTTTGCCCTTGCAGTTAGCTATGCATGCAATGTTATTTTTAAAATTAATCACCAGCATTTAAAAGCCAGGGGATTTTATATAACATCCTGATTTCTAACTTCCTTTGAAAAATTAGAAAATCTACTAAATCTGTGTCTTCATTGCCACACAGAAATGTTTGACTAGAGCTAAGTGTTTGGCCTCTTGTGATGATACATTCACTCCCCATTTGACATGGGCTTATCCTATTGCCTGTGACTGAGGACTCTGGCCTTGAATGTGAGTTGCCATTTATCTTTGTTCTTGCTCTCTTGTACTACTTGTGATAGAATAGAGGAAACTGAAAAAATAATTAACCCCTGGGAGTATCAAGTTGAAAGATAGGCTCGAAAAGACATTGCATTTAAGGGAAAAAATTTAAAATCTTGAATTAATCATTCTTTATTCATTTACATTATGTGTTTGGCCACCGTAGGAAAATAAATTTGTAATTCCTGTAACAATATCTGTCAGTTTCTTATATTTTAAATCCACTTTATTGAAGTATAAGTTAATGGATCCATGTAAAGTGTACAATTTGCTGATAGATACACCTAAAACCACCTGTGCTGTATAAATCTGTGAAAATAAGGTCTCATTCAAGATACAGAACATTTTCAATAGTACCCAAGGTTTCCTGGTGCCTTTCTGCAGTCTGTCTCTTCCCCTTCCTTCACCCCAGACAATTACCCACCTATTTTTTGTCACTATAGATTAATTTTCAGTTTTAAAAATTTCGAATAAATAAGACTGTATATGATGCACTCTTTTGGGGCCTAGCTTTTTTCATGCAAGATATTGATTTTGAGATCCAGGCACATTTTTTCTTGTATCAATAATGTTTTTCTTTTTATCGCTGAGAATTATTCAATTTCTTGGACATATAAAAATGATTTTATCCTCAGTTATACAATATTATTCCCATTTTAAAATATATTACAAATGAAGTTATTATGAACATTCATGTCCAAGTTTCTGTGTGAACATCTGCTTTTATTTCTTTTGGGTAACTACCTAGGAGTAGAATGGCTGGGTTTATTGTAGGTATATGTTTAACTTTTTCAGAAACTGACAATTATTCAAAGTGGTTGTATGCTTTTACATTCTCATAACAGCATATGAGAGTCACACATGCTCCCTATTCTCACCAGCAGTTGATACTGTGTTTACAATTTTAGCCACCCTCTAGGATATAGTCATATCTCATTGTGGTTTTAATTTCCCTGACAAATGATGTTGAGCATCTTTTGTGGCATCTTTTTGTTGAGCGTCTTTGTGTGTATTAGGACATGTCTGCTCAAATCTTTTGCCCATGTTTATTGGTTTTTTGCTTCTTACGATTGTCACAAAACTTATGTGTATAAGGCAGAAGATTGTTGTTAGATATATGAATTATGAATATTTTCTCCTATTGTGTGGCTTACCTTTTCATCTCATATTTGTATTTCTGCTTTTTATATTTACACACCATGTAAATATAAAATGTTTGTGATTCACATGTTTATGAACCATATATCTCAGCAGTGAACCATACCTTTATTAGCATAAGAAAACCCTGTTGTTATCATTTTATTATTCTTATAACAAATATTCAGTTTCTATTGTTTGATTGGCATTGTTTTTAACATTCATGCTTTATATATTTTAGAAACTTAATAAAATTGAATCTTATTTTTTAAGACAGTATAAAAATATTTCCCTTCCCATAGTAGTTCAAATCATTAAACTTATTGTCATGACTAATACTAGGTCTTTTTTATGTAATCCTCTAAAAAATTTGTTGAATCAATATTTTCTTTTGTTCTTCTTTCTCTACTGATTTGAGAGCTATCCTAAAATCTAGACTTTTGTTTTAAAAAATACACTATAATCTAATGTCTCAATTTTTTAAATTTTGAGAATGGAATACTAGCTATTAAAACCATGAAACTATTTTCTATGATAGGGCGGAGCAACTTTTCTTCATTCTGAGTTAATGCCCTTTTCTTATTATAGTCCACACTTTTACGCTTAGATTATTGTTACCAAATTATTTTATTCTAGGTATCTCTCAATACCTGTAATTTATTATCTTCCACATGTTTTACTAAGCTGATAGACTAATAACCATTTGTGTTAAGTGCTGTTTATAAAACGGTATTTGCAACATTTATTCAAGGTTGTTTTAAATTTTTATTCTCATTTAATGTACTTTGATATCTGTGTGTGTGCATGTGGGTTTAAGGAAGTATATATTGAGGTAATACTTTGCATATTTGATTATCTGTAAGAGACATTTTATTGCTTTCACACATTAATTATAGCTTACCTATGCATAGAATTATTAGGTTTCAGACTTACCTTTAAAGGGGTTTCTCTTTGTTGTCTTCTGTCTTTCATTGTACGTAAGAAAATGCTGAGAAATTGTTTCCAATGAAAAATTATTTTTCGTGCTCTGCTGCATTTTTTTCTTGGTGTTTGGCATTTAGATAGTGCATGTGGATATATTAGTTAATTTTAATAATATTGTATGATGCTGATTGAACAATTTCAAATTATTAAGTGTGTCTTCAGCAAGTGTTCAGCAAGCAAGTATTCTTACTTGTGAGTAATCATTACTTCGGTTTCTTGCCCTGATTTCATCTGCCATTGGAAATGCAAAAAACAAAACACTTTAAGACATCTACCAGAGTTGATTTATTATATTTTACCTTTGTGTAATATCTTTCTAGCTTTCGTTTGACAACAGAGATGTTATTACCTGGGCATAACACATTGGTAAATAATACAATCAATCAAAATGATAGATATTTCAGAGTTTGAGATTTGCTCACTCTAGATGGCAATTATATCTAAATTCTAGATGTTGCAAAATACTTTTTTCTTGCAAGGAGGGTTTATGATCTGGAATAACATTTTTCCTGCAGCTGCAAAAGAGAGGGATAAATTTTCTACTTATGCAGATATCTTGTTCAGCATAGTTAGTTGAACCCATGGATTTTAAGACGAAGTGCTGAAATTCCATTAACACTGGGAGGAAAAGATATCCAAGGAGCTAAAAACTTAGAATAAATGAGAGGTCAAAGTAAGATTATTAAACAGAATATGAGACATGTAATGCTTTGTAGTTACACATTTTCAGAAATACTGGTAATGTCTAGGCTGACTCATCATCTCTCTTCATTTATATATTTTTTCACAATTTCATTTTGTCATTTTGTCTACATTCTGAGAGTTTTAAAGTTTATCCTACATATCATCCCCCAATTCACTGTCAATTCTAATGTTGCCTTTAACTGTTACAGTCATTTCTAGCCCTATCCAGCTTAATTTTCATTTCTGCTTCTATCCTGGTTCTAGTTAGCTTTTTTTGTAACATGAATTCTCTTGAAATTTTTCATCTTTTATAGCGTATATTTTTATATGAAAGCTTTTATTCTCTTTATTGAGTGCTGTATTCTCTTTTTACATCATAGAATCTTTACATAATCCATGTTGGTTATTTCTAAAAAAAGAATAGACCTATATACAGAGGTAGTATTTGTTAATAGACTAGATTGTTAGTTTTACCTTGTTCCCTCCTGCCTTTTCATCTGTGAATTAATGCAGGCCTCCTTTCCTACAGGACAGAGAGATGTTTACTCTCCCATGCCAAGCTTGTGGTATTTTTCCTGGTGTGATTCTGCTAGACTGTGAAGGGATTCTCTCTTACTCCTGCACCCTCGTCGTCTATTCGCATTAGGCTATTCATATGAGAACTCGGTGTGTTGTTTTCTCCTTGTATCAGCGCACGCAAGCCTCCAAGAAAGCAATGGTGGTACAGGCTCTCTCGCCTTCCCTACTTTCTTATTACCAAGCTCTTACTCAGGATGTGGTGTTCTGCCTGCCCACTTCTACAGTCAAATATGTCACGTTCCTAGGAGTCAGATTAAGCAAATAGATGCAACAAGAGAGTCACTGCTGATGGTAGTAGGGACAAGAAATGCCTTTGTCTTACTCAAAAAGCCATTTTGTGCAAGAGGGGTGTAACTCCTGATTTTATGGTCTGAGAAGTCCTGTCTCTGAAGTTTGCATCTGCAATGCTGTTGGGTGGCAATTTCCTCATGTCTTTTGGTTCTGGCTCTTCTATTTCAGAAACATTTTCTCCTTTTTCTTAGTCATAATTCCTCTAGGTATATTGCAAATAGCTATTTAATGTTACCTGTGCTGCTCTACTTTGTATTTCTTGGCCTTTTATGAATGTTTTAATAAATGGATGAAGGAAAGAAAAACAGGTTTCTTTTGCTATCTGCCTTTTTTTTTTTTTTTTTTTTAAGACGGAGTCTCGCTCTGTCTCCCAGGCTGGAGTGCAGTGGTGCGATCTCAGCTCACTGCAAGCTCTGCCTCCTGGGTTCACGCCATTCTCCTGCCTCAGCCTCCCGAGTAGCTGGGACTACAGGCACCCGCCAACACGCCCGGCTAATTTTTTGTATTTTTAGTAGAGACGGGGTTTCACCGTGTTAGCCAGGATGGTCTCAATCTCGTGACCTCGTGATCCGCCCGTCTTGGCCTCCCAAAGTGCTGGGATTACAGGCGTGGGCCACTGTACCCAGTCTGCTGTCTGCTTTTTAAATCAAGACGCCTGACTGTGTTAGAAAGTTACTGGCTCACCAGTAACTGGTTGTCTGATATTGACCTTGACACCACATGACAAGTCAGTAAATCCAACCAGAGCCAAGTGAAGCCTTTGGAAGTGAGAGGTGACAGCATGCTGGCAGTCCTCAGAGCCCTCGCTTGCTCTCGGCACCTCCCCTGCCTAGGCTCCCACTTTGGCGGCATTTGAGGAGCCCTTCAGCCCCCCACACTGCACTGTGGGAGCCCTTTTCTGGGCTGGCCAAGGCTGGAGCCCACTCCTTCAGCTTGCACGGAGGTGTGGAGGGAGAAGCGTGAGCAGGAACCGGGGCTGCGTGCGGCGCTTGCGGGCCAGCTGGAGTTCCGGGTGGGCATGGGCTTGGCGGGCCCCGCACTGGGAGCAGCCGGCCAGCCCTGCTGGCCCCGGGCAATGAGGGACTTAGCACCCGGGCCAGTGGCTGCGGAGGGTGTACTGGGTCCCCCAGCAGTGCCGGCCCACCGGCGCTGCACTTGATTTCTCACCGAGCCTTAGCTGCCTTCCCGCTGGGCAGGGCTCAGAACCTGCAGCCCGCCATGCCTGAGCCTCCCATCCACTCCATGGGCTCCTGTGCAGCCCGAGCCTCCCCGACGAGCACCACCCCCTACTCCACGGCGCCCAGTCCCATCCACCGCCCAAGGGCTGAGGAGTGCAGGTGCATGGCGCAGGACTGGCAGGGAGCTCCACCTGCAGCCCCAGTGCGGGATCCACTAGGTGAAGCCAGCTGGGCTCCTGAGTCTGGTGGAGACGTGGAGAACCTTTATATCTAGCTCAGGGATTGTAAATATACCAATCAGCACCCTGTGTTTAGCTCAAGGTTTGTGAGTGCACCAATGGACACTCTGTATCTAGCTGCTCTGGTGAGGACGTGGAGAGTCTTTATATCTAGCTCAGGGATTGTAAACACACCAATCAGCACCCTGTGTTTAGCTCAAGGTTTGTGAGTGCACCAATCGACACTCTGTATCTAGCTGCTCTGGTGAGGACGTGGAGAACCTTTATATCTAGCTCAAGGTTTGTAAACACACCAATCAGCACCGTGTGTTTAGCTCAAGGTTTGTGAATGCACCAATCGACACTCTGTATCTAGCTGCTCTGGTGGGGCCTTGAAGAACCTGTGTGTCGAAACTCTGTATCTAACTAATCTGATGGGGACATGGAGAACCTTTGTATCTAGCTCAGGGATTGTAAACGCACCAATCAGCGCCCTGACAAAACAGGCCACTTGGCTCTACCAATGAGCAGGATGTGGGTGGGGCCAGATAAGAGAATAAAAGCAGGCTGCCCAAGCTAGCATTGGCAACCCGCGGGTGCCCTTCAACACTGTGGAAGCTTTGTTCTTTCGCTCTTTGCAATAAATCTTGCTACTGCTCACTCTTTGGGTCCATGCTGCTTTTATGAGCTGTAACACTCACTGCGAAGATCTGCAGCTTCACTCCTGAGCCCAGCGAGACCACGAGCCCACCGGGAGGAAGGAACAACTCCAGACGCGCTACCTTAAGAGCTGTAACACTCACCACGAAGGTCTGCAGCTTCACTCCTGAGCCAGCGAGACCACGAACCCACCAGAAGGAAGAAACTCTGAACACATCTGAACATCAGAAGGGGCAGACTCCAGATGCGCCACCTTAAGAGCTGTAACACTCACCGCGAGGGTCCGCAGCTTCATTCTTGAAGTCAGTGAGACCAAGAACCCACGAATTCCGGACACAGAAGCATATAAAGGCAGTGGACATCTTATTCAGGGATTTGTCACATAACACACCATTACACCATTACACATGTCACATGTGGAATATCAAGCAAAAATCCATGAAACTCTCCAGTAGGCAATGATTCAAAGCAATTAAGTTTAGATTGTTTGTTTTGGAGATAATTTTTTTTCTTGCCAAAAAGAACAAGGGATGTAAAAATTATCTTCATGGATCAGAAATGGATCTTAATGGCATACAATGAGAATTTGGCTTGTAAAAAATCTTTTACTGATGTTGTCTGAAGAAATAAATGGTGATATCTATTGTTAATCCACATAAGTACACCACATAGGACAGCATGCAATGAGAATTTGGCTTGTAAAAAACTTACTGGTGTTGTCTGAAGAAATAAATGGTGATATCTATTGTTAATCCATGTAAGTATATCGCATAGGACATAATCAGGAGATGCTGTAAATTTGGAAAACTGTAAGCATTGCCAGATGCTATGTGACACCTTTCTAGAAAGTATGACATAGAGACAATTAGTTGCCTTGCAAAGATCTTGAGTGACTCTTACGATCTTTCTGCTCACTCCACCACCCATGTCTCCCCTGCCCCTTCTGTTATCTATTTCCACAGTGATGTGGGTGCTGCTTCTGTATTCCTGATTTGTCTGGAACCAGGGTCTGTAATAGTTGGTAGAAAAGATGATAATCCAATAATATCGAGACTACTTAATTACCCAAGAGTGGTTTGCTCAGTATAATGGTCATATATGTAAGTAGTAACCTAAGCCGTGTAGTGTCCCTCAGAAACGTTGTTGCAAATCCCAGGATATTGACTAGACTTTTTGCTGATTACACTTAGCAAACACTGGCAGTAGCCATCTGGAAAATAACAGTGGCAGACATTTGCTTCAGTAAATATAGAAGGCTGGTGCTGGAAAGGATCTGACAGTTCATCTGGTTCTTTCCCTTTATTTTACAAATGAGGAAACTGGAACCCTGGCAGGTGAAGTGTCCTCCCCAAGATCAAATGTGAGCTTAAGGGCACATTTTGGGCCAAACCCACACTACTTTTTCTAGTCCAGTGCCCTTCCATTTTACCACACTTTGTTTTTGCTGGGAAGATCCCTGTGAGGAAAGGTAACAAAAATTGTCTTGAATATTACTACATTTTTTGGGAAAATAACTGAGCAGAAAGTTAAGAGAAAGAGAATTTCTTCCATGGAGATTTTAGGAGTAGAAATGAAAGGCAAGAAAAAGAATCTCTGTTCTCACCTCGGGTTTTAAAGTCTCTTTCTTATTTCTGATTAAGTGTCTAGAGGATTTGTTAAAGAATAATTTAACCCTAACCTTCTTGTAGCACCTTTATTAAGAGAACCATGGTCTAGTTTTTGACATTGCAAATTTCAATTTTTGTTTTAAGCAATCCAGTAGTTTTAGCCATTAATTGGATCTTCCACCTCTTATCTTAGCCTATTATAAATATTTTATCAATATTCTTTAAATTATTTTTGGAAGTTGGCAGAAAACAAATACATGTACTGATTTAAAGCTCCTATTTCATTATTTGGATTTCTCTAAGATTATTATTTGCATTTTTGGATTGAAAAATCACCATAGACTCTTGGCTTCATTAGGACAGATGTTAAAGCCTCTAATCCTGATATAAATGTCTTTAATTACTAATTTCTTAATTTTTTTAAAAAGCAGCTAATGGGGTAGAAGAGGGAAGGTGGGCTTTGTCTTAGTTTGTGATAAGGAAAAAATGATGTATTTGTTCTAACCACTTCCGAATGAAAGAGAAAGAAGTGTTGGCTTCTGCTAATGTACTTACCAAAAGTCCATTATATGGACTTTAATATGCTTTAATATGGGTCATTAATACACTTTTGTATTCATCAGTTCTATAATTTAAATGAGAAGAAGCTTTGAGACGAATTCCAAATGAAGATGGTTCCCCCCCTACCCTACCCTACCCCAAGGAGTTTTTTCTTCACCCACAAAGGACTCTGGAGGCGGAGCCTTTGACCCTTTGACTAAATGACCCTTGGAAGAGCACAGGCTAGAAACTCATGTGGGGATAAAATTCAAGCTAGAGACAGGCAAAATTTAAGTCTTTCGAAGTGCAGCATCTAGTGAGAATTTAAGAGGAAAATATGTCTGAGTTTAGGTCATTGTCCTGTGAGCTGAGACCCTGGGTTTCAGTTTTGTTTCTGTGTGAGCTCCGGCAGGTGAATGAACCTCTGTGGTTCTTTGTTTTTCATCTGACAAATGAGTTAACAGTGTTGTTCTATATGCTTTATGAGAAGAAGTGAGGTATTTGTGAAAATGCTTTTAAAAGATCTTTGCCACTATCAAGTGGTATTCCATATGAATTCATGCTCTGGGTGTCATTTCTTTGTCAAGAGGAGCTACCCCCTCCTTTCATGGGAATCATACCTGGTGGGCTGACTTCTCCATCTCCTTTCTGTGCACATTTGTGATCCTTTTATTTTTAGATGCATGTTTTATAGTATTTGCTAATTGGACGTGGCTAATAAACCTGCAAAGCAGAGTTCTGAACTTACTATCAGATGAATTCTCAAACTACCTCAAAATTTGGAGGAAAAAACAGTGTATTCTCAAACTCAACATTCAAGAAGTCTTGAATATTTCCAGTGAATGATTGTCCTTATTCAAATTAGATACAAGCCCTTGGCCAAATGATTACATTCTAGATTCCAGAAGTTTTTCATTAAGAAGTTCTCAGAAGTATTTGGTACTCACCATCATTTTTCCTGACATGTGGGAATTCTTTAATTCAGCGGTCCCCAACCTTTTTGAAAGCAGGGACCGGTTTCATGGAAGACAATTTTTCCACAGACCAGGGTGGACTAATGGTTTTGGGATGATTCAAGTACATGACATTTATTGTGCACTTTATTTCTATTATTATTACATTGTAATATATAATGAAATAATTAACTCACCGTAATGTAGAATCAGTGGGAACCCTGAGCTTTATTTCCTCCAACTAGATGGTCCTATTTGGGGGTGATGGGAGACAGTGACAGATCATCAGGCATTAAATTCTCATAAGGAGCATGCAACCTCCTTATGGACAGGTACCTGTCCTACCATGGACAGGCACTGGTCCATGGCCCAGGGCTTGGGGACCTTTGCTTTAATTAGCATTTTTGTGAGAGTGCATATGGGAAGGTGTGCCTAGGATTACCCAAGCAAATCCCTTTTGATGATGATTATTTTTTTCTCTGAGAGTATGATATGGTTTGGCTGTGTCCCCAACCAAGTCTCATCTTGAATTGTAGCTCCCATAATTCCCACATGTTGTGGGAGGGACCCAGGGGGAGATAATTGAATCAAGGAGGTGGTTTCTCCCGTGTGCTGTTCTCGTGGTAGTGAATAAGTCTCATGAGATCTAATGGTTTTATAAGGGATTTCGCTTTTCACTTGACTCTCTCTCAATTCTCTCTTGCCTGCACCATGTAAGACGTGCCTTTCACCTTCCGCCATGATTGTGAAGCCTTCCCAGCCGTGTGGATCTGTGAGTCCATTAAACCTCTTTTTCTTTATAAATTATCCAGTCTTGGGTATGTCTTTATCAGCAGTGTGAAAACAAACCAATACAGAGGAATTGAAGAGAAGGAAATTGAGAGCACAGACCGTGGATACAGGAGAGGTGGTACTTGTGAATGTCCAGTGGGAGACTTACTGGGCAAGGATGGCACACACTGGTTACTCGAGGCAAGAATGAAGAAAGTGATTTTTGGCCTCAGTGTGCAGAGGAGGCCAGGAAGTGTTCTTCAAAATCTAAGTATTTCAGAGCTTTTGATTTTTTCTCTGCAGGACTTGATCCACGAAAGCTGAATAAGGTGATGTGAGATCTCTAATCCCCTCAAAGAAAATACAGTGAGAGAAATGAGTTACATCTTACATCTTTTATGCATTTTCAGTCTCCTTTCTTGCACCTGGAAGAGCATTAGAACTCCAAATGGCAGGTTGAGTTTCTGTGGAAAGGCTGATAGACATACAGGAAGTTAGAATTCAGGTAAGATACTTGGATTGTTTCAATTTGGAGTTCTTAAATATGTGAAGACAAAATAAACTTGAGGGGTAACAGCAGGTTGAATTTAATTGATTTTTCCAGCAATGACTTGGGCAGGTCACATTGTGTACTCTGGTGAAATAGTGTATGGGAAGGCTCAGAATGGAGGGAGGTGGCCTGTGAGTTATATTATCTGAAACAGTAACTAAGTTGAAGGGAAGGCTCTTCTGCTTTCCAGGAAAGACAAAACACTTAAATTAACTTGTGACCTCTCTGCCTTTTTATGACCTGTCAAGGATGAGCTGTGCCTCACTTGGGGCTCACTTTAGTAGTCTGTAATCACCAATTCCCAACTCTCCCTTTCAATCTACTTAGGGTTTCCAATCATTCTTAGACAAGGTCTCTATTAGCTGGGTGCAGGATCTTCCCACATAAGCACAGAGACTAAATTTTCTGGGTTTTGGTTTGCCAACTTGGTAAGTGAATAGTCTCATCTGCTTTTATTTTATAAGGATTTGAAATCCTGCAGATTACCAGTATATTTTGTCTTCAGGAAATCTGGGTTGTATGGGAAAGAACACTGAACTAGAAATGAGGGATCTGAATTTTTCCTTTAGTTCTCACATAAGCTTATAAGTTATATAATTTCTTGAGGTGTAGTTTCTCATCTCTATAGTGGGAATATAATGATAATACTATCACTAATAATAGATAGACTTAGCACCTTATATGTATTAATCCATTTAATTTTCACAACTCTATGAGACGGGTATTATTATCATTAACTGTCACAGATGAGGAAAGTAAGGCAGGGATAGATGGTTGTTGCTTATTCCCAAGGCCATGCAGCTAGTTCATGGCCAAACAGGATTTGAATTTAGGCAAACTGACTCCAAAGTGTTTTAACCTTAATCATTGTTTTACTATTTCAGAGAGCACACCTGGTCATTCTGCCTACCTAGTAGTGAGGATCAAGTTAACATACTTGGAGAAATCATTTCCTTAGAAATGACCTAGAAACTTTTTGAATACAGTGAGGAAAAAGAGCTCCCAAATTACTTTCAGATGAGAGAGTACAAGGGAAGATTAAAACAAAAGAAAAAAAATAGCCCCAGCATTGCTGTCTATAGTTGTGTGAGTGTGCGTTTAAAAAGAAAAGATAGGTGAGTAGTCAAGTGGTGAAGGAAAAGGAAAAATGTGGGAAATAGTAATACCCTATAGTGTTATATATTGGATAGAGGCTTCTTTCTAGCTCACTTGTGTAGTAACTGGGTGCCAATTAAATGTGTGTTAGTTGGCCAGGTGTGGTGGCTTGCACCTGTAATCTCAGTACTTTGGGAGTCCTAGGCAGCAGCATCACTTGAGCCCAGGAGTTTTTGACCAGCCTGGGCAACATAGTGAGGCCTCATTTCTACAAAAAAAGTTAAAAAACAATTAGCTAAATGCGGTGGCATATGCCTGTAATACAGCTACTCAGAAGGCTGAAGTTGGAGGATCACTTGGGCCTGGGAGGTCGAGGCTGCAGTGAGCCCTGATTGTACCACTGTACTTCATCTTGGGCAACAAAGCAAGACCCAGTCTCCAAAAAAAAAAAAAAAAAGTGTTAAACTACAAATAATCAGAGGCCTAACCAAAGTAATAGGGAGATAATTTTAAAAAGGGATTATTTTCATATGTGACAAGAAATGTGGAGAAACAAAACAAGAAACAAACCTTTGTGAGTTGAGGACTCAGCTAAGCCATTGAGCACCTGAAGCTTTCCATCTCTGAGTTCTGCCATCCTTGGCTTGGTGGTTACATCATCACTCATGGTCATACCACATCTGCAACAATTCCAAGGTTCATGTGCCAGATGACAATCTCCACAGTGGAAGAAAAACATATATTCCAGTTTGTGTCTTTATTATTGGCAGGAACCTTGCTTAAAACACATCCTGAAAGAGTGAAACAGCAGTGTCAGATAATAGGTATATGCTTCACTTTATAAGGAACTGGCAACTTGTTTTCCAAGGTGGTTGCTCCATTTTACATTTCCACCAGCAGTGTAGGCAGGTTCCAGTGGTTCCACATCCTCTCCAAAACTTTGTTTGGTCAGTATTTTGGGTTTGCGGCATTCTAAATAGGCGTGCAGTGGTGTTTCATGAGTTTAAGTTGCATTTCTCCAATGACTGATGACATCGAGCTTACTTGTTCGCCTTTTTATAACCTGGGTTGTTCATTTTCTTGTGTTTTGAAAGTTCTTTATTTCTATTTATAAGACTTCTACCAAATATGTGATTTGCAAATATTTTCTTCCAGTTCGTGGCATGTCTTTTCCCTCTCTTAAGAGCATTTTTCAGAGAACAGAAGTTTTTCATTTTGATAAAGACAAATTTATTCACACTTTCTTTTATGCATCACGCTGTGTCCAGAATTAGTGGGTTCTTGGTCTCACTGACTTCAAGAATGAAGCCGCGGACGCTCGTGGTGAGCGTTACAGTTCTTAAAGATGGTGTGTTCAGGGTTTGTTCCTTCAGATGTGTCTGGAGTTTCTTCCTTCTGGTGGGTTCATGGTCTTGCTGGCCTCAGGAGTGAAGCTGCAGACCTTCTCGGTGAGAGTTACAGCTCTTAAAGGTGGCGCATCTGGAGTTGTTCGTTCCTCCCGTCCAGAGTTGTTTATCCCTCCCGGTGCATTCATGGTCTCGCTGGCTTCAGGAGTGAAGCTGCAGACCTTTGCGGTGAGTGTTACAGCTCATAAAGTCAGCGTGAACTCAAAGAGTGAGCAGCAGCAACATTTATTGCAAAAAGTGAAAGAACAAAGCTTCCACAGCACGGAAGGGGACCCAAGCCTGTTGCTGCTGCTGGGTGGGGCAGCCTGCTTTTATTCCCTTATCTGACTCCACCCATATCCTGCGGATTGGTCCATTTTACAGAGAGCTGATTGGCCCATTTTACAGAGAGCTGATTGGTCTATTTTGACAGGGTGCTGATTGGTGTGTTTACAATCCCTGAGCTAGACACAGAGTGCTGATTGGTGCATTTACAATCCTCTAGCTAGACATAAAAGTTCTCCAAGTCACCACTAGATTAGCTAGACACAGAGCACTGATTGGTGTATTCACAAACCTTTAGCTAGACAGAGTGCTGATTGGTGCATTTACAATCCTCTAGCTACACATAAAAGTTCTCCAAGTCCCTGCCAGATTAGCTAGATACGGAGTGCTAATTAGTGCATCCACAAACCCTGAGCTAGATACAGAGTGCTGATTGGTGCATATACAATCCTCCAGCTAGACATAAAAGTTCTCCAAGACCCCACCCAACTCAGGAGCCCAGCTGGCTTCGCCTAGTGGATCCCGTGCCAGGGCCGCGGGCAGAACTGCCTGTCAGTCCCCCTCTGTGCGCCTGCACTCCTTAGCCCTTGGGCAGTCGATGGGACCGGGAGCCTGTCAGGGAGACTCGGGCATTGCAGGAGCCCACGGCAGGGGAGGGGCATGGCGGGCTGTAGGTCCCGCCTCAGAGAGGTGGCTGAGGCCCGGTGAGAATTTGATTGCGGCGTGGGTGGGCCGGCAGTGCTGGGGGACCTGGAGCACCCTCCGCAGCTGCTGGCTTGGGTGCTAAGCCCCTCACTGCCCAGGGCCAGTGGCACCGGCTGGCCGCTCCAAGTGCGGGGCCCACCAAGCCTGCGCCCACCAGGAGCTCAACTCAGGCTGGCCCACGAGCACCATGCACGCCCTGGTTCCCGCCCGCGCTTCTCCCTCCACACCTCCCTGCAAGCAAAGGGAGCTGGCTCTGGCCTCGGCCAGCCCAGAGAGGGGCTCCCACAGTGCAGCAGCGGGCTGAAGGGCTCCTCAAGCATGGCAAGATTGGACACCAAGGCTGAGGAGGCACTGAGAGTGAGCAAGGGCTGCTAGCATGTTGTCACCTCTCAACGCTTTTCATTTTGTATCTAAGAAATCTTTCTCTAACTCACATTTACAAAGATTTTCTGCTGCTTGGTTTCCTTCCACAGTTTTTGTCTTTGGGTTTATAATAGGTCAAATTAATTTTTAGTTAATTTGTATATAGGGTGAGAGCTGTGGATCAAAGTGGAAAGGTTCTGAAATTTTCATGGTAGATTAGAAATTGAAGACCTAAATCATTTCTCTCAGCAATGCTTTGCAGTTGTCAGTGTAGGAATCTGGCACATCTCTTGTCATATTTATCTTTAATGATTTCATAGTTTTGGATGCTATGTAAATAGTATTTTTAAGTTTCAATTTCTGATTGCTGATTTTTGTATATTGATCTTGTATCCTCCCACCTTGTTAAACTCATTAGTTCTAAGACATTAAAAATATAGATTTCTTGGGATTTTTTACAGAATCCAATCAGGTTATCTTTGAAAAACTACTATTTTATATATTATTTTCCAGCCTGGATAAGTTTCATTTTTTTGTCTTATTGCATTGACCAGAACCCCCAATATGATTTTGAATAGAAGTGGTAAGAGTAGGCATTGTTTCTTTTTCCTGATCTTAAAGAAAAAGCATTCAGTCTTTAAATAATAACTGGGAGTTTAGCTATAGGGTTTTCATAGATTCTTTTTACTGGTTGAGGAGGTTCCCTTTTATTCTTAGTTTGCTGAAAGTTTTTATCAAAAAAGATTTTGTATTTTGTTGAATGCTTTCTCTGCATCTCTTGAGATGATCATTTGATTTTTCTTTTTCAGTCTGTTAATATGGTGAATTATATTGATTTTGAATGTATAACCAGACTTGAGGCTTTAGAATAAACTCCACTGGTTATAATATGTTCTTTTAAAATACAATTTTGGATTTGATTTATTAAACTTCATGTTTTTTACATGTAAGTTTATGAGGCATGTTTGGTCTTTAGTTTTCTTCTATCTTTTTATTTATTCATTTTGGGGGTTTTATTTTGGTCAGGCTAACACTGGCCTCACGGAAATATTTATGAAGAATTTCATCCTTTTCAATGTTCTTAAATAGTTTGTTTAAAACTGGCATTATATCTTCCCCAAATGTTTGATATAATTCACTCCTTCTCCCTGTTACGGGGATCTTGTTATCACTGTCTCAAAAATTAGCGTCTCTTCTTCTCATGGAGTGAAACAAATGAGAAGAGGAGGAGAGAAAGGTTAGGAGATTTTCCAATTCGACACACTCCTGGAGATAGGAAACATTAAGGTATGTGAAAAATTCCTGTCCTAGTGAAATTCAATATTTCTAATAGTTGTAGTCATAATAGACTAGAAAAAACATGACAGATGTTATTCTAATGCTTAGCTTTAGTAAATGATTGGGGTTTTCTTTTGTTTTGTTTTTTACTTTTTCAAGACAAGTTTTTTT
Source organism: Homo sapiens (assembly GCF_000001405.40). Lineage (NCBI taxonomy): Eukaryota > Metazoa > Chordata > Mammalia > Primates > Hominidae > Homo > Homo sapiens. Next base: position 114,693,862 of record NC_000005.10, on the reverse strand, counting down.
TCTTTCTCAAAAGAAATACATTATCCATTGGAACAAGCATTGTCACACATTAGACTTGTGGAATAATTTGTTATTTTCATTATATAAGCAATTTAGTGCCAAACTAAAAGCCCTTCTCTTAGAAGAAGAGAATATTTGGGGCCAAATTGTAGAATTGTTTGCATTTTCTTTAGATGTCTGCCTGCAACATTATTTTTTTGTTTATTTGTTTTTGTAATAGTGATAAAATTCTGGCCAAATTTGTTTTTAGTCTGTTTTGTTGTCATTTAATGAAATACTGCCTGAATACTTGAAACCTTTTTGAGTATTTCTTGTCTACCTCAAAGAAGAGAGGAATTTAAGAAGAAGCTTTTTTATTATTTTTGAGTGTTGGACAGCTATGTATGTGATACCCACTGTTCCAAGGTAGAGGTTACAGAGTGCAGGATGGGTGGGACACCCAGAGAGTTTTAGGTCACTGTTTGACCAGTAGGGAGGTAGTGTTTAAGTCATGGAGAACAGTCATCCACCTTTTCTTTGAAGAAGAGAGCAGTGTTACGTGTTTTATAAAGTCTTATGTAACATTGTAGAAATAACATTCTTCTGATGGGCTAAATAAATATGTCCTTATGAATTTCAAATTTTATTTCAAGGAAAAATGCTGGGCAGATCTGCTGGCTGTTGTCTTTGCTTTTGTAACTACGACATTGCTAACAAGGAGCTTATCTCAGTTTCCTTTAAAATTGCCACATCTCTTACTGCAAACCTGATGTTTTTTGATGTACAAAGATTATGGTTTCTTTCTTGATCAAATTGCTCTATATGTCTTCACTGATAATGACTTTGTTTATATTCATTTCTTTTTGTGAATAAGATTGTATATAAAGATCAGTTTATAAAGTTTTCTTTTTATGAAAAATATTTTTTAATTGGGAAAGATGTTATCTGCATGTGTTTTAAATCTTTTATTATTTATGTGCGACTAAAGGGTATTTTTCCTGGATGAAATTTCAAAAGCTAAAAATTGTCACACAGTGCAGTATCTTGGTGCAGTGCTCTGGTTATTTTTTGTTATTGAGTAAGATATTTTGGAAAGCTGGCTTCTCTTGTTTTCTCTTGACTGACTTTTAAGTTGCTTAATTGCAATATATGTTTTATCTCACAGTGATTCTCAATATTACGCTTGTTAAATTAGAGATGCTTTTTCTGTACAAAACAAAAGTTTAAAAACGTGTTTGGAAATTTCAAATGTATATTAAAGAGAATAGTACAGGCTAGGCACGGTGGCTCATGCCTGTAATCCCAGCACTTTGAGAAGCCAAGGCAGGTGGATCACAAGGTCAGGAGATAGAGGCCATCCTGGCTAACACGGTGAAACCCTGTCTCTAATAAAAATACAAAAATTAGCCGGGCGTGGTGGCAGTCGCCTGTAGTCCCAGCTACTCGGGAGGCTGAGGCAGGAGAATGGCGTGAACCCAGGAGGCGGAGCTTGCGATGAGCCGAGATCACACCACTGCACTCCAGCCTGGGCAACAGAGCGAGACTCTGTCTGAAAAAAAAAAAAAAAAAAAAAAAGAAAAAAGAAAAGAAGAGAGAATAGTACAAGGAATTTCTACTTTTCAGTCACTCGGTTTCATCATTTATCAAGATTTTTCCCAGTTTGCCATACTTATCTCTCCTTTTTTTTTTTTTTGCCGAAGTACTTTAAAGCAAACCTCACGTATCATCTCATTTAATTCCCACATCAGTATCCCTGTCTGAAAAATATGGACCACAACATAACCACAATCTTGTTACTATACCTGTCAAAGTTCCTTGGTTTCACAGAATACCTATTTCCCAGTCATATTCCTCCTGTTGTCACTGTGGGTCATTTTATGTTGGTTTTGTTGAATAATGAGAAAAACAAGGTTCACACATTAGTTTGGTGGTTCTTTCCCTTAAATTTCTGTAATTGGAAGTGATCTTACTCTTCCTCCTCCCTCCTATTTACCTTCTGCAAGTGACTTAAAGAAACTGATTTAGTTCTTTAGAATTTTTTCCCTCTGGATTTGTCTGTCTGCTACTTTTTGATGTTCAACTTGACCCTCTGTATCCTCCCTTTCAGTGAATGGGAGGTGCCTACAGGCTTGATTAGATGTTGGTTCACCTGTTTAGGGAAGAACACCTCCCAGATTGGTCTGTGCTTCATGCTGCATCCCATCCTGATGCACAGTGTCTGGTTTTCTCATTTTTAAGCATGCTAAAATAGATCATTGGTTCAGGTGGTAACAGCTGGTCTATCCATTGCAATCATCCATCCTCCTTTTATCTAATACCTTTATTCATTGGCTACTGTTGCAGAGGTTGTAAAATGGGTACTTTTCTAATACTGCTTATCTTTTTGCATCAGTTAGCTTGAATTATTCTGTAAGGAAAGTTTTTCCTCTGGTTAACTAGACTATATGGTTACCTCCAAATATATTTCTTCAAGGGAAGGTGGAATAAATGTTTAATTCTTTATTTTAATTGCCAACAATAACTCTTTCAGGCTGATGGCCAGTTTGCCACTAACACATTCCCTGGAGAAAGCACAGTTGCCTGTCAGGCAAATTAACTGACCATTACCCTTTGTCTGCCAGAGTTACCATGGGGCTCCTGAGCCTAACAGATTGAAACCAGTCATCTCTAAAAAGACTTCTGAAATTAAACTTCAGGTCATGTTGTAAGACTGGTAGAGTTTGCGGGTCGCTTAGCACTAATTTCAAGTTTGTTTTCTAGGTTTCTAATGACTGTGCTATGTGGAGTGTTAGAATCTGTGTCACGTCCCTTCACAATACAGGCATATTTGTTGTATTGTGCTTTTTTCAAATTGAGGTTTGTAGCAACCCTGTGTTGAGCAAGTCTATTGGCACCATTTTTCCAACAGCATGGGCTCACTTTATGCCTCTGTGTCACATTTTGGTAATTCTTGAAACATTTCCAACTTTTTAATTATTATGGTATCTGTTATACTGATCTGTGATCAGTGATCTTTGATATTGCAATTGCAATTTCTTTGAAGTGCCATAAACCATACCCATGTGAGACTGCAAACTTAATTCACTGCTCCACAGACTGGAAATTTCCCTATCTCTCCCTTCTCAGGCCTCCCTATTTCCTGAGACAAAATAATATTGAAATTAGGCCAATTAATAACTCCACAGTGGCCTCAAAGTGTTCAAGGGAAAGGAAGAGTTACACATTTCTCACTTTAAATCAAAAGCTAAAAATGATTACACTTATGAGGAAGGCATGTCAAAACCGAAAGTTAGATGTCTTTGCACTAATCAATTAGCCAAGTTATGAATGTAGAGGGAAATTGAAGGAAATTCAAAGTGCTAGGACAGTGAAGGCACAAACTATAAGAAAGCAAAACAACCTTATTGATGATACGGAAAAAGGCCGTGTGGTCTAGAAAGAAGACCAAACCAGCAACAATATACCCTGCAGTCAAAGGCTAATCCAGAGCAAGAGGCCCTAATTCTCTTTAGTTCTATGAAGGCTGAGAAAGATGAGAATGCTTCAGAAGAAAAACAGGAAACTAGCACAGGTTGGATCATGAGGTTTAAGGAAATAAACCATCACTCCAACATAAAAGTCCAAGGTTGAAGTGGCAAGTTCTGTTGTGGAATTTGCAGCATACTATCTAGAAGATCTAACTAAGATAATTGTTGAAGGTGATTGCACTAAGCAGCAGATTTTCAATGTAACAAAACAGCCTTCTATTGGAAGAAGATACTATTTGGGACATTTTTAGCTAGAGAGAAGACAGTGCCTGACATGAAAGCTTCAAAGGATGGGCCACCCCTCTTGTTAGGGACTAATACAGCTGCTGACTTTAAGTTGAAGCTAATGCTCTTTTATTATTCCTAGAATCCTAGAACCCTTAAGAATTATGCCACATTCACTCTGCCTGTGCTTTATAAATGGAACAATGAAGCCTGGTTGATAGCACATTTATTTACAGCATGGTTTAGTGAATATTTTAAGCCTGTTGTTGAGACCTGCTCAGGAAAAAAAAAAACTCTTAAAATATTACTGCTAATTGACAAATCACCTGATCACCCAAGACCTCTGATGCAAATATACAAGGAGATTAATGTATTTTTCATGCCTGCTAACACAGTATTCATTCTGGAGCCCATGACTCAAGGAGTAATTTTGACTTTTAAGTCGTGCTATGTAAGGAATACATTTTTTGAGGCTATAGTTGGCATAGTGATTCCTCTGATGAATGTGAGTAAAGTAAATTGAAAACATCCTGGAAAGGAATCACCATTCTGGATGCCATTAAGACATTCCTGATTCAGGGGAAGAGGTCAAAATAGCAACATTAACAGGAGTCTGGAAGAAGTTGATTCTAAACCTTATAGATGTTCAAGACATCAGTGGAGGAAGTCACTGCAGATGTAGTAGAAATAGCAAGAGAACTAGAATTAGAAGTAGAGCCTGAAGATGTGACTGAATTGCTACAATCGTTGATGAAACTTGAATGGATGAAGAGTTGCTTCTTATGGATGACCAAAGAAAGTGGTTTCTTGAGATGGAATCCATTCCTGGTCAAGATGCTGTGAACATTGTTGAAATGACAACAAAGGATTAGGAATATTACATAAACTTGATAAAGCAGCATCAGGGTTTCAGAGGATTGACTCCAATTTTGAAAGAAGTTCTAATGTGGATACAATGCTATCAAATAGCATTGCTTCCTACAGAGAAATCTTTCATGAATCAAAGAGTCTGTCAGTGTGGCAAACTTCATCATTGTCTTATTTTCAGAAATTGCCAGCAGCCACACTTACCAGCCAGCAGCCATCAACATCAAGGCAAGACCCTCCACCAGCAAAAAGATTATGACTTACTGAAGGCTCGGATTGTTAGCTTTTTTATTTTTAGCAATATGGTATTTTTAAATTAAGGTATGTAAATTGTTTTTCTAGACAAAATGCTGTTGCACACTTAATAGACTCCAGTCTAGTGTAAACAAAACTTTTGTATCCACTGGGAAACCAAAAGTGGTGTGGAGTTGCTTTATTGTAATACTTGCCTTATTGTGGTGGTCTACAACTAAACCTGCACTATCTCAGAGGTATGCCTGTGCTACCACACCTTGAACTACAGGTTTACTTATTATTTAATTGTAATTTTTCCCACTAGATTATAATATCAGAAGAAAATAAACTGTTTGGCATCCCGGTTTAAGTAACCAGAGCTTTTCTGGTTTTAAGAGACAGAAACCCAAATCAAACTAAATGTAACACAAAGGAAAATTATTTGCAAAGCCACAGGTGTAGCTCACAGAACTGAAGGAAAAGTTACAGAATATTTAGCTGCTCTAGAAATTCTGATGACTTCAGGGACTTGAATGTCATCAGCACCCTCTGTCTCTATCTTTCTCACCTCTCACTAACAGTTTTGTTCTCATAAACACTTTCATGTTTTGGCAGCTATGGTAAACAGCAGTTTAGGGATTGTGTCCTTTCAACATCAAGGCTTTAACTGGCCTGGCCTAAGACATATTCCCATCTGTAGGCCAATTATTACTGTCTCCAGGGAAAGTGGGTACTCTGGCTGGCCTACCATGGGCCAAGTGTCCACTTCTGTGATGATGATGATGGGGGAGGACGGTGATGGGCTTTCATTGTTCTGATAAGCATAGGTATGAAGTAATTCCTCATGGAAACAGAGTGCTGTTATCCAAAGAAAGAAAAATGTTTGCTGCATAGGCAAAAATAATAGATGTATCATTTGTATACATTTGTATCTCCAGCATCCAACAGAATATTCGCATATAGCAGATGCTCGACAAAATTTTGTGGACAAATCAATGGAATCAATGAATACTGCTTGCTTTTATGTAATACATTTGGTTTGTAGAAAGATTGTATTTTGGCAGAACATACTCCCTAAAGTCATGCCGACTTTTGCTTGCTATATGGATTCCCTAGTTCTTGAAACATCCTACTTGTGATTGCTGTGTTGTTGTTTTTTTTTTTTGCAAAAATTCCACTTTGCTCTAGACTTTACAGATTTTCAAGGTAATAGTAAAGCCTTTATAATGACATAGATAATTTCTCTAGTACTAAGTAAGAATGTTCAGTATCAGGACCTATAAATCTCAGTGTATCTCATTGTGTATTAAAGGGCTGGATCCTTTCCTATTGGTTATGGTACTTGGCCGCTTTTGGTGCTTCAGAGTGAGAAACAACATACATGAAGACAAACAAAACATTTTTCTTTTCAACTCTTTTCATAAAGTGATTAAAAAAAAACTCAAACTAATAGATTTTTTTTTTCCTGGGGCAATACACTAACCAGTACACAAAGTTTCCATCATCGTTGTTTTCCAAGCCTATATATAACTCAATATAGACTGATAATTATAACTCCCTGCTTCAGGTTTGATCTAAGTTATCTAATGATAAATGGTGACCCTAAAGTTATTTTGTTTTTGTTTGCTTGTTTATTTTTTAGAGGGAGTCTCGCTCTGTCACCCAGGCTGGAGTGCAGTGGTGCGATCTCAGCTCACTACAACATACACCTCCCGGGTTCAAGCAATTCTCCTGTCTCAGCCTCCTGAGTAGCTGGGACTACAGTTGCATGCCACCAGGCCTAGCTAATTTTTGTATTTTTGATAGAGACAGGGTTTCACCATATTGGTCAGGCTTGTCTTGAACTCCTGACCTCAGGTGATCCACCCGCCTAAACCTCCCAAAGTGCTGCGATTACATGTGTGAGCCACCACGCCCAGCCCCTAAAGTTATTTTGTATTTGTGAACTTATTGAGATAGGCTAAAATCATGGGACTCCCTAGGAAGAAACAGTGTTTTCCATTATGCTGAAATGTGTAATTTTTTTTCTTTCATTTCCTAAGCTCATCTATCTACAACCAGATAAAATCTTTTTTGTCTATTAGTAACTGCATAGTAAAAAATTTTATATAGTGTTTGGCCCTATTTGCCTTGAATAACCGTCTTCAATTTTAAGACATTACTTGGAATCCTAATCATCTCCATAAAAAATATTTTAAAAATTATGAAATTTAAGAACATACTGGAAAATATCTTTAAGATTTTATTTTCTTAACTATTTTTGATGTGTGTTGTCAAAAGGAATTTCACATTTAAAAGATAATGAAGTGTTGAATTCATCCTCCCCTTCTCTCTCATGATGGTGTTCATAAAGTTGATAATGAAATCTGCAGCAATATCACGTTGTTTTGATGGCATTGGTTGCAAGAGAACTTGGAAGCCAATATGCAGCTCATTTAACTTGTGCCCATGCCATCTGCTTATCTGCATTACTCAGCCAGCCTGCCTGCTTCTTTAGTCTACAGGGATGATTAACCTGGAGGAAGATTCCTGGCAGCCTCAATTCACTTCCTGAATCTTCTGCATCATCCAGAATTCCCTGATGGAGCCTGGCAGAATATTTGGAAAGGCAAAGAGACTCTTTTGGCCTGGGAAAGAATTGACATAAATGTCAGCTGCTGAACCACCACCAAGGAGAATAAATTCAGGGTTCTAGGCTCATAAGAAATTCAAGTCACCAACTAACATAATACAGAGCAACCAGGCTGGAGACAGTGGCTCACGCCTGTAATTCCAGCACTTTGGGAGGCTGAGGCGAGTGTATCACGAGGTTGGGAGTTCAAGACCAGCCTGGCCAATGTGGTGAATCCCTGTCTCTACTAAAGCTACAAAAAATTTGCCGGGCCTGGTGGTATGCACCTTTAATCCCAGCTACTTGGGAGGCTGAGGCAGGGGAATCACTTGAACCTGGGAGGCAGAGGTTGCAGTGAGCCAAGATCACACCACTGCACTCTAGCCTAGGCGACAGGGCGAGATTCTGTCTCAAAAGAAACAAAATATATATAGAGAGAGCAACCAATAAGGGGATATTCTGGTCTTGACCATCTCATTTATTTATTTTGTAGCAACAGAAATAGTGAAATTCAACTAAATTTAATGTGCCAACAAATTCATTGTTATCCAATTCACTTGGAAGGTAAGACAGGTGATATTTTCCTACTTTGTTCTTGACACAGAGACCACCTGGCATTAGAAGTCTTACTCTGTTGGAAGATGGGGGCCATCCTCATTAATATGCTCTGGGATATCATTGTATTGAGACCTATTACGTGGGGTCAGCCAGGAGAGCAGTAGTAATTTGGCCTGTGACACTGAATCTTCTCTGAGTGAACCACAGTGTGTCTAGCTTTCAATTTGTCCATGAATGGGAGTCAGGGACCTGCCCTCGCATTCTCTCCCATGAATGAGGTTTTAATCATGATGTCCATCTGACCTTTGTGCTATACAAATGCCAGGAAATGTCCAGATGTGCAAGTCAGGAGCAAGAAGCAGTGTGCAAACTCAGGATAAAATGGAGGCCTGTGAACCAGAGAGGATAAGTCCCTTTGTTAGTGCCTACAACTCTTAGATAGTGGAAGCCTTTCTTGCCCTGTTGTCATGCTGGTGCTGAGCCTTCTAACACAGTACACATTTATCCATCACTGGGACATCAATCAATAATTCACGGTGTCATATGCTGCCTTGCATATAATCCAACAGCATTTTTGGACTTTGGGCACTTGGGCTGCTTCTTTATTAAGAACTGTGGAGAAAATATTTTTCTCATGAAAGTTACCAATATAAATAAGAAAAAGGAAAATAAGGCGGAGCTGAGGTCACTGTGTATCACAACACAGGGTGGTTTTAAGATAAAAATTGAAACAGCCTGGATGAAGGCATTCTGTCATGCTCGGTTTTGTCCCTGCCTCAAATAAAATTATGTAGAGTTAAATGACATTCTTTGTCACCACTGCCCTGAGCTGGCCCTTGGCAAAATGGTGAAGTCAGTTGTGCTTGTTATAGGTGCCTCCCAACTTTCCTTTTTTGGCACCATGTCTCTTCTCCCGAACTCTCTCGCAGGGACTCAGAGACTCCTGAGAACATTGTTCTTTCAGGCTGCTGCTTTGACTGAAGCCCTAAACTCCCCCAGGTCCTCCTCAGTCCTATTCCTTGTTCTAAAAGCACAACAACTGTGACTAGACAGCTACCTCATAACTACTAACGTGTTCAAGATAAAGGTTTCTTTATGGAGGACTCTGGGACGTCAGTGATACTGACACAATGAAAGAGCACATAAATGGTGGGATAACAGTATTCACTCATCCTCAATCCAAGATACTTGGCCCCAAATTTTGATATGAGTTGAGGCTAATGAACTATACCACCTTGCTGCTCTAAGTATGGTCCTTGCCAGTAATATTAACGTCACACCTGAGTGTGTTAGAAATGCAGAATCTCGGGTCCTACCCAGACCTACTGAATCCAAATCTGCTTTTTAACAGACTCCCAAATAATTATTATTCATATTAAAGTTTGAGAGATATTAACACATTTCATACGAAGTTTCAGTAAAAGTAAATTCTTTACTGTGTCAGGCTTCTGGTGAGAATAGGGATAAAGCACCCTGACATAGGGAAGGGTATGAAAAGCCTCACTTGGAGCAATGACTCTCCAAATTCAGTGTGCATGAACATCATCTGGAAAGCTTATTAAAACTTAGATTGTTGGGCTCCACCCTTAGAATTTCTGATTTACTAGGTCTGGGTGGAGCCAGATAATTCCCATTTGTAACAAGTTTCCAGGTGATGCTGATCCTTCTGTTTGGAAGGGTGAAACACACTTGAGAACCACTAACATATAGTGATGTGAGCAATCTGTGTTGAGGCCCCTTTGTGCCAGAAGCTCTGTTTGGCCCTTGCACATACATCAAGAATACTGGAACTCAGAAACTCTATATCAGGGTGTAAGGATGACACTGCTGCTTCTCTGGGTGACCTTGCACAGGTCACATGGCCTCTCTGGACTTCAGCTTCTGTGTCTGTCAAAATAAATAATGGGCTAGATACTCTCTAGCATATCTGCCATTTCTAAAATTCTATGCTATGTCTTTTTAGTGACTTCTTTAAGACCCAACTCAAAGAAGTAATTACAACTGGGGATCTCAGACCCAGGAGATGGAAAAAGCATATGCCCATGATGAAAGTTAGTTGGGAAATACTTGGGGCAATGAAGAAATTATTTTTTTCTCTAAAAATTGGTCACCATCATGCCTGCAGTTATACCAGCCCTTACTTTGTTGCTAACAATTGATTACCTGCACAATTCTTATTTTGGGTGAGTCTGGAAAATTTCAAAATTGAACTTTTCAGCAATATGAAATATCTTGGAACTAAAGTATAGAGAGGACCCAATGTGTTTGGAATCCAACCCCACAGTTTGAATTTTTCAAATTTCTACCAAATGGAAAAAAACAACATATCTCAGTGTACACACAGCTCTAGTTAACAACTGAATGCACTGTTTTCATAGGTAAGGTGTTAGTATCTAGGAACAAATACACTCAGGAATTTCATCTTTCTGCAGCTATGTTTGGCAGTGTTAAAAGTTGAATCTGTGTTCTATTGAAATTTTACTTCTGTGTGAATAAATGGATCAGGTATCAAGCATGATGTTAGAATCTGATCGTTGGTGTCAAGGCTCATACACGTTTAAGTACCTTCACCATATCAACCTGAAATGTTACCAGTTCTCTTGTTAAGGAAATATTCCTTCAGAGAAAGGTGACCTGAAGGGTCAGGTTAAAATTTAGAGTCAAGAGTGAGGGTAGAGGTGTGCTATGTTATGTCCAAATATACTAAGAAGTGTGGAGAGAGAGATGAGTTTGTGATGATGACAAGAGTTAGGGTAGATGATGCCTCAGTGCACAACGAACAACAATGAGAAACAATGTTTAAGGAACAAACTGTGAAGTCTGGTTGTTCCATACTTTTTGACATAATGATACTTGGATTGCCTCTCAGTTTATATGTGCTTTGAACTCTCTTCTCTTCCTCCTCCCCTTAGTGCAGATTCATAGGTGAATTTTTCAGAAAGCCTTTGAAAAAATAAATAAAAATACTCTTTGGAGTATGGAAAAATTCAAGATTTCCAGTTCTATTTTATATTTTAAAAGATAAATTAAATGTCAGCAAGGCTGTAATCTAACCCAGAGATGAGACCACCTTCTGAAGTATGTAGAAAGGTGGAGCTGGAATCAGAGTACCTGAGAAAATCCCACACAGCCCCAGAGAGTTAGCACGTTTGCTTTATGTCTAGATCCTCTCGCCAAAACCCTGCTGCTTTACTGCTCAACTAAAAATAACGATCTTCTGTCCTACTTTTTTTGTTATTAATATTTCTTAATTTGTAAGGACTTTTCTCATTTCATGGCATCTTCTAACAGCTTTAATATCCTGTTACTGTGTATCTAAGTGAATTATAGTGAAAGCTACCTATTCTAATGGCTGGCAGTCCCGTAGAAATCAGTATTTTGAGTGTTCATCTTACATAAACTTTGGTCTATTAACTCAGATTCACTGGGGAAAGAAAGGATTTAGACCATGATGGATTTGGTGGTGTAAAATTTAGAGGAAGAAGGATTTTTTTTTTTTTTTTTATGTACTTTAAGTTCTGGGATACATGTGCAGAATGTGCAGGTTTGTTACGTAGGTATACACGTGCCATGGTGGTTTGCTGCACCCATCAACCTGTCACCTACATTAGGTATTTCTCCTAATCCTGTCCCTCCCGTTGGCCTCTAATCCCCAACAGGCCCCAGTGTGTGATGTTCCCCTCCCTGTGTCCATGTGTTCTCATTGTTCAACTCCCGCTTATGAGTGAGAACATATGATGTTTGGTTTTCTGTTCCTGTGTTAGTTTGCTGAGAATGATGGTTTCCAGTTTCATCCGTGTCCCTGCAAAGGTACATGAACTCATCTTTATTTATGGCTGCATAGTATTTATGGCTGCATAGTATATGAGCCACATTTTCTTAATCCAGTCTATCATTGATGAGCATTTGGGTTGGTTCCAAGTCTTTGCTATTGTAAATAGTGCCGCAGTAAATATACGTGTGCATGTGTCTTTATGGTAGAATGATTTCTAATCCTTTGGGCATATACCCAGTAATGGGATTGCTGGGTCAAATGGTATCTCTAGTTCTAGATCCTTGAGGAATCGCCACACTGTCTTCCACAATGGTTGAACTAATTTACACTCCCACCACAGTGTAAAAGCGTTTCTATTTCTCTGCATCCTTTCCAGCATCTGTTGTTTCCTGGCTTTTTAATGATTGCTATTCTAACTGGCATGAGATGGTATCTCATTGTGGTATTGATTTGCATTTCCCTAACTATCAGTGATGATGAGCTTTTTTTCATACGTTTGTTGGCCGCATAAATGTCTTCTCTGAGAAGTGGCTGTTCATATCTTTAGCCTACTTTTTGATTGGGGTTGTTTGTTTTTGCCATTCCAAATATTCCGCCAGGCTCCATCAGGGAATTCTGGATGATGTAGAACATTCAGGAAGTGAATTGAGGCTACCAGGAATCTTCCTCCAAGTTAATCTTCTAAGTATGGCCACAGAAATATTTCCCATCCCCCATGGTCTTCATACAATGTGACTCTAGCATTCCTCCCATCCAGAGACAGAGTCTGTTCCCTCTCCTTGAGTCTGGGCAGATTTGCGACTTCAGCAGACTTTATGTTACGTGACTCCCAAGGTTAGGCTATAAAAGGTGATGCAATTTCCATCTACTTTCATTAGAACATATAACAGAAAATAAAACTTTGCTATCCTTGATACATAAAGAAGTCTTACAAAACCAAAAGGAAAAAAATCTATGAAAAATAAGAAAAGGATAGTTTTGGAGGCCCAGACCACCATGTGAAAAGGGGGAGGCCTCCATGCCAGGCCACATGGAAAGGATACAGGAGGGTGTTTGGGATGAGCTCCCAGCCAGCGGTGGCAACCACCACTCCTGTGAGTGGTGACACCTCCAGGTGATACCTGCCCCAGTTGCTGAGTCACCTCCATCTTTGGAGTCTTGCAGGAAGCTCCAGAAATTGTGGAGCAGAAACATGCTATTTCCCTGTGCTTTTTCAGAATTCTTGACCCATATAATCTGTTAGCAGAATACAGTTGTTATTTTAGGTTGTCAAATTTCGGGGTAATTTGTTATGCATTGATAACTGAAAAAAAAAATCAACATTCTGATTTTCAATTTTTCTTACCTTTCCCAGTCTGAGAATAAAAATCTATCATTTTAACTTGTATTTGATAATTAGTAAGGCTAAACCCTTTTTATGTGACTATTAACCAATTATATGTATTTTAGCTCATCAGTATCCTTTTCTATTTTTAATAGACATTTTCCTTTTGGTTTTATAAGAATTCTTTATATATCAAGGATAATAACTTTATTTCTGTTATATGTTCCAAATATTTTGTTGTTGTCTTTTGTTGTTTATGGTATTATTTACTTATGCTATTTTTAAAAGTCAGAACTTGAATGGTTTCTAGTTGGTCTTTATTGGGCACTTATGACCTCTGTGTAATTCTCTCTCATCCCAAGACAATTAGATTTATTCCTTGCTTCTGTATTTGAAAGTATAGTATTCCCTTAGCTAAGAACATGGTCTCCTATAGCTTGTAGTTTTTCTTAAAACTTTATCATATTTAGGCTAAATGTATTTTCAAAATGTATATTTTAGTAAAGCTTACATTTATTTGTAATATTTAGCCTCAACATAAAAGTGATTAAGTCTAATGTTAAGAGTTACTATATAGCGAAAAAGGCTCAATTATAAATAGATGTAAGGCACAGACCAATAGGAGTGATGTGGGGATGAAAGACCTTGCAGATCAAGGTGAAAATAATTTTTAAAAATTTAGAAACAAGGTATGAGGAAATTATTAGCAAGAAAACAATAGTTAGGAAAATATGTTCTAGAAAAAATACAGGTGAGGCATGGCTTATGTATTGCTTTTAAATGATGAGATGAGGGAAAATCTAGGTGCAAGGTGAATAAAATAAATATAGTAGGAAAGCAAGAAAGGCCAAATATAAAAGGCTATCTGTGTGTATGTTAACAGCTAACATCTTAATAAAGCCATTGCATAATTACAGCCGTTGTCAGAATGAAAAAGTGTACCAACTTTTGATACAAACTATCTTGTAAGTCTGAATTGTCAGAGGTCAAGTCATAAATGAACCATGGGTATTATCCAGTAAAGGATACATAATGAAAAGCATAATAGTTTAGGTATGTAGAATGTCACATGTAGTTCAGTTCTGGTTTTGAAATTTGGGAGTATACTTTGCAGTAAATATTTGTAGTTGAAAATTAGCAGAAAGCCATCCTAAATATCCCATGAGTTTATATTTATTTAAATCATGTTCATATGGATCTTTACATTTTATAGAAAATCAGTTATAATTTAGAAGAAAATACAACATATTCCCTGCCTTTAGATAATATGACAGGAAACCTAGATGTTAGACCTTCAGGATGTGACAATTAAAGATCCACCGATGCACCTACTGTCAGTTTATCCTGACTGCAAACCAAGTTCTGAGAGGGACCAGCTATGTCAACAAGGCCGTAAAGTGACAGCAAGTATCACACTGAGATAACAAGCAGCGGCTGCATCGACGGCTATCAGAGAGAGGAAATCCATCCAAAGTAAAGGGGTGATCAGTTAGCACTGTATATTTTACTTTCATTATTAGGAAGAAATGTGATTGACAGTGAACATTTATATAATTTTAAAATCCCTTTACACATAATGTAACACTTGTTGATTTAAGAATGTTTTCAAAAACGCTCAAGTAGAAAAATTTCTGTTGCATCTAAGGACTTTAAAACATGTAATATTCTAAGAAACAATGGCCAGAGAATTCTCAATGCTTCACTTTGGATAAAGAAGCTACCTCTATCAGGTGTAATTCCTTCTAAATAATTTTCTCAACCCTGTTACTGGCTCCTAGTGGGTGTGAAGTGGTATTTCATTGCATATTGCTTTGCAGTTCCCTGATGGCTAATGATGTCAGCATCTTTTCATATGCTTATTGGCCATTCATATATTTTCTTTGGAGAAATGTCTGTTCAGATCATTGCTGCATTAAAAAAATCTAGATTATTTGTCTTTTTATTATTGAGTTGTGAGGGTTCTTTGTATATTCTAGATACAAGTCCCCTGTCAGATACATGATTTCCAAACATTTTCTCCTATTCTGTCTTTTTACTTTCTTAATGGTATCTTCTGAAGCACAAACATTTCTAATTTGATGAAGCATTATTTATCTTTTTCCTTGTTTTTGCTTGTGCTTTTGGTTTTATATCTAAGAAGGCTTAACTCACCCAAGATTAGAAGATTTAGTCCTATAATTTTTTTACAACCTGATAGTAAAGTTATTGGGAAATAGCTAACTTTCACACACCTCAGCCTTCTGAGAAGTTACCATTATATGCCAAAAATAATCTAAAAGTTACGATTGATCAAATTTTTTAAGGTCATTGAAACACGTATTTGAACCATGGGATAGAAGCTTAACAAATAGGATAAATTGAAACGGGATCCAGATGAAATCAACGATATGATTTTAAAAGGAAATGAAAATTCAGAACTTCCGGATTACTTCGTCGGTTGCCACCAAGTCACTAAGTAGTACTCATAGTAATTACATAGACCACATTGCTGTATTCCCTGCACAAACTCCCACAGTCCCTTCTACATATGCAGATGAGCAAAAACTGCAAGAAATAAAATGCCAATCACAGCCTAAGGCTTAACCTAAAAAGGTCCTAGGTAACCCAGCCTTCTCATTAATCAAAAGTTACTTGGCTTGAACAAATCACAACAGAAGTTTTCAAGTGAGTCCAACGAGTCAAAGATTTTTTTGTTTTATGTAAGCATAAGAGGTATATGAGATGAAGTTACTCCCTAAATAATTGATTAAAATCAGTGCATTCTTGGGGCGACATCCTAATTTCCCTGATCTTCATCCTCCTCCAGGTGTCATTTATAGGAGAGTTGTTATGAATATTAACAACTATTAAATATGTTAAGTGTGCTGAGCACCACAGAATGAACACAGTAGAGGCCATACCAGTATCCTCAACAAGTAGAAGCCCTAGAACATTCTCTTCCTACAGCCTTCTCTAGCTGCCCTTGTGAGCACACTACAGGGCTCCCTACCAAGCTAGACTGAGGTCATCCACTCATTTGCCACATTAGAGACTATCTAGCTGGATCCTCCAATTCTATAGATGAGAAGATTAAAAATCCAGTGAGTCTGAGAAGGACAACACAGGCATAGAACAATATCCTCTAACACTATTGCCCAGTAGCTGATTCCCCAACTTTTAAGTCAGTTGTTTTCATAATTCCCAAGTGTCAATCTGGCTAAGAGTATCCAAAGCAGGTAGATTGAAGGGGGGATAGACTGACCACTGATACAGGATTTAAAATGTCAAGAAAAGAGCAAGATGCACTAGAGGTTCTCACCAAACCAATTAGGCAAGAAAATGAAATTAAAGTCATCCGTATTTGAAAAAATAAACTATATCTATTTGCAGATGACATGAATTTACATATAAAAAATCCTAAGGAAACTACTAAAAATTATTAGAACCAATAAAAAAGCTCAGTACATTCGCAGAGTACAAGATCAATATACAAATAACAATTGTATTTCTAGACACTAGCAATGAATAACTCAAAATTAACAATGTTCAATTTGCAAATAGCATCAAAAAGAATTAAATACACAGAAGTAAATTTAACACAAGAAATGTAAAACTTATACTCTGAAATACAAAAAAAAATTGTTGAAAGAAATTAAAGAACAACTAAACAAATGGAAAAATATGGGTTGGAAGACTTTCATTCATGGGTTGGAAGACTTAATGTTAACATGTCAATACTCCTTGAATTGATTTATCTACAGCCTCAGTGCCATCCTTACCAAAATCCCAGTTTGGCCTTTATTCAGAAATTGACATGCTGAACCTAAAATTCACATAGAAATTCAAAGGACCCAGGATAGCCAAAACAATCTTTTTTTGAAAATTTATTATTACTATTATTCTTTAAGTTTTAGGGCACATGTGCACAATGTGAAGGTTAGTTACATATGTATACATGTGCCATTCTGGTGCGCTGCACCCACTAACTCGTCATCTAGCATTAGGTATATCTCCCAATGCTATCCCTCCCCCCTCCCCCAACCCCGCAACAGTCCCCAGAGTGTGATGTTCCCCTTCCTGTGTCCGTGTGTTCTCATTGTTCAATTCCCACCTATGAGTGAGAATATGCGGTGTTTGGTTTTTTGTTCTTGCGATAGTTTACTGAGAACGATGATTTCCAATTTCATCCATGTCCCTACAAAGGAAGTGAACTCATCATTTTTTATGGCTGCATGGTATTCCATGGTGTATATGTGCCACATTTTCTTAATCCAGTCTATCATTGTTGGACATTTGGGTTGGTTCCAAGTCTTTGCTATTGTGAATAATGCTGCAATAAACATACGTGTGCATGTGTCTTTATAGCAGCATGATTTATAGTCCTTTGGGTATATACCCAGTAATGGGATGGCTGGGTCAAATGGTATTTCTAGTTCTAGATCCCTGAGGAATGGCCACACTAACTTCCACAATGGTTGAACTAGTTTACAGTCCCACCAACAGTGTAAAAGTGTTCCTATTTCTCCACATCCTCTCCAGCACCTGTTGCTTCCTGACTTTTTAATGATTGCCATTCTAACTGGTGTGAGATGGTATCTCATTGTGGTTTTGATTTGCATTTCTCTGATGGCCAGTGATTGTGAGCATTTTTTCATGTGTCTTTTGGCTGTATAAATGTCTTCTTTTGAAAAGTGTCTGTTCATGTCCTTTGCCCACTTGTTGATGGGGTTGTTTGTTTTTTTCTTGTAAATTTGTTGGAGTTCATTGTAGATTCTGGATATTAGCCCTTTGTCAGATGAGTAGGTTGCGAAAATTTTCTCCTGTTTTGTAGGTTGCCTGTTCACTCTGATAGTAGTTTCTTTTGCTGTGCAGAAGCTCCTTAGTTTAATTAGATCCCATTTGTCAATTTTGGCTTTTGTTTGCATTGCTTTTGGTGTTTTAGACATGATGTCCTTGCCCATGCCTATGTCCTGAATGGTAATGCCTAGGTTTTCTTCTAGGGTTTTTATGGTTTTAGGTCTAACCTTTAAGTCTTTAATCCATCTTGAATTGATTTTTGCATAAGGTGTAAGGAAGGGATCCAGTTTCAGCTTTCTACATATGGCTAGCCAGTTTTCCCAGCACCATTTCTTAAATAGGGAATCCTTTCCCCATTGCTTGTTTTTCTCAGGTTTGTGAAAGATCAGATAGTTGTAGATATGCGGTGTTATTTCTGAGGGCTCTGTTCTGTTCCATTGATCTATATCTCTGTTTTGGTACCAGTACCATGCTGTTTTGGTTACTGTAGCCTTGTAGTATAGTTTGAAGTCAGGTAGTGTGATGCCTCCAGCTTTGTTCTTTTGGCTTAGGATTGACTTGGCGATGCGGGCTCTTTTTTGGTTCCATATGAACTTTAAAGTAGTTTTTTCCAATTCTGTGAAGAAAGTCATTGGTAGCTTGATGGGGATGGCATTGAATCTGTAAATTACCTTGGGCAGTATGGCCATTTTCACGATATTGATTCTTCCTACCCATGAGCATGGACTGTTCTTCCATTTGTTTGTATCCTCTTTTATTTCCTTGAGCAGTGGTTTGTAGTTCTCCTTGAAGAGGTCCTTCACATACCTTGTAAGTTGGATTCCTAGGTATTTTATTCTCTTTGAAGCAATTATGAATGGGAGTTACCTCATGATTTGGCTCTCTGTTTGTCTGTTATTGGTGTATAAGAATGCTTGTGATTTTTGTACATTGATTTTGTATCCTGAGACTTTGCTGAAGTTGCTTATCAGCTTAAGGAGATTTTGGGCTGAGACAATGGGGTTTTCTAGGTATACAATCATGTCGTCTGCAAACAGGGACAATTTGACTTCCTCTTTTCCTAATTGAATACCCTTTATTTCCTTCTCCTGCCTAATTGCCCTGGCCAGAACTTACAACACTATGTTGAATAGGAGTGGTGAGAGAGGGCATTCCTGTCTTGTGCCAGTTTTCAAAGGGAATGCTTCCAGTTTTTGCCCATTCAGTATGATATTGGCTGTGGGTTTGTCATAGATAGCTCTTATTATTTTGAGATACATCCCATCAATACCTAATTTATTGAGCATTTTTAGCATGAAGAGTTGTTGAATTTTGTCAAAGGACTTTTCTGCATCTATTGAGATAATCATGTGGTTTTTGTCTTTGGTTCTGTTTATATGCTGGATTACATTTATTGATTTGCGTATATTGAACCAGCCTTGCATCCCAGGGATGAAGCCCACTTGATCATGGTGGATAAGCTTTTTGATGTGCTGCTGGATTCGGTTTGCCAGTATTTTATTGAGGATTTTTGCATCAATGTTCATCAAGGATATTGGTCTAAAATTCTCTTTTTTGGTTGTGTCTCTGCCTGGCTTTGGTATCAGGATGATGCTGGCCTCATAAAATGAGTTAGGGAGGATTCCTTCTTTTTCTAGTGATTGGAATAGTTTCAGAAGGAATGGTACCAGTTCCTCCTTGTACCTCTAGTAGAATTTGGCCGTGAATCTATCTGGTCCTGGACTCTTTTTGGTTGGTAAGCTATTGATTATTGCCACAATTTCAGATCCTGTTATTGGTCTATTAAGAGATTCAACTTCTTCCTAGTTTAGTCTTGGGAGAGTGTATGTGTCAAGGAATTTATCCATTTCTTCTAGATTTTCTAGTTTATTTGCGTAGAGGTGTTTGTAGTATTCTCTGACGGTAGTTTGTATTTCTGTGGGATTGGTGGTGATATCCCCTTTATCATTTTTTATTGCATCTATTTGATTCTTCTCTGTTTTTTTCTTTATTAGTCTTTGTAGCGGTCTATCAATTTTCTTGATCGTTTGAAAAAACCAGCACCTGGATTCATTAATTTTCTGAAGGGTTTTTTGTATCTCTATTTCCTTCAGTTCTGCTCTGATTTTAGTTATTTCTTGCCTTCTGCTAGCTTTTGAATGTGTTTGCTCTTGCTTTTCTAGTTCTTTTAATTGTGATGTTAGGGTGTCAATTTTGAATCTTTCCTGCTTTCTCTTGTGGGAATTTAGTGCTATAAATTTCCCTCTACACACTGCTTTGAATCCATCCCAGGGATTTTGGTATGTTGTGTCTTTGTTCTTGTTGGTTTCAAAGAACATCTTTATTTCTGCCTTCATTTCGTTATGTACCCAGTAGTCATTCAGGAGCAGGTTGTTCAGTTTCCATGTAGTTGAGCGGTTTTGAGTGAGTTTCTTAATCCTGAGTTCTAGTTTGATTGCACTGTGGTCTGAGAGATAGTTTGTTATAATTTCTGTTCTTTTACATTTGCTGAGGAGAGCTTTACTTCCAAGTGTGTGGTCAATTTTGGAATAGGTATGGTGTGGTGCTGAAAAAAAATGTATATTCTGTTGATTTGGGGTGGAGAGTTCTGTAGATGTCTATTAGGTCTGCTTGGTGCAGAGCTGAGTTCAATTCCTGGGTATCCTTGTTGACTTTCTGTCTCGTTGATCTGTCTAATTTTGACAGTGGGGCGTTAAAGTCTCCCATTATTATTGTGTGGGAGTCTAAGTCTCTTTGTAGGTCGCTCAGGACTTGCTTTATGAATCTGGGTGCTCCTGTATTGGGTGCATATATATTTAGGATAGTTAGCTCTTCTTGTTGAATTGATCCCTTTACCATTATGTAATGGCCTTCTTTGTCTCTTTTGATCTTTGTTGGTTTAAAGTCTGTTTTATCAGAGACTAGGATTGCAACCCCTGCCTTTTTTTGTTTTCCATTGGCTTGGTAGATCTTCCTCCATCCTTTTATTTGGAGCCTATGTGTGTCTCTGCCCATGAGATAGGTTTCCTGAATACAGCACACTGATGGGTCTTGACTCTTTATCCAATTTGCCAGTCTGTGTCTTTTAATTGGAGCATTTAGTCCATTTACATTTAAAGTTAATATTGTTATGTGTGAATTTGATCCTGTCATTATGATGTTAGCTGGTTATTTTGCTCGTTAGTTGATGCAGTTTCTTCCTTTTCTCGATGGTCTTTACATTTTGGCATGATTTTGCAGCGGCTGGTACTGGTTGTTCCTTTCCATGTTTAGTGCTTCCTTTAGGAGCTGTTTTAGGGCAGGCCTGGTGGTGACAAAATCTCTCAGCATTTGCTTGTCTGTAAAGTATTTCATTTCTTCTTCACTTATGAAGCTTAGTTTGGCTGGATATGAAATTCTGGGTTGAAAATTCTTTTCTTTAAGAATGTTGAATATTGGCCCCCACTCTCTTCTGGCTTGTACAGTTTCTGCCAAGAGATCTGCTGTTAGTCTGATGGGCTTCCCTTTGAGGGTAACCCAACCTTTCTCTCTGGCTGCCCTTAACATTTTTTCCTTCATTTCAACTTTGGTGAATCTGACAATTATGTGTCTTGGAGTTGCTCTTCTCGAGGAGTATCTTTGTGGCGTTCTCTGTATTTCCTGAATCTGAATGTTGGCCTGTCTTGCTAGATTGGGGAAGTTCTCCTGGATGATATCCTGCAGAGTGTTTTCCAACTTGGTTCCATTCTCCCCGTCACTTTCAGGTACGCCAATCAGACGTAGATTTGGTCTTTTCACATAGTCCCATATTTCTTGGAGGCTTTGCTTGTTTCTTTTTATTCTTTTTTCTCTAAACTTCCCTTCTCACTTCATTTCATTCACTTCATCTTCTATCACTGATAGCCTTTCTTCCAGTTGATCGCATCAGCTCCTGAGGCTTCTGCATTTCTCACATAGTTCTCAAGCCTTGGTTTTCAGCTCCATCAGCTCCTTTAAGCACTTCTCTGTATTGGTTATTCTAGTTATACATTCTTCTAAACTTTTTTCAAAGTTTTCAACTTCTTTGACTTTGCTTTGAATTTCCTCCAGTAGCTCGGAGTAATTTGATCATCTGAAGCCTTCTCTCAGCTCGTCAAAGTCATTCTCCATCCAGCTTTGTTCTGTTGCTGGTGAGGAACTGCGTTCCTTTGGAGGAGGAGAGGCCCTCTTACTTTTAGAGTTTCCAGTTTTTCTGCTCTGTTTTTTCCCCATCTTTGTGGTTTTATCTACTTTTGGTCTTTGATGATGGTGACGTACAGATGGGTTTTTGGTGTGGATGTCCTTTCTGTTTGTTAGTTTTCGTTCTAACAGACAGGACCCTCAGCTCCAGGTCTGTTGGAACACCCGGCCGTGTGAGGTGTCAGTCTGCCCCTGCTGGGGGGTGCCTCCCAGTTAGGCTGCTCAGGGGTCAGGGGTCAGGGACCCACTTGAGGAGGCAGTCTGCTGGTTCTCAGATCTCCAGCTGCGTGCTGGGAGAACCACTGCTCTCTTCAAAGCTGTCAGACAGGGACATTTAAGTCTGCAGAGGTTACTGCTGTCTTTTTGTTTGTCTGTGCCCTGCCCCCAGAGGTGGAGCCTACAGAGGCAGGCAGGCCTCCTTGAGCTGTGGTGGGCTCCACCGAGTTGGAGCTTCCCCACTGCTTTGTTTACCTAAGCAAGCCTGGGCAATGGTGGGCACCCCTCCCCCAGCCTGGCTGCTGCCTTGCAGTTTGATCTCAGACTGCTGTGCTAGCAATCAGCAAGACTCCGTGGGCGTAGGACCCTCCGAGCCAGGTGCGGGATATAATCTCCTGGTATGGCATTTTTTAAGCCTGTCAGAAAAGCTCAGTATTCGAGTGGGAGTGACCGGATTTTCCACGTGCCATCTGTCACCCTTTTCTTTGACTAGGAAAGGGAACTCCCTGACCCCTTGTGCTTCCCAAGTGAGGCAATGCCTCGCCCTGCTTTGGCTCGCGCACGGTGCACGCAACACTGACCTGCACCCACTGTCTGGCACTCCCTAGTGAGATGAACCCAGTACCTCAGAGGGAAATGCAAAAATCACCCGTCTTCTGCGTCGCTCACGCTGGGAGCTGTAGACCGGAGCTGTCCCTGTTTGGCCATCTTGGCTCCTCCACCAAAACAGTCTTGAAAATGACAAAGTTGGAGGACTCATACTTCCTGATTTCAAAACGTACTACAAAGCTATAGTAATCAAGACAGTGTGGTATAGGCACAAGGGCAGACATACAGATAGAGGAATAGAATTGAGAGTCCAGAAATGAATCTTCACACTTGTTATAGTTAACTGATTTTTGACAAAGTGCCAGGATATTTGAAAAAAATCTTTTCAACAACTAGTGTTGAGACAACTTCAATATTCACATGCAAAAGAATGAAGTTGGACACCATACATAGAAATTAACTACCTAAATATAAGAGGTAAAACTCTAAAACTCTTAGAATAAAACATAGGTATAAATCTTCATAATCTAGGGTTAGACAGTGACTTCTTATATATGGCATCTAAAGCACGTGCAACGAAATAAAAATATATTATTTTTGGCAGATAATGATAGTCTCCCAGAAGTTTGATAGTCTCCCAATGAAGACAAATTTGAGGTGAGTAAGGGCTAGTTATTTACCAACAACTTGGCTACCAGCTTAGAAAGAAGAAAAATGTCAGATCAAATTATATTACATATAAACACTTATTCAATAAGCATTTACACGCAAGCAGACAAAATATTCCGAACAATATTTTATATACTTGATAATGTTCAAAGTCTCTGTCCTGTAAGGTATTTGACCACCACTATAAAAGTTTCACCAGATGAAGAAGTCATAATATTCTAGAGACAGCAATCTATTTCTCTTGTAGTTAATTTTTAGGAAACAGATTTTTTTTTCAATACCAGTGGCTGCACACCAAACAATTTTGGAATCAAAGTTTGGGTATTCTCCATTCCTAAGGATATAGGTTAGAGAGACACTAGATTCTTATAGTCTATTTTTCACAATTAAGGAGTATCTCAAAAATACATACCCAATCCACAAGTCCTAATATCATTCCTTTCCACTATATAAGTGTAATTTTGAGATTGTTTATGCTAATTAGGAAAACCTCTGCTGTTGACCAAACTATGAATGGAAAGCTGCATGACTTGTTCTTCCTCTAGAACAGGGCCTCTCAGATTAAAGGTAGCTGTCCTTGTAGGAGTGTGCATTTGTGATTAGGGCAACTGTGTGTCCCTGGAGTGTGGCTTTAACTCTCATACATCTTGTATAACACTATCATAATTTAAAAGTGATTTGCAAATATTATAACTGGGTGGGTGGGGAGCTGCAAAAGATTGAAAATGCTGTTCTTCCTTAAACAGTTTATGAAGATGGGAGAAATATATTCAGTTAACATTTATCAGACACTTTCTGTGAATGAACCTGTGTTAGGAATTGGGCATGTGGCGATGAGTAAGATGCTACCTGTACTTTCAAAAACATCACCCTGTAGCACAGGAGCAGACATGTGAGCAAAGAATTACCATACCATAATTCGAAAGTGCAAAGCTAGAAAAAAACTTATGTAGGTAGTTAAAGGAGCCATAAGCATTACAGAAGGAGGTTGGGCCAGAAAAGCCTTTTCAGGAAAGGAGACAATTGATTTGAGTTTTGGGGTCTGGGCAGTAGGAAAGGACAGTCCAGGCAGAGCAGCATCCCAGAGAAAGCAGGAAGACCTGAGGCAGCACAGTGTTTGGGGGACCAATATTAGCACAGGGCTGCTGGTCATGAAGCACTATAACATTTGTGGCTCAAAGCTGGAATAGGGGATAGGTTGTAAATGGCTTTGCAGCTTGCCCTAATCTTCATTAGAAAACTGGAAAAAAATTAGAAAAAAAATAAAAAAAAACTCTCCTATTGTTTCATGTAGGATGATAAGGATGACTTCAGATGTATTGGCTTTTCATATTTAGATGATTTTAGATGTATTGGCTTGCTATTGCATGTTAGAGTTTTCTCTTCTAAAAAGCCAGGATGCAGAAATGATGTCATGTAGAAAGTTCAAGAATCATGGTTTGGATCATCCAGTGGTAAATCTGAGAAGCAGGTGAGATTTGGCTTCCCACCAGTGTTCTCAGTATCTTATTCTATCTTTCTGAGGCTCTGGGTTGGTGGCTTCACTTGTCTGTATCTTTCATGAAAGTTCACATTCCCATTCCCTTAAACTCTCTTTACTGATTTTTATCAACCAGTGTATCAGTATTAATGGTTACCTTTATCACATTGGGGTACAAAACTGAAGAGGTGAACAAAATATTGAACAGAATTCCTGCTAGAGAAAGGTCTGACTTCAGGAGAAATATTTTGATAACCTGCTTGGAGAAAAGGAATATATCCACTAGGGCGTGCTGAAACATGGAATGCTCAGAAGATAGCTATGACTAAGCAAAGAGAAACCACTTTTTTTGTTCTGAAAGAGACAGAAAGAAGTGAAGGTGGTGGGAGGAAAGAACAGGATTGGAGAGAATCTAACAGAAGGCTCTGTGCTCTATGATGTCACCCAAATCTTCACATGAAAGTTGGCTGAACCCCCAAAGTGCTTGGTGAATGGATTGTGTATGGGCGTGAGAGTAAAACTTTACAAGGTCGAGAGTCATACAAAAGCCAAAGGTAGAGGGGAGGAGGTTCAGCCAGTCACCATGGAGCAGATGAGCCCAAAAGGACCCCCAAACACTTTGAGTATTAGCAGAAATCTTTAATAAATTATTACCTTTCTTCCAGCCGCATTAAAGCCAGTCCCAGCCAGGCTTAAGGAGAGCTGGAATGGAGAGGATTCTCATCTAACATCTGGGTTGCAGTTGTATGTTAACATGGACTTCCTAGGAAGTAACATATCAAACAAAAGGTAACTATAGCATAGACAATTTAAGTTTATTGTCTAAGGAGATGTGTTGGGGGAGGGAAGCAACCGGGCCTTTCAAAACTCTTCAGTTCAAAATGTGGCCTGAACACTTCCATACATTAAATCCAACCCAAAGCAAAATACTTGAACTGCTCCTTCAGGTTAACTTTGCTCCTGGGGGATTTTGTGTCTTTTGGTAATATTATCTCTATACTTTACAAGAAACCTGCTGAGACAGCCTCTTCCTGGGTTGCCTCAAATGGTGTGACCTTGAACCTCTGCCTTCCCAGGACAGATACTTCAGAAGTCAGAGGAAAACTATCTGATCAGGTATCCCCTTCTCCCCCCTCTCTTGTGCTGCAGGGAAAGTGATCAACCAGCAGCAGGTACCAGCCACAGTTAACTGCACCTGCTAGGAGCTCTGAAAGACTTTTTTTTTTTTTAAACGAATAAAGAAATTCTCATTTCACTCTCCTCCACACTGGACTCGCTGAAGAAAGAGGTAGGGAAGTGGATACGCAATTCTTCTGGATTCTCTTTGTTATACCCAACTGCTTTGAAATGTTGAATTTGACTAGAGAGTAAAAGAAGAAAAAGAACAGACTCTCAGGTTCTGAGATATATATAAAATATACTTCCGTTCTTGCTTTCTGGCTGGGGAATCCTGCTGGCTGACTTATAATTTGCAGAAGAGATTTCTTTTAGGCTTTTCTTATGTGACTTCCCAGGCTTTCTTGTACTTATATATGATATGTTAACTAACATCATGGCAAGCAGAAGAGTTTAAATTCCAATTCCATGGCAGTAAAGGAGTATAAGAATCATTATTATAAGAATGATAGTTGTTATAAACATAGTTCATAAACTAGCATTTTTTAACATTTTACCTGAATACTATGAGTAAGCAATCATTAATCAAGCTTTGGCAAGTCTGTCAAAAGCATTTGCATTGAAATTTTATCTTCATATGAGATGTGGCCTATGCAATAATGGTTAGGAACCAAGACAATAAATTGCCAGAATTAGCAACATAGTAAGTGCTCACTATTATGCCTAGACTTTTTCATTATGAAATAATACAGGATATTGGATTCGATGTTCACAGAGTTTTCATTTCAGTTGTGGAGAAGATGTGAAGTGTAAACCAAATAATGTAGTACCTAATCTGAAAGGGATTCTGTTACAGAAGCATCGGCAAGGCTGGGATTACCCGGAAAAGAGAGGATTAATCTGATGTAAAGGATTTGGAGAGGATGTTTATTTCAAACATTTACTTTATTTGGTTGTTTTTCCCCCTGTACACTTGTGTGAGTTACCACACCATAGTTCTCAGCTTTGAAGACTGCTCTGAGTTTTTGTCTAAGGGAAGATTCATATCAGCAGCTCACAGGGGTTCATCTGGCCTTGGAGTCATTCAGGAGTAATTTTCTCAATTAGCAACCCTGGCAGTTAATTGGTTATTTGTTGGAGTCTGAGAAAGGAAATCTGAACTCTAGCAATTTAACTTCTTAGGAAGTCAAATAAATCATATATATTTAACTTTAATAGCATTCATATTGCTATATCATGAATTTACTTAAGTAATTGAAGAACCATGTGGATGCTAAATAACAGGACTGCATGCCATTTCTTTAATTAAAAATACTGCTTCTACAAATGCTGCTAACAAATACTGCATTCAGTTATAATGGTAAATGTACTAAAATTGAATGACTATCTGTTGATTAGACTACTCCTAAATAATTCTTATTAAATTTAATTCAATCAGTGGGCAGCCTTTAAAATCCAAGTGCTTTTGCTTTGAAAAGACGTCATTGCCAAATATGAACATATATTATGATGTGGTACGGTCTTACACAATAAAAATCTCATTAAGATCAACAACATTAAATTTGGCCCACAGTATCTATCTTTACCTTTCCATTACAGTCTAACTATTCTTAGTTGAATTTCTCTTTTACTGAACTAAAGGATTATGAAGAAGTTTCCGAAGTGATTTCAGGAGGTGTGGATTACATGATAATATCTGCCTCTGACAAGGTAGTTTGGGACTTTGCATGGAACATTTTCTCTAAGTCCCACCTAAGTCACCTATAAAATTCAGTCCTTCAGTCAGTGAGCTGGGGATATGATAGTGAAAATGAAACACATGGTCTCTGTTTTCAAGGAAACAATATTGCTAGAGAGAGACAGACAAGTAAATGAGCAAGAAGGTATCAGATGGTAATGAGTGACATGAAAAACATAAGAAAGAATACTGCACTGGATAGTGCAGAGGGCACTTTATATCAGGTGAACAGGGAAGGCTTCTGTGGCACAGTGACACTTGAGCTGAGAGCCAAATGACAGGAGGAGCCAGCCTGCGAAGAGCTGGGGGAGAGGCATTACAAACAACAAGTGAGAAGGCCTTAGGGCCAGAGCAAACAAGGCTTGTTCAGGAACAGAAAGGAGAGGTTAGTGCAGATGGTGCATAGTGAGGAAGGGAGCGAAAATGGGAGAAGACTCAGAAAAAGGAGAGAGGGCAGTGGTTGCCTCTTTAGGACCTTGAAGGTAATGATAGGGGTTTGCATTTGATTCTAAGTGCAATGGGAAGCCATTGGAAGGTTTTGAATGGATGAACATTAGCTGATTCTATTTAACAAAGAGTCTGTAAAGGAGACAGAATGGAGGCAGGGCCACTACTGAGGGGACTTGCACCCTGATGCTAGGGGAAAGGGATAGAGTTGAACTCTGAGAAAATACAGATTCTATCCCACCCAAAATGTTTAAATCCACTTGCATAGCATTACAAATGCTCAGGGGATTGTCATACATCTTGAAGTCTATCCATGGATTATCTGCAGCTCAGAGTGAACTCTCTATAAATTCCTTCACCTTTGATGCTATGTTTAAATGTTTTCTGAAAGGAATCTATTTACATTTTCTTTGCATATCTAGATTTCCATGGAAATCGAAGAAAAATGAACGAAAAGTTTGCTGAAAGTTCCTTTTGGTCTGTTACTTGATTCTTCTGTTAATACATAGACCACTACTTATTTCTTGTTTGTGATATTATGCTAACATTATTTGGAGGGCTTATAGCACTTTATCAACAATTTCATTATTTTTGATATGCAAACATCTTGCTATCTGTTTTGATAATTCTTTCTTTGAAATAGAAAATAGCAAAAAGATAAAGACTTCAGGCTTTTATAAGGAATTATATATTATAATATATGTAATTGTTATTATATATACTATATTTTATTACTCTCCCTTTAAATACCCTAAATAAGAGGAATAACAAATAGAAAAGATGACCCTAAGGTGAAGGTTGCAGTGAGCCAAGATGGCGCCACTTCATTCCAGCCTGGGTGACAGAGCAAGGCTCTGTCTCAAAAAAAAAAAAAGAAAAAAAAAAGCTAACCCTAAAAATTAAAATAACAAAAAATAGAGAAAAAATCCACCTCAATAGAAAAGTAAAGTGAAAAGCACAGTCACAAACCCAAAACAAAAACTGTAAAAATTATCTCTCAAACAGAGTGAAACATGAACTCAGGGAAAGGTTAGCAGGGCAATACTACATAGCTCCTCTAACACTGGGGCCGGGTGACCAGGACATGCTCACAGGGCCAGAATTTAAGGCAATTTGGAATAGGGAGTGGCAAGTAAATGGTAAGCCCATCTAAAGAGGACAGCCATAGCTCACATCCAGGTAATTTTTGCCATGCAGAAAAATTGCCACTGAGGATTGCCAGATCATCTGATTTTTTAAAAAGAAGTTGAAACGGTTTTTTTTTTTTTTTTTTGAGACAGAGTTTCGCTCTTATTGCCCAGGCTGGAGTGCAATGGCGCAATCTTGGCTCACTGCAACCTCTGCCTCCCAGGTTCAAGCAATTTTCCTGCCTCCACCTCCTGAGTGGCTGGGATTACAGGCACGTGCCACCACATCCGGCTAATTTTGCATTTTTAGTAGAGACGGGGTTTCTCCACGTTGGTCAGGCTGGTCTCAAACTCCTAACCTCAGGTGATCCGCCCTCCTTGGCCTCCCAAAGTGCTGGGATTACAGGTGTGAACCATCGCGTCTGGACTCAAAAGGTGGATTTTTATATGAAGTGTTGCTATCTTTCAAAAACTGTGTGGGCCAAACAAAATAATGTCTGCCAGATGGATTATATCTGTGGATTGCTGGTTTATGATCCCTGCTCAGAAAGTGTCATAATTCTTTTTTTTTGGAGATGGAATCTGGCTCTGTCACCAGGCTGGAGTGCAGAGGCACCATCTGGGCTCACTGCAACCTCTGCCTCCCGGGTTCAAGCGATTCTCCTGCCTCAGCCTCCTGAGTAGCTGGGACTACAGGCGTGCACCACCACGCCCAGCTAATTTTTGTATTTTTAGTAGAGACGGAGTTCACCATATTGGCCAGGATGGTCTCAATGTCTTGACCTTGTGATCCATCCGCCTTGGCTTGCAAAGTGCTGGGATCACAGGCGTGAGCCACCACGCCCAGCCATAAGTGTCATAATTCTTAAAGGCCCATCTAATGATGCTTTGATTAGATGGATGAGATCTAGGAGTCCAAAGAGAAGTGTCCCCAGAGATGCTTCATTCCACATTACAACAAGGCGGGGTAGGTAGAATTGTTTATGGCTGGCCTTCTAGGCAAGGGGATTGCGTTAGGTGAGCAGGGTGAGAAGGCGCAGCAGCATTGATTGACAGAGTTTCTGGGCCTTAAAGGGCTTCAGTGTGAGTCTTCCTGACACCACAAAGTCTGAACACTGAGGTGGTGTGTGGCTTGTGATACAAGACACATCCAGTTTAGCTGAGTGTTGGAAACAAACTCAAACTGAAGCTGGAATGGCCCCAGGTCATCCTCCTCACTCTTCCTCTCCCTCTTCTTGAGCAGTAGCTGGCTGGAGGAAGCTATCCAGAGGGAAGCAGCACAGCATCTATGCACAGACATAGCAAATAAGAGCAAGTGAACCACGCCACACTTACGACTATGTCAACAAAGGAATAGAAGCAAAGGAAAAGACTGACATAGCTTAGACTGGGAATCCTTCTAGAAAGTAAGAAAGAATTCAGAGAGATTCCTCTCTCTAGTCTTGAAGAAATGAAGGTCTTCAAAATGAAGATTGAAGAAATATAGAATATCTAAAAAAAAAGAAAGATAAAGTGGTATATATTTTCTTTAAACAAAAATCATTAAACCAAAGATTTGCCTCTTTGACTGTAATGCCCTCTCCTCTTAGCTAACTCCTTCATCCTTTTTCACAGTGACTGTTCTTTAGACTCACAACAATCTCAGTCTTTTGACGCATCTAGTCTTCCCATCCATCTCTCCTTTCTTTCCTTCCTCCTTAGCTGGCTTAGATTTTATAGTCCATTGTTTCAAGAAAACTATTGGGGATTAAGCCCATCTTATGTATTTGTACTTCGGATAACAACCCCACTCACTTTCTCATAAAAAAAACTATTGTATTTTTCTCTGTCTTCTGTATTCAACCTTTCCTTCTCAACAGGGGTTATTGTATTTTCTTAAAATGTTCATATTTCTCTCATTAAAATAAAAATACAATGATCATCACCAAAAAACTCTTGCGTCCACACACACCCACCTCCAGCGAACACATCTCTTTTTACTGCTATTGTCTTCTTTTTCTCAACTTCCTCACTCATTAACTCTTTCACATTGCCACCACCTCTCCACCAAATTGCTTGTACCAAAGCAAAGACCTCTATGTCTTTTTATCCAGGTGACACTTGCAATCAGCTTGTCTCCATGCTTTCATGCATCACTGCAGGCCACTCCACCCCCTTGACACCCTTTCTTCTTTTGGCTTCTCAGGCTCAACACTTCCTCTTGTCACCCAACCTCTGGCTTCTACTCCTTTTTTTGCTCTTAGAGGCTCATCTTACTCTAAAGGCCATTACATACTGATGGTCGTCAGTGCTGGGTCCTTGTTCATCTTCTTTTCTGGTCAGTTTCCATCCTGTCTCCCTACTTGGTTACAAAAATAATCACCACCTTGGTCGTTATCTGTAAGCAACTATTCTCAGAATCCACATGCCTGCCTTAGCTCATTTCCACTATGTCTCCTTCTGGCACAACTGTGGTTTGTCCCAATGCAAGCTCTTTACACGTTTTCTTCGTGACTGGGCCATTGCTTCTCAGACTATCTGTGATAAAAGACCATTTGTAAGGCCAGGCGTGGTGGCTCATGCCTGTAATCCCAGCATTTTGGGAGGCCAAGGCGTGTGGATCATCTGAAGTCAGGAGTTCGAGACCAGCCTGACCAACATGGCAAAACCCCATCTCTACTAAAAATACAAAAAATTAGCTGGGCGAGGTGGTGTGTGCCTGTAATCCCAACTACTCAGGAGGCTGAGGCAGGAGAATTTCTTGAACCTGGGAGGAGGAAGTTGCAGTGAGGCAAGAACGCGCCACTGCTCTCTAGCCTGGGCGACAGAGTGAAACTCTGTCTCAAAATAAATAAAAGACCAGCTGGTTTTTTAAATGTCTAATCTATCACAGACTGATACTTTTATAAGTACGATAAAAGTGAAATACTAAAAAAATAAAATGAGTAAAAGACACACAAAATATAAGCCTTACTTTTTATTAGATTCAAGAGATATAAAATTACTCTGTCAAATTACTTTTGAAACTTCTAAATGCTTACTCTGAATTATTGTATGTCTGTTGCTGAAGAATAACACATAGTCCAAGGAATAAAATGGGTGTAAAGACCCCAGAATAGAACTCCTGTCCCCTTTTGCCTAGTTTTCTCATCAGATCTCAACTTAAAAATCTCTAATTTAGAAAAGCCTTTGCTGACCTCCCTAAGTCAGTTACACCTACTACTTTTTCTCAAATCCCATGTGCCTGTCCACTGTAGTACTTTTAATAATGCTTACACTCAAGACCTGTGCATCTTCCATGTAGGCTCCATGAGAGTGGGAGCTGGGATTCTTATTTTTCTAGTCATTATTGTGTTCTCAGCATCTAGTACAGTACTGGGATATGAGGAATGCTCTAAATTCCCTATTCATTGTGTAAAGAAGACAGGCATGCACAAAGAATTAGTCAACTACAAAGGGAATTAAAATTTCTGCCCAAGGATTTCAGACAAACTGACATTTGAAAAAGAATTCTAGATGCAGATGGTGCAAAAGAGTGTCTTAGGGGAAGGCACTGGTGTATATAAAAGCGCAGAAGCACAGATCTTCTCTGGGCAAGGGTGAGTAGTTTGGAGTGCTTGCAGCATGAAGTTTGCTGGGATGGGAAAAGGGCTATGATATTGGAATGTGGGGATAATGATGAAAAGTAGACTATGTGAGTTGTCAGAGTCCTTGGATGCCAAACGAATGAGTTTAGATTTTACCATCTCTAGATAGAAAGTCATTATTTTCTATCTAGTGATAGAAAGTCATTAAGTAAGTTTTAGCAACAGAATGACGAGATTAGATTTGATTTTGTCGAAGACCACTGATGGAGATGTGGAGATGAGATTAAAGGGGTCAAGGTGGGAGGTTCTTGGAACAGTCTACTTCATGAGTGTCTGAGAGGCCATGGGATGGACAGGGGTGGCTGGATGGAGTTTAGAGGGCAGAAACTCTGGGATAAAGTTCCCAAGTCTTTGATCTGAGCATGAGGAGGGGCCACACTGAATTTCTATCCCCTGGGATGACAGCAGGGTGAGCTTCTGCTTTATTGCTCCAGGTCTCTGACCATGGTAATATTAGCTCCACCAGAGTATAGAGTGAGTTCTTAACATATACCTTTCTTAAGCCCCCCTAAGTCATAATACTAACACCATTAATACTAACCTTATACCTCCCTGATTAGGGGGAAGTTGTCCTTTTCCCCACACATCTCATTTCTGCTGGGTCAGTTTTTCTGTGCTGCTCCATGAGAGCTGGGGATGACTTTCACCAACCAGCAGTGGCTGCGCTGACATTGAGCAAGAAGATAAGAGCCAGGATATCATACAGAAAGGCGGACCGGGAGGAAGCCAGGACAGAAAGGAAATCATTCAACACTGAATGTTGCATTCTTGATTTCTAATAATGCCACCTGGAGCCCTACTTTCCAAGATACATTATCACCACCTTTCGATTCCCTGCTTCAGCTGCCTTATTTTGTAGGTACCCTTTGTTAAAAGCTGCATAATTCTCTGTTCAGAAGTTTGTGGGGGTGTACTTTATATATAAATATCTTCCTCATGATAGTCTTCATGTATATTGTGTGTTAATGTCACTAAATCCTTTGGGATGACATGCTGTATTAAATTTTTTTATTATACTTTACATTCTGGGATACATGTGCAGAACTTGCAGGTTTGTTACATAGATATAAACGTGCCATGGTGGTTTGCTACACCCGTCAACTCACCTACATTAGGTATTTCTCCTAGTGCTATCCCCCCACAGCGCCACAGCTCCCCAGCCCCCCAGCCCCCAACAGGTCCTGTTGTGTGATGTTCCCCTCCCTGTGTCCATGTGTAATGAGATACCATCTCATGCCAGTTAGAATGGCAATCATTAAAAAGTCAGAAAACAACAGATCCTGGAGAGGATGTGGAGAAATAGGAACATTTTTTACAGTGTTGGTGAGTGTAAATTAGTTCAACCATTGTGGAAGACAGTGTGGTGATTCCTCAAGGATCAAGAACCAGAAATACCATTTGACCCAGCAATCCCATTTCTGGGTATATACCCAAAGGGTCATAAATCATGCTGCTATAAAGACACATGCACATGTATGTTTATTGCGGCACTGTTCACAATAGCAAAGACTTGGAACCCACCCAAATGCCCATCAATGATAGAATGGATAAAGAAAAAGTATTAATTTTTTAAAGAAAACACTTACATTATTCTAACTCCCCTGCTTGACGCCTTTCGTAACAGTTGGGATAAATGGGCTGAAATAAGACAGAGGCATTTTCAGCTTCAGAGGAAATTATTTTGGAAAATTTTGGCAGAAACAGATGAGCTGTTTCAGCATGGGGTGGTAGTGAAATACTGCACTTTGCCTGAGTGATGCCCACTGCTGCCTTATGTGGCTCTTCTTCCAGGTGGAACCAACCTACATTTGCCTCCCCAAGCAGCAACTGTCAGATATTTAAACAAGGAGCTGACAGTGGGAGAAGTGAGGAACAAAGCCTGAGTCTCTAAAGAAAAGTCAGATCTCCGCCGGGTGCGGTGGCTCACGCCTGTAATCCCAGCACTTTGGAAGGCTGAGGCGGGCGGATCACGAGGTCAGGAGATGGAGATCATCCTGGCTAACACAGTGAAACCCCGTCTCTACTAAAAATACAAAAAAAAAATTAGCCGGGCCTGGTGGTGGGTGCTTGTAGTCTCAGCTACTTGGGAGGCTGAGGCAGAAGAATGGCATGAACCTGGGAGGTGGAGCTTGCAGTGAGCCGAGATTGCGCCACTGCACTCCAGCCTGGGCGACAGAGCGAGACTCTGTCTCAAAAAAAAAAAAAAAGTCAGATCTCTTACTGTTTCTTGTTTTCACCACTTAGATATATGATTTCTGGGAATGGAGCTTAGTCTTTTGGATTCTTCCTGCTCTATCCCCAGTGGAACCTGTAGCTCTTCAGATTTTTCCTCCTACAACCAAAGGATGCCTTTGCTATGACTTCATACTGCTTCCAGATAGAGACTAATCCTGAAAAGTAAACAAAGCAGCCTCTCTAGGCTTGGGAGACAGTAAGCGTTCTTTAGTTTGACCTCAAGAGAACTGGTAGATTGAGTACTGGTTGCCTGGATATACACACTAAGTTGTTTCTGGGCAAACTCAAGGGTGGAGGGAGTGGACTGTGTTCTTACTCCCCTTCTCACTTTTGTGTAGCAGCAGCTACACTGAGCAATGGATGAGTGTGTGTTAGCTGGGGTGGAGGATTCTGGGAGTGGAGGCAGTGTTCATAAGTTATGGAGAGAGGTCACCGTCATCTTCATGTATGTGCACAGAACTCTCCAGACTCCTCATTGAGTGAATTGAGTTAAATCTTACTATTAAAATAGCACTTCATCCTCAGGCTTGGACAAGAAACCTTCTGGAGAATCCAGACTCAACAAAAAGCCAGACCTTTTGGTGTAGAGATAGCTATCCAAAGCAAATCACGTGAAACGTGTATATCAGCAAAGGCTGAAAATGAAGCTCTCCATCTCCAGTCATTCTCCTTAGGAACCAGATAGTTATCTCAGAACATGATGCAAGAGTAACTAATCCCTTCCTCTGGGGTTCCATGAGACCTGGACATCACGTGCCTATGCACTTATCATATTGTATGATTATACTTTCTTCTCCAGCCTGAGCCCCCTGAAGGAAGGGGCTGTTTGTTGCTCATCTTTATATTCTTGGGCTTTTACATGGAACAAGGGCTAGAATTTGCATTCTCTAAGCACTTGCGGAATTAATGACAAGGAGTGCTCTTAAAAGCCCCACAAGGAATCTCAAGACCACCTGTGTGGTTCACAGCTCTGTGGCCTATTGTGGGAGAGGGTCGTTCAGACTGTATTTGGAAATAGGGTTACTCCTCCCTGGTGACTCATACTGAGCTGCAACGAGTCATGTTCAAGTGCCCTTACTGTTCTGAAAAATCTACAAGGTTTTGCCCCAACCACTTAAGAATCTACAATGCTATCCAAAGCAATGTACATTTGATTTGCATGCTTAGGAAAAAATGAGTCTGTAAAAGTTTTGTAACTGGTCTAACTAACTTGTTGATAATGAAACTCAGGAATTATATGGTATGAGAAATAATTACTTGGTGCTGCTTGTATCTAGGGGTAATGTGACTGGCAACCATGGATGAATCAATGGTCCTCATCCATCTGCTTAAAATTTGTGTGATTTTATTCTTAGTCTCCCTCAATAGGATACATACACCATGAGAGTAGGAACTATGTCACTTACTGCTCATCTTTGTTTCACAGTGCCTCACACAATGCCTGCAGATAGTGGTCACAGAATAACTATTGGCAGAGAAAATCAAGAAGGGAAGAAAGGACATATGATACCTACTTTGGTTGATGTCTTTGTTTCCTTTCCTCCACTACCTCTTTTCCAAATCCAGTCACTTGATGTCCCCTTGTGTCACAGAATTCCACAGGGACTTACCGGTGTTTAAGGAGAATTTTTCTTCTATTATTCTCTGTCCATCAGATATGCTTATCACTTAAGAAATCTCTTTCATCCCTTTCAATTGGACAAACTATAGTTGAATTATAGTCTTTCCTCTTAATTAAAAAATGAGGAGGAAACCATGATTTTCCAACAAAGAGAGTTAATTTGGTCATTCTAGGTAAATAGATCCGCAGTTTTGGAGACTAGAGGCTCTGAGTTAAGGTGTTACAGATGCCTAATATCATATTATGCGATAGGGATGGTCTTCGTGATATATCAGGAAAATTCTCCATTGTGCAGGACTCTTCTATGGCACATTACAGGACATTTAAAATCACTGGTTCATTAAATGCCAGTAGTGCCTCTCAGTCATCATGACCATTAAATAAATTTTATCATGTATTTCCAATTGGCTGTTAGTGGGAGAAGCATGGTACTGTGCAGGGTTGAGAACCAGTAGGGGGACTAGAATACACAGGAGATGGAGATGCTTTTACTTCTCTATAATTTACATCTTTAGTGTTACCTTTTGAAAACTGTACTTTTCTCATCCCTAATCTATGACTCACTTCCATTTACTCAAAGCCATAATATAGGGCAGGTAATTCTCTCACTGGATTTAAATACTG
This sequence comes from Homo sapiens, assembly GCF_000001405.40. Lineage (NCBI taxonomy): Eukaryota > Metazoa > Chordata > Mammalia > Primates > Hominidae > Homo > Homo sapiens. The sequence continues at coordinate 114,656,362 of NC_000005.10, read as the reverse complement.
GATATCAGTTTCCTCTCAGTAAACAAGCCTCCTAATCTTCTGACTTAGTGCTTGCAAGTATTAACCATTTACTGATAGAGATTTATGATAGCATGTTTGTCTTACTTGGCTTTCTGGTTACAACCTAATTCCAATTTCTATTAAATTAGTCTAAGTGGCAAGATTGTATGGTGGCAATCTGTGAAAGTGATTTTACTTACAGTGTTGAATTCTTCTCTAACCTGAGCAAAATGCTGCCCTTAACTCCTTGCCATTCAAGGAGGAAAATGTGTATGCTGATGAGGTTGGCTGGGGGAGGAAAGGGAAAGGAGTACTAGAGAGCATAGATAGATGAAGATTAATCATTATCTCTGGCATTTATCATTATTTGTCATTAATAATTATCTCTGACATTAAGCAAATATCTAACAAAGAAATAGAGGTATTTTCAGAGCTGGCCCTTGGATTCTGTAGTGGTACATCATTCTGGCTTTTGCAGCAAGGCCAGCTGATCTTGTGGGTATGGTAAGAGTGGTCAGAACCCCACCTCCTGAGGTGCTCTGGGGTGCTGTAAGTATGTCCAGGCTTCAGGCAGCTTGACTGAGGCTTTGGTTTCAGAAAATGAGAGAAGAAACAGTGCTTCTCAGAGATGGAGATCTGTTTTTGGGGAAGTTTCTCATTATTGCCTGATTAACTGTACAGTTTGGGTCACTTTGAATAAACATTAGAAAAATAATCTCCATATGTTGGTTTTGAAGGAAATATATTATTTAAATCCCACTTCTTGTTTTATAAATGTAAGGCACACACAATAAAAATTCTAACAATACCAGTAGTATTCAATATACACTAACTAACTCTGGACTCAAAATTTCCCTTCCAAGAAGCCAGTACTGCAAAGCAGTTTCTTATTCTTTTAGCATGTTCTCTGCATTCATAAGCATTTGTGTAAGCAGTGGTCCCTGGAAAGCATCACAGTGTAATGATAAAGAGTAAAAGGCTCTGAATTCCAGCTGTCAGATTGCCTGAGTTCAAGTCCTGGCTTTACCACATGTCTGCTGTGGGACCATAAACAACTCAGTCTACTTTCCTAACCCCAGTTTCCCTATCTCTAAAATGGGA